>NC_000004.12:4506520-4813017 GCF_000001405.40 Homo sapiens | reverse complement strand
CATTTAAGCCCAGTGCAACTTTTCAGGTATATTTTGCCTACCAAGGGCATTTACAAGTAAACATCAAATTTTGTGGACTAAAAAGCCTTGTCCTGGATAAAGAATTGTGAGGATACAACATCATGGAGATGTTTTCAGTCAGAGGAAAAAGCTCTGCTATGATCCTGAAGTTCCACCATCCAGGCAGTGGCCTATGTTATATGGATTTTAGACTAGTCTTGATTACAGTTTTCATCTTCCTCTCTCTGAAACACCTTCCCCAGAACATGGCCTGGTTTATCCAGATACACTTAACTAGCTCTCCAGGGATAGAGAAAAAAGCCAGACGTTGAGTTTTAGTGTTGTCTGAGTATAAGAAGAACTCTTTGCTACATACAGGGTACCCTGGACTTTGAGACAGGAGAGCTGGCTCCTAAGTAGTTTTAGTTTAACCAGGAACTTACATGACCCTGGGCAAGTCACTTACTCGCCAGGGTCTCAGGTTCACTGATATTTACAATATAGATGAAGTAATGATTAGATGATTTCTAAGGTCCCTTCCCACTCTTACAAACTTTTCTGACTTCCTCTCTTCACTCTCTCTTCTTTCCCTTCTTTCTCTCTCTTTTCCTTCCTTCCTTCTTTCCATTCTTCCTTTCTTCCTTACCTCCCTCCCTTCCTTCCTTTTTTCTCTTTCCCTCCCTCCCTTCCTCTGTCCTTTTCCTTGAGTGATGTGAACACTTAACACAGGATCTACCCTTTCAGCAAATCCCCAGTCTTATCCTTGACAGCGTGCATCTTTCTCCCCTGCCTCCCATAATAAAAAGTAACAGGAGAATATGTCTAGCCCCAGGGTGGGATTCCGGGGACTTGCTCCATACAGCATGACAGCTGATCCCTTCCCAAAGAGGAAAAACCTTTTGGCCAATCTGGGACACACGTGGGGACTACGTGGTTTCCAAAATAGTTTCCCACCTTCTATCCGCTGACAACAAAATGGGTTCAAGTTAACACATCTTTATGGTTCACCCACTGTGTGCCAGGAGCTGGTGAACAAGAGTGAAGGTCCCACTTCCAGGAGATCGCAGGCTTTGGGGGTCAGATGGCAAACAGGTGTGATTAAAGGGAAATAAACAGCAGACGGGGGACACTTGGGACAAGAGCTGGGGCAGGAGGAGGCTGGGGCGGGGAGGTCTCCTTGGAACAGGAGGCACAGACTTTGAAACCAACCATTTGTGTGGCCTCAAGCAAATTATTTAACATCTCTGTATCTCATTTGAAAAATGGGGATGACAATAGCACATGCTGTCACAGGGTTGTCCAGAGGGTTGAACAAGGAGCATGTGAAGCACCTGGGACAGGGTCTGTTGCTCAGGAAGCCTCAGCGCCCATTATCGCGATGCTGGCATGGTTGGGGAAGTCTCTCTCGGGAGTGGCATTTGAGCTCTCCTGGGCCACTGTGTGGATGAGAAGACAGGGAGGCAAGAATGGAAGCAAGGACACAAAGTAGGAGTTGATGGCAGCCATCCAGGCAGCATCCAATGGCAGCTAGGACCAGGAAGGAACTGGGTGACATGACCTTTGGGGGAAGAGCTGGCAAGACTTGTTGAGGGATGAGGAAATGGAGGGAGGCATCCAAGAATACCCCTGAGATTTTGGCCTGAAAGAGTAAATGAAGCAAAAGTAGTGGCGTTTATTAAGATCAGGATGGAGGGCCCAGGCAGGAGGGAGGAACAAGTTTGGGGAGGAGCTGTTTGGTTTTGGATGTGTTGGAGAGGTGATGTCCGTGATTTCCAGAGGAAATGTCAAGGAAGTGGTTGAGGATATGAATCTGCAGCTCAAGAGAGGGGGATGAACTGGAGATATAGATGGGCAGGAGAATGTAGAGAGAAGAGAGATGAAAAGAGGGTCACCTGGGTGGGCCCCTAGGGCACCTTAACATGTGCAGACCTGGCTAACAGGACAGCCAAGTTCAGGCCCTGAGCACTGACCAAGAAGACTGAAGGATCAGGAAGCCCCTTGCTGGGCCAGGCATCTACCCTTTTGTTTTGGGATTATGAGGAAGCCCAGGGATTCCTGTGCAAGGGTGCCTAGAAAGTGGGAGGCCCATAGGGGGCTGAGGAAACAATTTACCAACTAGTATGTAAGTATTCTAACAGTTAAGCAGGATAATTGTACTAGTGTCCACTGAATAACACCCCATGTCAAGACCTCTTGGCAGGGGTGGCCCCAGCTCCCCCAGGTTCCTTGCATCCCCAATCCCAGCTGGGACACTGATGTGGATGCCAACTGGTCACTGCTTCCAGCTCCTGAATTTTCATTAAAATCCTGGGCATTTCCCCAGAGCTCAAAGTCGTCCCGATTAATTACAGGCAAATGTTGGCTCTCCCCCCGGAAATCTGCTGCCCCAGCCTGGCTCCGTCCCCTATGATTTTATTAAAATCCACCTTGCCAGCCAGGGCCCCGAGATTTATGGCCACAGCTAATAGGCTGCCTCCCCAGGAGACATAAATCTGGGGCCTGCCCAGGGAGCTACTCGCTGCTAAGAGGCCGGTTAATTGTTCCACCCAGAGGGTTCCACGGAGGAATGTTCAATTAGACCTCTCAGAAAATTTGGAGCATTAAATAAGGTGAACAGGGATTTGGGTGCCATTATTTTCTGAGTGAGAAACAGCACTTCCTTGCTCCCCTGGCCTATTTCAGGCCCCTGGGCCTCCACTGGCTTTTTGCAGAACAGGAGGAATTCTCTAGGGTCAGGGCTGTGCTCTTAGAAGACAGCTAGACAAAAGACAAGACCAGGATTTATCATCCTACAAAACCCTTGAAACTTTCTAATGCAAGGTCAACTACAGACTTGCTGCTGTGTCCTTGGGTGAGTGACTTCTACTCTCAGAATCTGTTTCCCTTTCTATAAGATGGATCAATACTGTCTATTCCACCTGCCTCACAGCATTGCTGAAGGATACATTGATTCATTCATTTATTCATTCTTCATTTAACAACTATTTGATGAGGGATAGGCCTTCTGTCTTGGTCAATTTGGGCTGCTATAACAAAATACCATAACATGAGCAGCTTATGCAATAAAAATTTATTTTTTACTGTTCTGGGGGCTGGGAAGTCCAAGATCAAGGTGCCTGCAGGTTTGTTGTCTGGTGAGGGCCCACTTCCTGGCTCATAGATGGCCTTTCTTCTTACTGTAAACTCACATGGCAGAAAAGGGAAGGAGCTCTCTGGGTTCTCCTTTATAAGGGCACTAATCCCATTCATAAGGGTTCCACCCTTAAGTCCCAATCCCAAAGGCCCCATCTCCTAATGCCATCACAATGGAGACAAGATTTCAACAGATGAATGTTGAGGACATACAAACATTGTCTATAACACCTCCTATGTGCCAGGAAATATGCTAGATCTGAGGTTATAGGGGAGAAAAGGACAAGGTTCCTGTTCTCAAAGAGCTCACAGTTTTGAGGAATGGCCAATAAGGGACCCAGAGATGTGGACTCATACATGCTATGATAGAGGCACGAAGAATGTGGGAGCCCAAAGGAGATTCTCATTCCAGACGGAGGGTAGCACCAGTCTGGGGAGACTTCCTGGAAGAAGCAAGAGGAACTATATGATATTGTATCTGTGTGTGGCTCAGCTCCATGATACCATGCCACCATTTCCCTTCATGGCATTTCTTTCTCAGAAGATTACTTTATGAGCACACTCTAGGTATATCTTGCATTCACAAATTAACAACCTCAAGCACCCAGTCTATTGCTGTGTATTAGAGCCTGGGGCTCAAAGTCATTGAGTAACAGGTGCATGGTGACACCGCTACAGCTAGCAAGTGGTGGAGCAGACTGTGAGATGGGCTAACAGCTCTGCAAGGAGGTGGTCAGACGGGGGCCTCCACGAATGCCTGGGGGTGATGGCCCCAGGCCCCAGGTAACATTCTCCGCTGGATTCCACCTGGAGGAGAGACCTTTTTCTGAGCTGCCATTTCTGGAGACCTGAATCCTGGCAAGCCCTTCATTTGTTCAACACCCAGCTGCCCTGAGCCCAGCTGCCATGAGCCTGTGACCTTGGGTCCAATCTTGCAGGCCACACAGTCTTGGTCAGTGGGAAGAGGATCCAGTCTCCCTCACTGAGCTCACAGGCCCCCTTCTCTCCCTCCTCCAGGATGGTGGCCCAGTCCCCTGAGTTCTTGGACCCTGACCCCCAAATGGGGCTGTAGCTGAGGATGAGCTCCACACTCATCCCCTTGCAAATACTACCCAGCCCTTATAAACAGTCTCATTATTAAATACTTGAAAATACTCTTTCCCATTGGACCCTGACTGGTAACACCAAGTAAGACATAGACAGGAAAATGTCCCCCAGGTTTAAGCTGGAAGGACGAGGACATCAATTCCAACCCTATTGGGAATACCAGTTGGCTTTGAACACGTTAGTGATGTGATATTTAGTATTTTTCCCGATCTCACCTGATACATTAAGAAGACAAGTGGCCGAGTAGAAGGTTGCTCCATGTGGAACCAAACGGGCCTGGCCTGAGTCTGGGGGATCTTGCTTCCCTTTCTGTGGCCTTGAGTGCCTCAGTTTTCTCATCTATCATTAGGAATAAAACTCCCAGCCTGGAAAGATTGTGGTGGGGATCTGTGGGGCGAGATGGCTGGGAAAATACTTGGCAAAGTGGAAAGAGCCGCGAGAACAGAAGGGATTATCACAATGCTTTGCATTTTTATTTTTAACCTGCATGAAATTCTGGAAACCACTGGCTGCCAAGAAATGCTAAGCTACAGTTTATGTTCCACAGGGAAATCAAGTTTTTTTTTTTTTTTAAATGGGGAATTGCTTGGTGCACAACTTTTTTATTTGGGAAACATGGACAGACCCAAGACAACTCCAGCCACCTGTTCTCTCCCTGGCATTGCCTCCTGGGACACACCAAACCGATGGGCTCTTCGTTTGCAGTTAAGGCCCCATCCAGAATTTGGGCACAGATTGTTTTCGCCCGTGATCTCTGCCTCCTGCCCCTCCCTCACCTGTAGGCCTGGTTAGCCTGGGTTTGCATGAGCTGTCCTGAATGCCGCTCCCCACAAATATAATAACATTTCTCACCAGAAGAGCTGTGACTGCTGGCCTCACCAACACAGAAAAACAGTAATTGTTGTATTCTCACAGCAAGGCTATGGCAGATGACATGGTTCAGGAGGGACACAGCTCTGTGTTGCAGTACGTGTTGGTGGCGGAGGCTTATTCCTGAGTCCTCCGCCATATTTGCCTTTAACTAAAGAGTCCTGTTGGCCAAGACAGGAAGGAGGAGTGGCCCCAAATCCACCCCAAGGGGCTGGATCTGCTCCATTTGCAGAGCGGCCTCTCCTGACTCTTGTCACCTCTGCCATGCTGTTGAGCCCTGCTTCACTTGTTCCTTCAGATGCACCACTAAAATCTTGGGCACGTGAATCACAGAATCTGTTTCCCAAGGAACCAGACCTGTGGCAAACCCTATGAATAGCTGTCCCTCTTTCAGAAATGAGAAAATGGAGACACAGAAGGTTGAGAGACTCACACAAGGCCCTGAAGCTGGCAGGTAGCAGAGCTGGGATTTGAACTGAGGCCATCTGATTCCCCAGGAACATAAAGCTAAACACTCACTGTCAGTGAGCACCCACTGAGTGGCCAAGCCGATGCCAGCCCAGCCCTGGCCCTCCTGAAACCCCATACCTGGGCCACGCACAGGAAAGCCTGGAGCATGTAGAATACAGCCCTGGGCAGCAGCACCGGCCACATGGACCCCCTGAGGTCCTGCTCCTCATTCTGCTTCCCTGCAGTCCTATGGCTCTGGGTAACAGAGGCTGCCCCCTGCCTGGGCCACATGGCTCCTGATATTCTCTCTAGCAATGGAGAAGGATGAGACCCGTGCTGGTCCGCAGGGACCCAGATAACTAAGATACGAAATCCCTGAGAACCTGTAACTCACGGTCAAGCTGAGATGACTGATACTCCAGGTACGGTGGTGAACAATGGAACAAAGGAAGAACAGCATCCCTGCCCTTTGTCCCTGCCAGGACACACTGTCCTAAAGATGGAATTGTGTACAAGGCACAATTACAATTATATATAACAAAGCACTGCTTGGCCCAGATTCACAGGTGCAGAGGTGCTGATCTATCTACCTAGTGGGTCAGAGCAGACCTCTGGAAGCTGTGGCGTCTGAGCTTTGAAGGTGGCACCCACTCTCCTACTCACAATGCAGTAGTGGGGAGGGCATTTCTGGCCAAGGAAACTGCACAGGGAGCAGCCTTGGTTCTACCTCCTCTGTTCTGTGTACCACCAAATGCCGCCATCCCCTCTCTCTACCTCCTGCCTACCCAGAACCGCACAGCATATTAGGAGGCATCATCCCAAACCTCTGTGCGCTGCATCTGGCAACACCAACTCCCAAGGCCCCTTCTGTTTTCTCAGAGACTTAACAGGGGATGAGGTGCTTGCAAACCTCTTGGGAAGGCTAAAGAGGAGCTGGAGGCTGAACCGCCTCGGAGTGACTGGCCAGGGTGGCTACTAAGGTTTCCACCATGGTAAGATGGGAAACCAGAAGGTCACCGCTTCGACTGCGGAGCTTAGGGGGCCCACGGCACTGGGCAGATGGAAATGCTTTATAGCTAGACGATGGGGTGGTTACATGGATGTATGTGTACATGTAACAAACTAATCAAGAATTCACTTTTGCACACTTTATATAGGAGGTTAGATCTCAACAGTAAAGGACCACAGCTATGGCTATAATCAGGGATCAGGGAGAGGAAATCAGAAGGTTGCAACCACTGCTAAAACTGTCCCTCTAGGAACCTGCAGGAACCACACTCCACTGGAACGCTGACTGCGGCAGAAACGTGCCCTGGCTGCCAACAAAAAGGAGCGTGAAGCGCTGGAAAGAAGGCCTCGCCCTGCTTGTTCTTCCAGGGCTCCAGATGCATCTATTTGATGGAACCTAATTTGTCTTGGATCCAGAACTGCAAGGAAGTCTGGGAAATGTAGTTTTTAGCTTTCCAGCCCCTGAAGTCCAGGAAGAGGAAGCAGAAGGCACGGAGCAGGGATGCTAAGGGCCTGCCTACCCCAGGGACCCTTTCACGTCTGCTTGAGTTTTCTCTGGAGCTCTTGTCAGCATCTGACACTTCCTGACATATTTATGTTTATTGTCTTCTTCCCCATTAGAGTGCAAACGTTGTCTCACACTTTCCCAGAGCCTGCGCAGTGCTTGGCTTACAGTAGGTGTTCAAAAAGTATTCACGGAGTGTAGGAATGAAGTCCCATTTAAGCCATTGCAACTGCCTCCTTCCTGATCGCTTTGCCCCCAGCCTCTCACTCTTTGGCCTGCACATTGCTACAAGAGATCCCTCCCCCCAGATAAAGCCGATCATATCTCTCCCTTGCTTAAAACCCTTCTATGGCTCTCAAGTCCAGACTCCCCTGCTGGCCTGTAAAGCCCTTGCCTCCATTGTCCAGTGAGCATTCCCCACTGACACACCGCATCATGCCTTGCCTCTGCATGTGCAGTTTCCTCCGCTGGGATGTCCTCCCATAAAGGGGCAGACTCCTGTGTGAGCTTCAAAGCCCAGCCCAAAGACCCTGTTCCCAGCAGGACTGTGGTTCTCTACTCAACCCTTGCCCCTCTCCAGACAGTCAGCTCATAGAGGCCAGTGACGGTGTCTTGGTCACCTCTGCAACCCCAGAACCCATGCCTAGCACAAAATGGGCACACAGGCAATGCGGAATGAATGGATGGATGGATCAATAACCAGGGTGAGTTCAAAGAACAGTAATTTGTCCAGGGTAGGTAGGACTTAGGATTCAAGACGTATTTATGACATTATTTGCATACCAACTTCCTGACTTCATCCTCGCCTACGGTAGGGGGTAGTGGGAAGGAGGATCTTTTCACTTCCATTTTATAGGCAAAGAAACTGAGGCCAGGAAAGGTAGACAACACACAGTGGCAAGTGGCAAAGCTGAGACCAGAGGCACCACCCCAGAGGCAGTGCTGCTGTGGCTCAGCTCGCCCCAGGGCAGCGTGAAGTGCCACAATTAAGACTTCAAGAGAGGGGCCCTTTGATCCAAATTATACAGCCCCTTGTGCTCTGGAGCAATTAACTTGGAGCCACCGGATGGCTCTTGCAGCTGGTGCGGCCAGTGTGGGCGACACAGAGGCATCATTATCTGGTGCCACGTTGCCTGCCCTGCCCTGCCTCCAATGGAGGGCCCAGGCAGTGCCCAGCACAGCTGAAGGCGGTGCAGGTTTCTATACCGGAAAACTCAGGAGTATCTATGCCCCGCAGGCTGTAGACCTGAGCCCCAGAGCTGTGGAGGAAGCTTTCCTAGACCGCAAGTTCCCACCCTTCTCCCCTTCCATACTGGCTTAAGTGTTCCCTCCTGGAGAAGCCCACTCTGACCACCTGACTTGCATCTGCAGCCCTCTCTCCCAAATGCACTCCCAATCCCTGTTACCAACTCTACCCTTTCTTTTTTTCATGATGCTTCCCCAGGAACTCGCATGGAGCTTGCCGTATAGCAGACACTCATGAAATACTTGTTGAATTAATTAATTAATTGGTAAATAATTGAATGCAAGGAACTAGTGGTGTGACTTTGAACAAGTCACCTTACCTTTCTCCAGGCCTTCATCTGCCCCTCTGTAGAATGGGGAGAGGCTTTCCCACCTCACCCAAGGACTGTAAGACTCTTCGAGATAGCAGAGGTGGAAGCCCTTGCCTGAGGCTTGGCACTTAGTACAGTCTCAAAACTTTCCTTTTTGCCCTTCCGATCTGGAGGTGCTCCCTCCACCCCCACTAATTCCTGCAGTGGTACTTGCTACTCATTTAATATGATGTCACCTCTCCAAATGACTGTCCAAAGGTCAGTCCAAATGACTGTTCCATGTTTCCACTGCTGCGTAACAAACAGCCCCAAACTTAGTGACACAAAACATTTTATTCTATGTCATGATTTGGGGGTGAGGGGTCAGGGTTCATCAGGATGATTCTCTGGTTTATTTGGCATTGATGAGGGTTACTTAGTGGTATCCAGCAGGCTGCTGAGCTGGGCTTGTCTGGAGGGGATGTGCAGACACAGAAAGACAAGTTTACGCAGTCCCTGTACATATGGGTTCATTATCCAAGCCCTGGCAGGTACTGTGCAGCAAAGGAAACAAACATAGGTCTTTGTAAGAGGAAGAGCCTCACAAGTGAATGGACTACATATACTGTCATCCCCAGCAAACGGCCTTCTCTGCTCACCTCCATCAATCATCTTGTTAAAACCACAAACCTTGTCTCTGCTCCAGGCAGACCAGCCTGAGGCCATCTGACTCCCTTGACTGCAAGCAACACAATCTAAATGTTTGCTGTCTTACATGGAGTATACCAAGAAACATGTCTGAGAGCTGATTTGCATGCAGAAAATTCCTGGAGAGTGCTCTGGGCAGCAATGCCCAGGAGGGAGAGAGAGGAGCACCTTAGACAGGGGAGAAGCTAAAACGTGATGCAGCCATCACTGAGCACCACGTGGAGCTCTGAAGCTGGGATGAGCCTGAAACTATCCAAATCAAGGCCAGACTCTGTCCCCTGGGATTGACTGTTCATTCAATGCAGGCTGCCCCAGTGGAGAGGGGTCATAACCTTGGGTGAGGCTGCTATCTTCTGCAGAGGGCAGTTCCCAGGGAGGACTTGGCTGTGTGACATTCATAGGAGAATGAGGGCCTGGGTGGGATGACTGGAGGGGCAGACACAGAACATCAACCATGCGTCCAGCTCCCACTGTGACTGCAAAGCAAATTTCAAAGTTTTCAAAGATGCACGATTTCCTCGAAGTGGATAAAAATGGCATTCGTTTCCTACTGCTGCTGTGTCAAATGACCACAAACTTAGTGACTTGAAGAACACAAAGTTATTACCTTACAGTTCTGAAGGTCAGAAATCAGAACTGGGTCTCCCTAAGGCTAAAATCAAAGTATGGGCAAGATGGTGTTCCTCCTAGGGGAGAATTCATTTCCTCCCCTTTCCTTCTTCTAGGGGCCTCCTGTGTTCCATGGGTCATGGCCCTTTCTGCCATCCTCAAAGTACATCACTCCAACTTGTGGTTCCTTCATCACATCTACTTTTTGTGACTCTGACCCTCTTGCTTCCCTCTTACGAGGACCCTTGAGATGACTTTGGGCCCACCCAGACTGTCCAGGAGAGTTCCCCCATCTCGAGGTCTTTAACTTCATCATATTCAAAGTCCCCTTTATCCTGTAAGGTGGCATATTCATAGACTCCAGGGATTAGGACGTCGACATCTTTGAGACCATTATTCTACCTGCCACAATGTTTTTCAAGAATTTCTTCTGCCACAAGCAAAACTGGAGACACAGGAGGATCTGGTGGGATTAACTCCGAGAACATTTGACGAAGAGCAGATCCACTCAATCAGGACAGCACAGGCACTTCCAGAGGAGGGATGTGCATATCCAAACTTGAGAGAGGCTCCTGGGAGCATTGATGAGCTCCTCGAATGCTGTAAAAAATGATGCTCTTGGCTTGACGCATCCTGGTGTCCTACAATTTGTCAGGATCTCCAGAAGCATCAACTCTTATCTCATCTTGACCGGTCCCAGGAGCCAGTCCATTGGTATCATAGGACTAAATGTTGTGAAATGTAAAATAAACAGTTTCACAATGTTATTTCATTTATTTATTTATCTATTTATTTATTGAGACGGAGTCTCACTCTGTCACCCAGTGGCGTGATCTCAACTCACTGCAACCTCTGCCTCTCAAGTTCAAGCAATTCTGCCTCAGCCTCCTGAGTAGCTGGGACTACAGGCGCCCGCCACTACGCTTGTCTAGTTTTTTTTTTTTTTTTTTTTTTGGCAGTTTTAGTAGAGATGGGGTTTCACCATGTTGGTCAAGCTGCTCTCAAACTGCTGACCTCAAATGATCCCCCCGACTCGGCCTCCCAAATTGTGGGGATTACAGGTGTAAGCCACCATGCCCAATCTGTTTCACAATTTTAAATTTTATTTGCAAGCTAAGCCCTGATCAGCCTCCCCTGTCCCACATTATTTGCTATGACTTTTTGGTGCCTTTCCAGAACCCTGCATCCTCCACAGCCAGGCTCTCCTGCCCTTGAACTGCGGCCAGGTTCAGAGTCTCTACGAGGCATGGAATGGGAGCAGAGGAGGACAGGGCCAATTCTTCTTGGGGATGGGGACTTGAGTCAGTCAAGACTTCATGGATGAGCTGAGCCTGAGGTGAGGTGCTGGCTTGGCTGGCAAAACAGGGCATGCGTATTGGAGGAAGGTCATAAGCAGGCATGGTGGCATAAAACCGCTTTGAAGGTCCTGGGAAGTTCTGGAACTCTTAAGATGTTCCTAAGGGGTACAGTGGTAATGGGAGGAGGCTGGGGAAGAGAACGAAGGAACGTGTACTACAGCTCTCATAGGGGGCCAAAACCACAGAGCTTCCGAGAGACCCCGGCTGTGGCGTTAGGGCTGTGAATAGAACTGCAGCTGTTTTCAGCTCTCTGGACAAGGCACAAGGGACAGAAGAGAGTGGCAGGAACAGGAGACCAGGCCACTGAGCCAAATTGCTTGGGTTCATCTTCCGGACTCAACCTCTTTCTAGCTGTGTAACCTTGAGCAAGTTCCTTCACTTCTCTGTGCCTGTGTCCTCATCGATAAAATGAGGACAGTACAGTCCCTCCCCCAGGAGATTGTTGAGAACTTGCAATGAGTGAGCTCAGGAATACTACTAAGAGCAAAGCTTGCCATAGGAAAAGCATTTACATGTCTAATCTTATTGGCTCTCTTCTTAGAAACTCACTTTCTTTTGAACCATTTTCATCTTCCTTGGAAGAATGTTATGTCTGGAATGCATAACTCATGCAGTTACCTCCTTCTTGTCTAGTATTTCAGTTTCTCTTTCGAGCTTTAAAAAAATCCCAGCTTTGTTGAGATATAATTGACATACTGCATATATTTTAAGCATAAAATTTGATAAAATGTTAGCAGATGCATATGAACACAAATCAATCAATCATCACAATGAAGTTAGTTAACGTAAAAGTCATCATCTCCCAAAGTTTTCTGGGGCATCGTTATAATCCCTTCCTGCTTTCCCCACTGGATACTCCAGAGAGCCACTAATCTATTTGTTATGACAGATTTTCTAGAATTTTATGTAAATGGAACCATTACAATATGTGCATTTTTGGTCTGGCTTCTTCCACTCCACATAATTAATTTGATACCTGTCCATGGTGTGCATGTACTACCATTCATTACTTTTTTGCTGGGTAGTATTCCACTGCATAGATATACCCAGTCAGTTTACTATTCACCTGCTGATGGACATTCGGATAGTTTCTAGTTTGGGGCTATTGCAAATAAAGCTGCTCAACGTGTTCCCAACATTTGTGTGCAGTTCTGTATGCTTTCATCTCTGTTGGCTAAATACCTAGGAGTAGGATGGTGGGTCATTTGGGGGTATGAGTGTAACTTTTTGAGAAACTCCCAAACTGCTTTCCAAAGAGACTGTACCTTTTCATGCTCCTAGCAGCATATGACAGCCCTAGTTGTTTGACATTTTCTCTGATACTTGGTTAATCAGTCTTTTTAATGTTAGCATGTGTGTGTGGTGGTATCTCCTTGTGGTTTTATTTTTTATTTTATTTGAGACAGAGTCTCACTCTGTCAACCACGCTGGAGTACAGTGGCTCCATCTTAGTGCACTGCAGCCTCTAACTCCTGAGCTTAAGTGAATCTCCCACCTCAGCCTCTGAAGTAGCTCAGACTACAGGCGCTGATCATCATGTCCAACTAATTAAAAAAAAAATTAAAGACACAGTCTCACTATGCTGCCCATGCTGGTCTCAAACTCCTGGCCTCAAGTGATCCTCCGGCTCCAGCATCCCGAAGCACAAGGATTACAGGTATGAGCCACCTCGCCCTACCTCCTTGTAGTTTTAATTCCCCAATGATTAATGATGTTGGGCATCTTTTAATGTCAGTATTTGCTATCCACATATCTTATTTAAGTCTTTTGTCCATTTAAAAATTAGTTTATTTTTCTTACAGAGTTCTGATAATTCTTTATATAGTCTAGATATGAGTCCTTTTCTGGATATATGTTTCACAAAAAACTCTGCCGAATTTGTGGCTTACCTTTTCATTTGAGTGTCTTTCAAAAAGCAAAAACTTTATATTTTGATTAAATACAATTAGATACTTTTCTTTTATAGTTGGAAATTTCTGTGTCCTACTTAAGAAATCTTAACAAATCAAAGATCACTACGATTTTCTTCTATGCTATCCTCTTGAAGTTTTATAGTTTTAGCTCTTACATTTTAGATTTATGATATAGTTTAGGTTAGTTTTTGCACATGCTTTAGCGTAAATGTCAGGGTTCATTTTCTTGCATATGGCTATCCAATTGTTACAGCATCATTTGTTGAAAGATTATCTTTTCCTTATTGAATTGCCTTGGCACCTTGGCAAAAGTTGAATGTTTTCTTTCTCTAGTGATGCGTTAGTGTTGATAGTATACATTTTTAACCTATCACGGTTTACCTTCAAGTAGTATTGCACCGCTTCACATTGTAGTATAAGAATGAACCACCTCCTAGCCTTTGTGCTGCTGTTGTTACATACTCAGCCTCTACAGGTTATAAACCACACGGTTGTTATTTTAAAATATAAACTGCCAATTATGTTTCAAAGTGGTCAGAAATTTAGAAAAGAAACCCTTTACATTACCAACACATTTACTATTTCTGCTGTTCATTTTTTCTTTGTGTAGATCCAGGTTTTCATCCCATCTCATGTTACTTTGCCTGAATAATTTCCTTTAATACTTCTTGTAATATTGCTCTGCTGCTTTTAATTTTTGTATGTCCTTTTCAATCCTCTCTTTTTATTTCCCCTTTCTTTATAAAGAACTTTTTGCTGGTCATAAGATTTTTATCCAACCTTTTTTTTTTCTTTCAGTTCTTTAAATATTTTGCTCCACTTCTTTCTGGCTTACATTGATTCCAATGAGAGATCTGCAGCTATTATTATCATTGTTTTTCTATATGTAATGTCTTTTTTGTTACAGGGTCCTTTTGAGATTTTCTCCTTATCACTGTTTTAAAGCAATTTAATTATGATGAACCTTGATAATGTTTTCTTTTTCTTCTTTTTTTTTTTTGCAGTGGGTTCACTGGCTCTGTGTGTTAAAGATTTCATCAAATTTGGAAATTTTTTAGCTCTTAATTCTTCCAATATTGTTTCTATTTTCCCTTTCTCTCTTCTCCTTTGTGGATTATAATACACATATGTTAGCAAACTAGAATCTGTACCGCAAGTCAATGATGCTCTGTTTGATTTTTTTTCAGTTTTTTTCTCCTTTGTAGTTCATTTTTGAATAGTTTATATTACTAGGTCTTCAAGTTCACATATCTTTTCTCTCTGCAGTTTCTAATCTGCTGTTAATCTCATAAAGTGTTTTGTTTTATTTTTTAAAAATCTCAGGCATTGTAATTTTCATTTCTAGAAGTTCGATTCTTTTATACCTTCTATGTCTCAACGTGCTCAATTTTTTCTCTACTTTCTTAGACATAGTTATGTAGTTGTAATAACTGTTTTAGGGTCCTTGTCTCTTAATGCTATCACCTGTGTTATTTTTTGTTCTGTTTCTGTTGACTGATGCTCTCATCATGCATTTTATTTTACAGTTTCTCTGCATGCCATTGCTTCTTTTATACCACATATGATGATACTTATTTTCTTGTGTGCTAGACATTTTTATATTCTGTAAGTATTCTTGAGATTTTTTTCCTGCAACACGGTTAAATAACTTGGGAGCCATTTGTTCCTTTCAAGCTTTGTTTTTAATCTTTGTTAGATGCTATCGAGGCAGCCTTTAGTCTAGGGCCAATTTTGCCCACTTTTAAGACTATAAATACCTTCTGTAGTACTCTGACATCCTTCTAACTCTGAGGCTTATCCACTGTGGCTGGTGAAAACGCTATATTCCTGGTCTGTTTGCACGCTAGGGATGTTTTCCCTAATTCTTTGGAGGAGGGTAGCTTCCTCTCATGCAAGTGCCGATAAGTACTTACAGGATCAGATGAAGACTCAGGAGGGACCCTGTGCAGCCCTTTCTGTGTTATTTCCACCTCTGGTACTCTGCGTGAATTTTAGCCATCTTGTACTCCCTGTACTCTCACTTCCAGCACTTCAGCTCGTGGAGATGGTCAAGTGCTGCCTAGGTTCGACCTCTCCTGTAGTTGGAATGTGTTGCTCAGAACACATGTGCTGGAAATCAAATCCCCAATGCAACAGTGTTGGGAGATGGGGCCTAATGGGAGGTGTTTGGGCTATGAGGGCTACATTCTTAAGAATGGATTAGTGCTGATTATAAAAGAGCTTGAGGCTGAGAGTTTGATTTCTTGCTCTCTTTCACCCTCCCTTGCCCTCCTGCCATCCACCATGGGATGACCCAGCACAAAGACCCTTGCCAGATGGAGGCCACCTGATCTTGGACTTCCCAGCCCCCAGAACTGTAAGAAATAAATCTCTGTTGTTTATAAACTACTCAGTCTCAGGTATTCTGTTGTAGCAGGATAAAACTTACTAAGATAGCCTCCCTGCACTGATCTCAGGAAATGGTGTCCAAGCAATAGGCTGGGCAATTGTAGCCTTGTTTGTTTTCTCTTTCTCAAGGATTTTGGTCTTGTGCTGCCTGATGGCCAATATCTGAAAACCAGTTTTAACATGTTTTGTCTTGGTTTTTATTTGTTTCAGGAGGGAGAATAAATCTGGTTCCTGTTCCTATTTCTATGCAAGAAGTAGAAATATCCTCTTACAAGTTTTTGAGGTAGGTTTTCCCTCCCTTTTAATAGACTAAGAAACTGAGGTTCAAAAGGGTTATGGGATTTCCCATGGTCACGCAGTTGTGATGTGGAAGCTCTGGGCTGGTAAAGCAGAATCCCTGCCTGGGAGCCTTGCATTTTTTTCCTAATGCCTCCCATGCTCTTAATGCTGAGGAAATTGACTGGGTGTAGGCATGAAGAACCAATGTTAAGCTATTAGAATTGTTGCTGCACAGATCTTTGTTTGGACTAGAGGTACTCAACCCAAGGGATCCCATTGAAAATTTAAGAAATGTTGTAGACTCTCTTCCCTGAAAATCACATGTATATATTCTTCATTTTGCATACAATTTTAGGAAGTCTTTAACTCCACTGTGGCAGAGACAGCTGGTAGTCTATTCAATATCCACTTCCCTTCTTTCTTTCTAAAAGCACGTTAGTTTTACTGGGAGCCTTCAGTATACCAACTCAAATACAAACTTAATTCTCAGCCTCTCTTGCAGTTTGCAGTAGCCAATGGGATGTATGGGGAAGATCTTTCTAGTAAAGACCTTAAACAGGGATGAACCAATTGGCATATGCTTTTTTGCCCCTCACATTTACCCCTTCTTCCTGCTCAGAAAGACATTATGATGGTGGGGGTGGAGGACGGTCCGCCCTGTGACCAAGAGTACAGGAACTGCAGGCTATGGATGGTGGCACCAGTGAGTTGAGGAGTCTTGGGTCCTAAGGAGCCCTGGATTCTGGACCAGTTATTTCCAGAATTCTTATGTCAGAGAAAAATGAGTCCTACTTGTTTGATTTTTATACTTCTTTAAGTTGGCCATGTGTCACTACAACCCTTAGGGAGAGCAATGACTTTGTCTTAATCGTGGTTCAACTCCTTCACTGCTCAATAATTTTCATAGAGACAAGCGTAAGGCCAGAAACATGGTGAAGATGTTATAAATAAAAATGACAGAAAATGATAGCTGGGAAGTGTAAAATGTCACACACTCACCCATCGCCATTAGAACATGGAGGAGATGGCCAGGTTAGTCCTGGCAGAGAGCCAGGCCTCTAGGGAATGGGACACAGGAGAGGTGGTCGAGATGTGGTGCAGTGAACAGGGAATCAGGCTCCAGATTCCCCCCAAGCCCTGCCACTAGCTTCAGCAAATCACTCCTTCTCTCTGAACCCATTTTTCCATCAGAATCAAAGGTCTAGGCTCTTTATCAACCTTGACTTTCTCCTTAGCTTTGCAATGATGATTCCAAAGGCCTTGCTGTTGACTTACCCGCTCCCTGTAAAACTACGTGGAAATTTCCTTCCCCTCCATAACAAGGGGCATTTAAATTTGACCTGTAGGTCAGCCTCCTCTACTGTTGTTGATTAGAAACCATTTCCCGCACAAGCACAAACCACAAGCTCTCCCTGAGGAGCGGGATGTGGTCCATTTGTGTGCATGGAGGCACTCCAGGCCTGAGGAACTAGGAAGTTTGCTTGGTCGAGAAGCACATGGCGGCCAGGTGCAGTGGCTCATGCTTGTAATCCCAGCACTTTGGGAGGCCAAGGCAGGTGGATCACTTGAGTCCAGGAGTTTGAGACCAGCATGGGCAACATAGCAAAATCCTATCACTACAAAAAATAAAAGAAAATTATTCATGTAGTGACACATGCCTGTAGTCCCAGCTATTCAGGAGGCTGAGGTGGGAAGATCACATGAGCCTGGGAGGTCGAGGCTGCAGTAAGCCATGATCTTGCCACTTCACTCCAATCTGGGTGACAGAGTGAGACCTTGTCAAAAAAAAAGGAAAGAAAAGAAGCACATAGCTATTTAGTGTGTGCTGCTGAAGGGCAGCAAAGCCAAGGGGCTAAGAAACAGATGAGCCAACCCAGCTTTGAATCCTGTCTGTAAGCCTCAATATATGCTGTAACACAGGGATATTGGCAGAAAAGAATAAGAACAATTAAAGGAGAGAAAAAGGATTAAAAGCACTCTTGATGCCAAGATTTGGCACAATGCCTGGAGCACAGGGGCTCTAAATGATTATTACAGCACCATGTGCCCTGCAGTGTGCTTGAGGATGTGTAGGAGAGGGCAATCAAGTCACATTCCCAAACACCTTTTCCAATCCAGGCAGTGTGCTCTGTGCCTGACATTCCTGATTGTCTTTACAACTTCTAAAGCTTATCAGGAAGATCTTTCTCTTCTCTCATTTCATTTTTCACCATACCTCTGCCCACTAAGATTTTATTATTTCCATTCCATTTTGTAATAGATAAGGAAATTGGCTAGGAGAGGTAAAGCCACTTGCCCAAGATCATGTAGCTGGTCAGCAGCAGGGTCAGATCTGCATGGCTCTGACACAGTGTGGTCCTTGCTTTTAGTGACTTGCCCTGTCCATTCAGTGTGAGAAGAGCTGTCCAAACAATATTCATTGCAGCCCAACCTTAGATCGTGCTACTCCATGATGAAGAATGTGTGAATGTTCTAGATTGCAGATTAAAATAGTCTAGTAAGTCTCATTTTCAGAAGAAGCAGGATGGAGAGGGAGGAGGAAGGCATTCCAGGCAGTATGTGCATAAACAAAGTCACAGAGATGGAATTCAGCCCAGGGCATTAAGGAGCTATCACAGAGACTGTGATATTAGAGGTCCTAGAAGGATGTCCTAAGGGACTTTCAAAAGTTTAGCTTAGTCTATTTAGTCCTTCACACTAGGAGAATCCACTAAAAATTTCTGAGCATAAGGATTTTGTGATGGTACATATCGTTTGCAAGAAATTCACCTGGTATGTGCAGGATAGACCACATGGGAGAAGAGGTACATGATTAGAATCTTGGATCAGGGATAAGCAAACAAAAGGGCAGATCATGATGTAGCAGGGATGAGGGATGAAAGTAGGTGTTTACAAAACGTGAACAAATCAGGCAGCCTGAGGCTTTTGCTATCACAGGTCCTTTGCATGATACATTGGAGAACTTCCTTGAAAGTCAAAAGATTAGAGCTGCAAGTGGTAGAAGAAACAGTGTGGAGTGGTGCCTAAGAGAAGGCTGGGAAGTAGGACAATCATGGATTAGATGCTAAATCTGCTGGTTATCAGCCATGTGACTTTCATCAAATTTCTGGGGGCTTTAATCTCCTCTTCTATAAATTAGGAGAGATAAATATAGTTCTTATCTCAAATGGTTGAATATGTGAGTTTAAGAAGAGAATGGGGGGTGCTTAGCACAGCAGTAGACCGTATAGTATAAATGCTCAGGGATGGTAATCACCGTTGTTACCACCACCACCTCCATCATCATCATCATCATCATTACTACCACCACCATCACCTCAAACATTATCACCATTATCACCACCACCACCACCATCACCACCAACATCACCCTCACCATCATCACCACCACCATCACCATCATCACCGTCACCATTACCACCACCATCACCATCACCACCACCATCACCCCCACCCCCACCACCATCACTACCACAGCCTTCACTACCATCATCAACATCACTACAATCACCACCACCTCCATCACTATCATCTCCGTCACTATCACCACCATCATTCCTACCACCATCAGCACCGTCACCACCATCACCACCATCACCCCCATCATTACCACCATCACCACCATCACTATTACCACCACCAGCAACATCAGTCATCACCACAGCCCACTGTTACTACCACCATTACCACCACCACCACCATCACCACCATCATTACCACCAACATCACCACCGTCATCATCACTACCATCACCGTCACCATCATTACCATCACCACCATTACAACCACTATTATCGCCACCATCACCACCAACAAAATCAATACCAACCTCACCATCACCACCATTATCATCGTTACCAGCACCATCATTATTACTTTGCAGAACCACAGACTGTCAGGGTAGGAAGAGTCCATGGGGATTTCCTAGTCTAAAAATTCTCATTTTACAAAAGGGGAAATTGAGACCCAGAGACTGGCCTAAGCTTATACAATGAGTTAATGGCAGACCTGGAACTAGAACCAGGTACTCCTGGCTGCCACTCCCATGTTCTTGCCCCTGATACCAGACCATGTGAGAAATATTGTCAATCAGCACACATTCTTCACAGGATTCATAGGGAGTGAAAGATTTGAAGATTCTTTCCTCTTCAGAGTGGTCCTAACTCTTCCATTTCCTTGTGGTATGTTTCCATAGTCAGTTATCCACTGTGTTTAGACCCTCAGCAGGTATCCAGAGCGAGTATGTTTCTAACAAACTGATTTTCGTTTTAGTAAAAGAAATTTAAAAAATGAAACTAAGAAAGAAAAAGAAAGTAGGAATCTCTTTCAAGGGAGCCTCCCTGATTGGTGATTTGGAGCTGGGGCTCTGACACATGTGGACGTAGTGCTAAGGCAGTGGTGACTCCTACAGAAAATTCTGCTGTGGATGTGCTTAAGGTTCTGACAGGCTTCCAAAGAACTCCTACGGAAATCTTGAAACATTTGGATGGAATTTTTGCAAGGCAGCCTCATGGAATCTTTTATAAACCCTCCCATAAGTCCTGCTGCACTTTCTTCGGCTGCTCCTAGAATGTTCATGTCAGCTGTGTCTCCTTCTCATAGAATTTTTCCACAAGTCTGATGGAATGTTCATAGAAGACCTATGGAGTTCTCAATGAATTTTCGTGAAAATCTCTCAGAGTTGCCATGTGATCCTTAATGAATTCTCACAGAAACAGTGTGGAATTCTTACTTGGAATAGACCCCCAGCTTCCATGGAATTCTTAACTAACCCTCATGGCATGTTAATAAAATTCCAAAAACATGTTCACCGAGCTTGCATTAAATTTTCTTAGAAACCACAGAAAGGACTCCAAGAAAACTTGCAGAATTCCTTGGGAGCAAAAACTAATGAGTCTCCAAACTATCGAGGATAAGACGGGTCCAGTCCTTGGGGTCACTTTGTCCAAGGATTCTTAGAGTGGGTGTCTTCACTAAATGTGGTGAGAAGGCAGGCAGCAGATGTGTCTCAAGCTGTAACTTCTGATTTGAGCAGCAGGGAAGGAGCAGGTCCTCTCAGCATAAGATGAGGGATTTTGTCATCAAATATCTTCCCATCCCACTTTGTACTGTCACACGCCAAAGCCAGCTCCACACAGGGCCCAGCAGCAGTTGAACGGAGTGTCTCCATCCAGTCCTTTATGTTATTAATCTATCCCCAGCCCCTCCCTTTGGAGCCTCAGGCTCTCCGTGGATGTTCTCCCAATCATTAACTAAGCCCGAGTCAATTAAGAGCCCTGGATGCTGGCACATAATGGGTATCATTTATTGATGTAACATAATTCTTTTCAGGTTAGAATACAGAGACATGCAGGGCTGGATTTTCATTGAACCCACCCCAGAGCCTGCTGTTACAAGACAATACCCCGGGTTTTGCAAGTCGGCCTCCACAGAAACTGGATCCCAAGGGGCTCGGCATGGGGGACAGTGCTGCCACACAAAGGAGATGCCCTGGGAGGTCAGGGAGGCAGCCAGGCAGCGCTACCCTGCCTTCAGCACACAGGCATCTGCCAATGCCTGGCCTGCTCTGAGCCTGCCTGGCCCGGTCCCAAACTCTGGGCCTGGGAGCTGAGGCCCGACAAGCTGGTTAATGCAGCCAGCACGGAGGGGCCTTGGCCTTCATGCCTGGTTTGCTGAGCAGCCCTGGATGAGCCTCTGGAGCCCCGTGAGCTCTTCTCCACTCTTAGCTGGGCTGACTCCAGCTGGTTCCTGAGGACTCAACTCATGACAGCTGCTCCCCAGGGAAGCCCCGGGTAAGCTCAGTGGCCCTGCTTCATGCTTTCAGGACCCCCGGCATGAATCACAACTCAAGCTCATTAAGTGTGGGATGAATCATTTAGGGGCTGGGCTCCCAGCAGGGCAGAGACTCTGCCTTTTTTATTGCCGACTCCACAGTGCCAAGGCTGTGCCTGGCACACATGGGGGTGCAATAGATGTTTGTTGAATGAATGAATGATGACAATCACAACAATGCCATGATAATCATAAGAATAGTGGCTAACGCTTAGGGAGTATTTTCCATGCCTGGCACTAGTCTTAAGTCTTTCCATGCATTAAATGCATTTGAGGAAAGAATGAATACACTTGGAATGCCCTGGTGTGGAATACTGATAAGCGTAAACTGATGGTAAGTGCCTACTGCGTGTCAAGCACTGCACTTGGCACTTTTTCCTTTTTATCATTCAAGGTTGAACTTGCTGGATGAGTTTCTTTTCAGGTGGCCGGGCAACCTGTGGCTAGTTCCTGAGGACATATGTGGTTCTGAAATCCATGAGAACCCAGAGTCAAAATCAACATCAATGACAGTCCCAAATTCCCTACCTTGTTTTATGCTTTAATGCTTACATCAGGTCCCTGGCACACCCCGAGCTGCCAGGGAGGCTGGAAAGGGAGGATTCCATCTTTGCAGCCTCTGTGATGGATGTTGGGCCAGAAAGAAGCTGTGCTGTTGGGAGAGCCCTGGGTGAGTGGCTGCCACGATCCTGGGAAGAGGCGAGGGTGTGAGCCCCGGCCTTGGAGGCAGCAGGGCCGGCCGCCCAGCCTCTCTGAGCCTAGGCTTGCCTCCTTTGCAAGAGGAAGGAAGCTATGCTAATGGTACCAACTCCAGATCCTGGAGTAATGCAGAGGCTCACCATTTCTTACTGCCTTCATGATGGTTACCACACCCACCTGTCACCTGGACTTAATGTCCTTAATCATTTTTTTCAATGGCCTCAACTTTTAAATACTCTAATCTCATCCCAAGCAATAATATCAATGAAATCACACTTTGGATGTGTGTGGAAAAGACTAGTGTCTTTTCCACAATAATCGCTCTCCCCTTCCTCCCTGTGGAAGAACCTCTTATTTCTTTGCTGGCCACAGAGTAGCTTGGAATAAAGATTCCCAGTCCTGGCTTCTCTTAGAAGGAAAAGTGTGGGTTTTTTGTTTTTGTAAATGTTTTTAGAGATGTGGTCTTGCTATGTTGCCCAGGCTGGTCTCAAACTCCTGGCCTCAAGTGATCCTCCAGCCTTGGCCTCCCAAAGTGTTGGGATTACAGTCATGAGCCACCATACCCATCTCATTAAGTGTGGTTTTATAACTTGTACTCACCAGTGGGATGTAAGTGTGAGTTAAAAGAGAGGAATGTGTCTTTCTCCTTTCCTGTTCTCCTTCCTGCTGTCTGGAATATGGGCATGATAGCCAGAGCAGCAGCAGCCAGATTAGACCATGAGGTGACCTTGAGAATGGAAGCCCTGCATAGCAGAGTAACAAAATAGAAAGAGATGGACCTTGATCTTGTGGCATACTGTATTAGTCTGTTTTCACTTGGCTATAAAGAACTACCTGAGACTGGGAAAGTTATGAAGAAAAGAGGTTTAATGGACTCATAGTTCCACAGGCTAAACAGGAAACATGACTAGGAGGCTTCAGGAAACTTATAATCATAGTGGAAGGCAAAGGGGAAGTAAGGCATATCTTACCATGCGGCAGGAGAGAGAGACAGTGAAGGAGGAAGTGTCACTTTTAAACCACCAGATCCCATGAGAACTCACTCACTATTGTGAGAACAGCATGGGGGAACCACCCCCATAATTCAATCACCTCCCACCAGGCCCCTCCCTCAACACATGGGGATTACAATTTGAGATGAGATTTGGGTAGAAACACAGCCCCAAATCATATCATTCCATTCCTGTCCCCTGTCCCCTCCCAAATCTCATGTCCTTTTCACTTTTCAAAACACAATCATACCTTCCCAACAGTCCCCCAAAGTGTTAACTCATTTCAGCATTAACCCAAAAGTCCAAGTCCAAAGTCTCATCTGAGACAAGGCAAGTCCTTTCCACCTATGAGCCTGTAAAATAAAAATCAAGTTAGTAACTTCCAAGATGCAATGGGAGTACAGGAATTAGGTAAATCTTCCAGTTCCAAATGGGAGAAATTGGCCAAAACAAAGGGGCTACAGGCCCCATGCAAGTCAGAAACTCAGCAAGACAGTCATTAAATCTTAAAGCTCTGAAATGATCTGCTTTAACTCCATGTCTCACATCCAGGGCATGCTGATGCAAGAGGTGGGCTCACAAGGCCTTGGGCAGCTCCACTTCTATGGCTCTGCAGAGTACAGACCCTGAGGCTGCTTTCACAGGTTGGCATTTAGTGCCTGTGGTTTTTCCAGATGCAAGGTGCAAGCTGTCAGTGGATCTACCATTCTGGGGTCTGGAGGGGTCACAGTTCCACAAGGCAGTGCACCAGTGGGGACTCTGTGTGGGGGCTCCAATCCCACATTTTCCCCTCTGCACTGCCCTAGTAGAAGTTCTCCATGAGGGCTCCACCCCTGCAGCAGACTTCTGCCTGGGCATCCAGTTGTTTCCATACATCTTCTGAAATCTAGGAAGAGGCTCTCAAACCTTAACTTTTGCATTCTGTGTACCCACAGGGCCAACACCATATGGAAGCTACCAAGGCTCAGGGCTTGCACCCTCTGAAACAATGGCCAAAGCTGTACCTTGGCTCTTTTTAGCCATGGCTGGAGCTGGAGCAGCTGGGACAAAGGGCACAGTGTCCTGAGGCTGCACAGAACAGTGGGGCCCGAGCTTAGCCCAGGAAGCCATTTTTTCCTCCTAGGCCTCTAGGCTTTTGATGGGAGAGGCTGCCATGAAGGTCTCTGAAATGCTCTGGAGACATTTTTCCCCATTGTCTTGGCTATTAACATTAGGCTTCTCTTTACTTATGCAAATTTCTGCAGCCAGTGGCTTGAATTTCTCCCCAGAAAATTGGTTTTTCTTTTCTAGCACGTGGTCAAGCCTCAAATTTTCTAAACTTTTATGCTCTGATTCCCTTTTAAACGTAAGTTCCAATTTCAAATTATGTTTGTGAACACATATGGCATATACTTTTAGAAAAAGCCAGGTTACCTCTTGAATGTTGTGCTGCTTAGAAATTTCTTCCACCAGATGCCCTAAATCATCTCTCTCAAGTTCCACAGTTCTCTAGGGCAGGGGCAAAATGCTTCCAGTCTCTTTGCTAAAGCATAGCAAAAGTGATCTCTACTCCAGTTCCCAATAAGTTTCTCATCTCTGTCTGAGACCACCTCAGGGTGGACTTCACTATCCCTATCACTATCAACATTTTGGTCAAAACCATTTAACAAGTCTCTAGGAAGTTCCAAACTTTCCCACATCTTCCTGTCTTCTTCTGAGCCTTCCAAACTGTCCCAACCTCTGCCCATTACCCAGTTCTAAAGTCACTTCCACATTTTCAGGTATCTTTATAGCAGTGCCCCATTCCTGGTACCAATTCTCTGTATTAGTCTGTGTTTACACTGCTATAAAGAACTACCTGAGAACGGGTAATTTATGAAGAAAGGAGGTTTAACTGACTCACAGTTTCACAGGCTTAACAGGAAGCATAACTGGGAGGCCTCAGGAAACACAATCATGGCGGAAGATGAAGGGGAAGCAAGGCATGTCTTACCATAGCAGCAAGAGGGAGAGAGAAAGGGGAAGTGTCACTTTTAAACCATCAGATCTTGTGGGAACTCATTATCACAAGAACAGCATGGGGGAAACCATCCCCATGATCCAATTGCCTTCCACCAGGCTCCTCATGCAACACTGAGGATTACAATTTGAGATGAAATTTTGGTGCGGACACAGAGCCAAACCATATCACATGCCATGCCAGCCCCTGACTTACAGCAGAGGGCAAAATAAACTTCTGTTGAAGCCACTGGTTTTTGTTGTTGTTTTCTTTACTTTTTGTCTTGTTGTTTGCAGTGAAAACTATTTCTGATATAATACACCAGAAATATTTTTAACACATATTAAAATAAATGCAAAAGTATTAACATTTTAAAAGGTTCATTCACATATCACCAACCATGTTACACTGGTTGCCCCCAGTGCAATGCTACTTTAGGAAACACTTACATCATGTGTCTTAGTCTATTTGGACGCTATAACAAAATACCATAGACTGGGTGGCTTAGACAATGAACATTTCTCACAGCTCTGGACACTGGGAAGTCCAAGATCAGGGTACTAGCAGATTTGGTGTCTGCTGAGAGTGCTCTTCTGGTTTGCAGACTATCTTCTTGTTGCATCCTCATTCAGTGGAGAGAAACCTATCCTGTCTTTTTCTCCTTTTGCAAGAGCAAAATCTATCATGGGGGTTCCATCTCCATGACATCATCTAACCTTAACCAGCTCCCATGGGCCCCATCTCCAAATACCACCCCATGGGGGATTAGGGCTTCTATATACATATTTTGAGAGGAAACAAGCATTCAGTCCACAGCAAATGAAAAAAAATCTTGAAAATGATCAAGTATCCCATAAATCTCAGACCTCCACCCTCCAGGTGCCCTTGGTCTTGCCCAGCCTCCAACACATACAAGGTGCTGGGTCATGCTTTTCATGACCAAAGAAAGGGGACAAAGGTGCATTGAAAATGCAAAGTACAAAGCCACGGCCCCTCTGCCCCCTCCCAGGAATAACAGAACTCTCCATGTCCATGCTTGGATGTGACAGTAATCTCAGAATTGACACTGAAGGTGCTACTTAAGGTTCATATCCAAAGTCAACAATCATGAGTTCCAGTCATGGGTTCCAGTCATGGGCTCTGTTATTGCCTCCCTGTGTGACCTTGGACAAGGTTGTTGATCCAACTGAAATTAAAGCATTCAATTCAATTCTCCAAATATTTCCTTGTTGCTTAGTGTGTGCCTGGTGCTCATGCTTTGTGCTGGGATTCTTGCCCTTAAGGAGAGTAGAGTTTAACTCGGGGTAGACTTGGCCCTGAGAAGATCAGGAAGAGAGGAGCTGGACACAGGCCATTGCTCAGAGGGCAGCATCTTCATCTGGGTTCCTGGAGACAAGGGTTCAGCATCAGAATTTACTTGACAGGTGATCTTGGGAAGTGCTTGTCTTAACCTCTCCATGAGTTAATGCTCTAATCTATAAAACTGGCATAATAAAAGTGCTGTCCCCCAATCAGGGTGCTGTGAGTTCTTAAGAATCAGTGCACTGGAGCCACACAGGAGACCCAGTTGTGTGCAACCCCTCCCAATTCCCTGTCAATAATCTCATATTGATAGCTTGAGATCCACCATGGTGGGAAGTGGGATTATTTACACCATGGAGGAGAAATACTGTGGATGGGAGTTCTATCTCCAAGGGCTGTTTGTCAGACATTTCCCAGCATGCCACTGATTTCACACAGGACAGTACCTAGCACAAGGCGCTTCACACATAGCCAGCAATGATTGTTAGAAGGCAGTGAGGGCCACGTGGAGCCCAGGCCCGGGGCACACAGGACATACTTAGCCCCAAGGATGCATTTTCCACTCCAGGTCATGGTTCAATCCCTTCATCCACCTTGAATCTCAGAACTTCTGCTGGCCTACAAGGGCACAGTCAAAGGGCAAGATAACCGTACTCCTATGCAAAAGTAGATGAATTCATTGCTGTCTGCCAGACACCAGAGTTTCTGTTCAAAAGTAACGACGCTTCCAAGCAGATGGTAGCTTTTGTTCCTGCTTTTGCTGGCCATTAAAACTAGTCACCATTCTCCAGCCCTATGATATTGAAAAAGTCACTTGGCCACTCTGTGCCTCAGTTTCCTCATCTGTAAAATGGGAATGAAAGTAGCATCACAAAAGTGCCGGGCATGTAGTCAGTGTTGAGGAAAGTTTACTACTGTTCATATAATGTGACGTTGACATCAACGGGGCCCTCACATCTGTGCCCATGTCACCATTTATATTTCACCTCCACACACAGCTGCTCAGCAACATATCAGATAAGACCTTTGCACCCATTTGAAAGATGCACAGTGGGAGGCGCTGAAATTATGTAGCTCTAGCTGAGGTTACAGTAAAGATTAGAACTTCTCCATACAGCCCAAGTCCAGACCCTGCAAGGGGGAGATTTTAGGTCATCTGTAAAAGGATGGGGAAGGATCTTCTGCAGTGAGGGACCAGCATTAGCAAAGGCCCAGGGTTGGAAAGCGTGTGGCTCCATTAGTCTATCAATGTTCCTCGAGTGTCTGCTTTGTGCTGGGTCACACACCAGGTAGGAGGAAGGAGACTTGGCCCCAGCTTCATGGTGCTAACAGAGGTATGGTTGATGTGCCTGCGTATGAACCTAGGCGTGGACTCCCAGAGAGGGGACTGTATCCTATTCATGTTTATATCCCAGGGCATAGGCTTGTAGCTCTAGCGAGGTCGCAGTAAGGTCAGTGTGGGAGCTGGGAGGCCTCAGCCCCTTGCACACCTCACCCCACCACCTGGTCCTAACTAGTCACCCACACTCGGGCTGTCTCTGCCCTGACCGCCATTTCAGTCCCTTCCCAGCTGAGAGGCTGCTGGCCCCAAATAACTTCTGCATCCCCTCCTCCCAGCAGGAGCTTCAGAAGTCAGTGGCTCGGACAATTGCACTTGCTTTTCTCTTTCCAAAGAGGGATCTGCTTTGGGAGCCCTTTGAAAGGGCTGTGATTACATCTTCATTTGTGGGTAATGGGATTAGCACAAGGATGGCAGAGCCTCCCCGCAGCAGTGGGGATTGTCAGGTCTGCCCGAGAGGGCCAGGGAAGAGGAGCTCTCTGTTCCTCTGAGCTGCCAGGCGCTGGCCACTGCCCCGGAGGAGGGGGCACCCCAGTGCTGGGACACAGGGACTGGAAAATGGAACTAGCTCCATTCCAGTGCACAGAGGCCAGCTGTCTCACCCAGCCCCAACTCCTCAGCTGATGGACAGGATCTCCCTGAAGAGGAGATATGAGTGTGTGTGTGTGTGTGTGTGTGTGTGTGTGTGTGTGTGTGTGGTGGGGATAAGGTGGGGGGTCTTTTCGTGCCTTTAATCCCCAGCTATCCCCTTCTGGAGGGACTCAGACAGGTGAAGTCACCAGGTTCGGGTCTCCCACAGGTTACATCCAATTTCCTGCTTCCCATGTGCCAAGCCCAGTAGTACTTACAGGGACCCACACCACAGTCACCCTTCTTTGAAACCTGGCTTCTGGTGCAGGCTTGGTGCCGAGGACTCTACGCATGCCATTCATACAATGCTCACCACACACCTGTGAGGCCGTGACCGACCTCATCCCCATCTGGCATAGGAGGGACTCAGACCTGGGGCCGACTGACGCTGGAATGTGGGATCTACTGGCCACCTGGAGGCCCCACAGCAGGGCTCGGTTTAATGCCCACTAACACATTGTGTGTTTACTTGATACTTTCTTTAAGCTTTCTCACTTTTAAAATTTTTAATTTATTATTTTTCCAACTTTTTATTTTGAAAAATTTCAAGCCTACTAAAGAGTTGCATGAATAACACAGCGAACATTTATATGGCCTTTCTTTAGAGTCTAGATGCACTGGATGTTAACGCTGATATTTGCTTTTTTCTCTGTCTCACCCTCTTCTCTCTCTCTTTGCATGTGTATATATATGTGTATATGTATTTATATGTATGTGTATATATACAGATATGTGCACAGTTGATTACAGCAGTGCCCCCTTATCCATAGGGGATATGTTCCAAGACCCCCAGTGGCTACGTGAAACCTCAGATAGTACCGAATCCTATATATACTATGTTTTATTCCTATACATATCTAGGATAAAGTTTAATTTATAAATTAGGTGCACTAAGAGTTTAACAACTAATAAGAAGATAGAACAGTTATAACAATCTACTATAATAAAAGTTATGTGAACGCTTTCTCCCTCTCTCAAAGTGTCTTCTTGTACTGCTCTCCCCCTTCTTCTTGTGATGATGTGAGTTGGTAACACGCCTGCGTGATGAGATGAAGGGAGGTTAGGCTGCTGTTACCTTCTGATGATGCTTTGGAAGAAGGAACACCTGCTTTGGGTGATCCTGTATCATAAAGACAGGATGATGTCGATGGCTGGATGTCAGGAGCAGACGATCTCTGTGACTAACAGTACGTAGTATCTCCAGTGTGGACCCACTGGACAAAGGGATGATTCATGTCCTGGCAGGATGGTGTGGGACAGCATGAGATTTCATCACGGCCACTCAGAATATTGCAAAATTTAAAATTTATCAATTGTTTATTTCTGGAATTTTCCATTTCATATTTTCAGACCTTGTTTGACTGAGACTAACAGAAACCATGAGAGCGAAACCATGGATAAGGGGCGACTGGTGTGTGTGTGTGTGCGCGCACATGTGGGCACGTGTGCAAAAGCGCACACATATTTTTTGTGAACCATTTGTAGACAAGTATGAGACAAACATGAGTTGTCTCCTAAATACTTCAGCACATATCTCCTAGCACAAGGGCATTCTTCTACATAACCACAGCAATGATTCTCACACCCAGAAAATTTAAAATCCATTCAATTCTATCATGTACTTCTTAATCTACATTCAAATTTCCTCCCAGTTAACCCAATCATACTCTTTAGATCCTTTTTCTTTGCAAATTCCAGCAATCATCAAGGATCACTCATTGCACTTACTGATCATTTCTCCAAGATGTGATCTGAAGAACTGAAAGCAGACTGAATGAGGGGACTCTCCCTTCCTGCTTGGCTGCAGAATGCTGTGTCAGCACGCAGAGAACATCAACACTCTCATGTGGGGCGCCTTCTAGGAACCCTGCCCACTGAGATTGCTTCCAAAAATCAGTACAAAGCTAGATCTCCTCCAGATCCCGTCCTTGGGCAGTCACACTGGATTTGGTCTCCTGGATTGTTAAATGACGGTGTGGTCAGGGCTTCCATACCCCCTTTCCCTTCCCTTTCGGCTGCAAAATCATTGTGATTCATGAATGTTTCATGTGACTGACCCCCAAACAGCAGCGAGTGCAGCACTGCAGTTACCCAGGCCAGGGGTGGACTCCGGCTCTACCACACGCAAGCTGGGCAGCCGAGGGGGCGAGTCACAGCTTCTGTGAGCCCTGGTTTTCTCATCTATGAAAAGGAAATAATCATATCTGCTGAGCAATGTTACTGGCATGTAATTGAAACTCGAAGGGAGCAACCCCTTTCCCTTCCCCTCACCATCTGGCCCCAATTTTGTTCAGAGCAGCAGTGAGCCTGTTCCTGTGGAACAATCATGATTGGCCTGGGCGACTCTGGCCATCCCGTCCATCTTTGCTGGAGGTCCACTTCTCCAGCCGCCCTTGCAGCCAGGATTGGCCATGTGGCCAAACTAACAAGCAAGGCTTAAAGGAAAGTCTTCTGAGACAGCTGCCTCTGGTTCCCTTTTTCCTTTGCTGATATAAGAAGAAAGCACTTCAGGAAACTCGCCACCCCCTCCTTCCTTCCTGCCTCCCGCCTTTGAACTTGGTTGTGATGCCTGGAGCTGTAGCAGCCATTTGTGACCATAAAGCAACAACCATTAGGACAAAAAGCCATCTGGTGGAGTATGACAGAAGAGAAAGCTGGAAATAGCCTGGTTCCATGATGCCAATGCTCAGCTGTTGCCCCAGTCCTGAACTGCCATCTGCCACTTCTCCTCGTGGAAGAGGAGTCCATCTTTATCGCTTAAGCTACTGTTACGCTTTATAGCTTAAGATACTGTTGAAAGCATTCCTAATTGATACAACTTCCAAGAAACTTCTAGATGCAATGGAAAATATAAGGCATATGGGACCAAACACAACTGGGTTCAAAGGTAAGAGGCAGCCCCTAATTAGGTGCATGGACCAGGATGCATTACTTCACCTCTCTGAGTCGAAATGTCTCAGCTACCAAAATAAAAAACAAACAAAAACAAAAACCCACAAACAAACAAAAATCTCCAGGAAATGCTGTGAGGCTAGAAAGACATACTTATATGATTATGTCTATTCAATTATTCATTCAACAAGTATTTGCTGAGCACTGTTGTGTACTGTTCATTCAATGAACATTTTAATGAGCACCTAGTATGCTCTAAGTACTGTTTTAACATTGCAGGTATCACAACGAAATAGACCAAATCTTCTCTCTCATAAGCTTACATTCTGAAGTTCCCTTTGAGTTTCAATTACATGCCAGTAGCATTGCTCATCAGATATGATTATTTCCATTTTCATAGTTGAGAAAACCAGGGCTCACAGAAGCTGTGACTCGCCCACATGGCTGCCCAGCTTCCATGTGGTGGAGCTGGAGTCCACCCCTGGTCTGGGTAACTGCAGTGCTGCACTCGCTGCTGCTTGAGGATCGATCATGTGAAATAGTCATGAATCACCGTGATTTTGCAGTTGTAAAATGCTCTGGAGGAAGGACAATGCTGTTTCCAACTCCTTTTGGAAATGTGTTTCTCATTTTGATCCCATTTTATCAGATACATAAACTGGATTATCTGGAGAACGAACAGGCTCAGTGGTGCATTTTCAGCTAATAACCTTTGCTTTCAGCTTCTCAGACCTAGTGGAATTGCCATGCCAAGAGGGCCCTGGCCCGGACTGGCACAGAGCACGCCCTTCTGTTTATTTGTATCACCCTCTTCTTTTTCAGCTACTCGAGGAGCCTTAGAAACCCAAGTGCAGTCTTTCCCTCCGCAATCAGGGAGAGCAGGAAATAATTCCACTTTTTAGAATGTCTACTAATGTGGTGGCCTATGTCTCAACCCACTTCATTTTATCCTCAGGTCAACTCTGGGAAGCAGGGGTCATTCACCTTATTTTATAAATGGAGAAACTGAGGCTTGAGGGGCAACTTGCTGAAGATGACCCAGCCCAGACCTGTTTGTGTTTGTTTAGCGTCTGTCTCCCAGCATGACTGCGAGATCAGAAGCCATGTCTGTTTTATTTACTACTAAATCCCCTTAGTTCGGGGTCTGGCGCCTAATATAATAAATGTTTGTAGGATTGAAATGTGGAGTCTAGAACCTCTTGCTGCCTGAGGGTCTATGTGGCTACAATTCTAAAATTCTCCAACTTGTTTGCCTTAGCCTGAGAGGGGATGTGCGAGGCATAAGACAGAAAGAAGAAAGGAGACTCACATTGAGAATAAATGCAAAGCCCAGGCTAACATCGGACACGCAAGGCTTCCCCGTCATGGCCCAGGACTGCTTCATCAGAGCCTCTGCAGGTTTCCATCACACACATTAACCAAGGCTTGGCATCATTTTCTAAGACAGAAAGAGGTGGGCAAAGCGTACAAGGGTAGCACTGAGTGAGTTGCAAGCTCCTGGGTAAACCCCTTTCCTTTTCTGGACCTCTGGTTCCCCATCAGTAAAGTGGAGGAAGTTGAATTCCTAGACTCAATCTTCTCTCTACTCAAACATCCTTCCCAGAGCTGAGATTGCTGGACTCGTTTCCAGGCACCATAAAGTAAAAATGCAAAACTCTAGCTTAAGACACCTTCATCTTATCTATTTGCAAAGAGTAGGTAGCTTAACAAACTAATAGGAATCAACCTCATCAATGTACAGATGAGAATAAAACTATGCGTACGTGATGCTTACTAGGTATTTCATCACCTCCGTTTAACAGATGAGCAAACTGAAGCGCAAAGAAGATGCATTTGCATAAGTTGTCACAGCTACTAAGCGGCGGAGGCTGACTCTCAGTGTCCATGCACCTAACTACCTTACCGTACCACCTTCCAGTTTGTTCTCTGCTACATGCTGGACCTGGGGCCAAGATTTTACACAAAATATTTCTCACTGATCTCTCCAGATGGGAAGACATTGCTGTCATCTCTGTTTTCAAAGAAAGTGAGTAGTGCTCACACAGGAGGCAAAAATGGCTGAGCTAGAACCAGGGTTTCCCCTGGGAGTTTGACACTCATGTCCCTAAAGATGTCATTAAGCAGGCCAACTTGGGTGGCAATCCCTGCTCTTCCACTCAGCTCTGCGACAGCAGGAAGCTTGCTAAACCTCTCTGATATTAAGCTTTTCCATTCTGGGAAAACTCCCCCAGGGCTGTGTAATGCAACTCTTTGAGCTTAGGCTCTGAGATAAAAGAGAAACTGCCCTGGATTATTCTTTCCAGTGAGGCTGATGCGCTGAGGGATGGAGGAATACACACATTGGCTCCAGGTACTTTTCCCTTCAGACTCTTCCCTCTCCAGTCCTTGAAGTGAGTGGAGCTGGGACTGGGCACCTCTGTTCAGGCCACTGTTTGTGAGGACAGAGGGGTCACTACCAACCTGCCAAGGATTTAAGGGCAAAAGCCTCCTACATCCCTGACTAAATTCATGTTCACTCCCCACACTGCGGGGTGTGCGGAAGGCCACCACTGTTGTACTGTGGTACCCAGCATCTCCTGATCCAACCCAAAACACTCAGAGAGGACTGATACTGGAGGACGTGGACATAGGGAATATTCACTCCCATTTGCAGAGGGCTTCCCATGCTTTGCTTGTATTGCATCATCCTTTGAGCTCAGTAGTATTCTTCCTGCTTTACAGATGAGGGCATGGGCCCGAGAGATCATTTCCATATCACATGGTGGTGCTAGGATGAAGGTCATCAGTTATCCTGTCTTTAGATCATGGTTGTCACTGCCAAACTGCAGGCAATAGCTGGTGGATGTGCCTGGGCTGCGAACCTAGGTGTGGACTCCCAGAGAGGGGACTGTGTCCGATTCATGTTTATATCCCAGGGTACAGGCTTGGCACACAGTAGGTGCTCACTGAGCGCTCACTGGATGGATAAATGATGAATGCACAAATGAGAGCCCCAGCTCCTAAGGTAGTGACTAGCTGCTCACCACGCCCACTTCCTCTTCCCCTGGGCACCCAGCTAGACTGCATTTTCCAGCCTCCCTTGCAGTTCTGGCCAATGGACTATGGGGAGGCATTAAGTGCACCATTTCTAAGGTTGGTCGGTGAAAATCTTCCGTGTGATCCTCCACTTTTTCTTTTCCCACATTGTGTAGCCTTATGCACAGGATCCATCTAAGAACTCAGAGACTCAAGGGAAGGTGGAACCACAGGTGGAAGGAGCCTTGATGCCTGAGTCACTGCCTGGAGGAAGGCCACTGGTAAGTACCTGCATGGAGCTGTTACTTGGCCAAGAAATACACTTCCACAGCATGAAGCAATGAGTGACGAGGTTGTTGGCAACAGCATTAGGCTACCTTCACTAATCTTGGAGTTGGAAGAAAAAATTTCTCCTAGTATCATAGGCTCTCAGGGTTGGAAAGTACCTTGGACATCCCAGAAATAAAGTTTCCACCCAGTGCAGGAATCCCTTTATGACATGTCTGCCTACAATTCTTCCAACCAGATTTACACACCTCCAGTGACGGGGAGCTCACTTTCCCAGAAGCTTCTTTCTCTATCTTTGGACTGCCCTGGCTGCAGGAGGAGACTTCCTTACCCTGAGCCTTGCCTCCTCACATCTTTCTCATCTTGATCTGCCTCTTAGCCCCTCAGAGATGAAGCTGGCTTTTCCTTCTCACATGTAGTTGAAGGCAGAGATCAAGTCCTCCTGAGTGACTTCTCATTCCTTTAGTCAACAGGTATGTGCTGAGCCCCTCCCACCTGCCAGCATCCCCCCCACTGCCAGGCCAAGCCTTGCCAGCTATTCACTGTTACCCCCTGGGCATGGTTTTAGGTCCTGCTCCATTTTTTATCATTTCCTGTAGATGTGAGCGATCAGATTCTCTTCAGCTCTGTTCCTGGCATTGGCCTTCGTGGGAAAACTCACCTTAATAAATAGCATTTCCCAAATGACCACCTGTGCAGTGCTAAGTATCCTTTCTCCCATTTCATCCTCACAGTGATTCAGTGGAGTGTGCATCGTTTTACTCCCATTTTACAGAAGGGGAAACTGAGGTCAGAGAGGTGATGTGACTTGCCCAGAGGACCACAACTAGAAAATGGCAGCAGGGAGTTTAAATCGAGGTGCATCTGACACCAGAGCACAGGCCCAGCCTTTCAGGTGGTGGGGAGAGGCCCCAGGCCCTAGACAGCTGGGCATGAGGGACCGGGCTCAGCCACACTGGCCTTCAAGTGGTAGCATGGGCTCACCTCTAGAAGCAGCTGCCCAGCGCACATTGGCCCTCTTTGATTAGCCTGGCCACACCATTGGAGGCTACGGCTCCTCCCTGGGTATGTGGGAGCTGGGGTTACATGAGGAACGCCAAGGTCTGTGCTGTGGCTGTTTCTTGTGTCCAAATTGGTTAAGGAAGCCCAGAGTCTGGTGGAGCCAATTGCTTGGCCGACCTCTGCTGACCAGAAAGTTGCTAACATATGTCCCTAATCCGACCCACCAGCCACTTGCCAGGTGCTAGAATTCGGGAGCTGCTCCAAGGCCCTGCTGATTTTGGACAGGAGGACCCCAACTTACTGGGGCTGTGTACCTACTGCGTGCCAGGGGCTAACACACCAGACTTTATTTTATCCTCACAACAGGCCAGAGAGGTAGATCGTAATCTATCTACTTTCCAGGTGAGGAAACTGAGGCTCAGAAAAGTAAAGTCACTGGTGTACACAGACAGGGGCAGGAGAAACGGGATCTGTCCACACTCAGGCAGATCTGGGTTTGAATTCCGTGTTCATTTCATGCTGTGATTCTCCAGTCTTCTGGCTAGGAGAGATTTATTTATAAATGGTTTCTCCTTCGCCCCTCACACCTCATCCACCACGTGGGCAGGGCCCCAGTGCACTATGAGCTTCGTGAGAGCAAGGATTGACCCAGTTAACACCTCTGTTCCTGTGACATGCAGGAGAGGCTCAGGTAACGGTGAGTGAATGGGACTCCAGGGGTTTGATGCAGGGAAAGCACGGGAGCGGGAGGCCTGGGGAACACAGGAAGGAAGGAAGCAGAAGAGTAAAAGGGCAAAACATAAGGAGAAAGTCAACCAGAAGCAAGTCTGGAAGGGAAATCGGTCACAATAAAAGCAAGAGACAGAGGAAGAAGACCTTTAGCAAAGGGAAGGCCTTAGCCTCAGCAGGAGAATGTAGAGAGCTTCCCAGCTACATTCCAGCGACGTAATGAGCTCACTGTCGCTGGAGATGTGCAAGCAGGGCTGCACGTACCTGTGTCTGGGGAGTCCTAGGGTGGATTCATGCATCCAGGAATGGCTGCACAGGCTTCTCCTACCTCTGAGAGACCGAGGTTCTGATCAGATAACCACTCCCCTCTTATACACAAGCACATTTAGAGAGCTCAATTCTCATCTCTCATGCACTTTGAAAGGAGGTAGAAAGTGCCAGAATTATAGGCTCAAAGCTGCTCTTCTGAGTTGTAGGTGCTCTGTCCTTGACCCTGAAGTCTCTCAAACCCAGGCAGAGGAGAGCTGTGAACCTGATGAAGGCTACTTAGTGCCAGCAGAGGATCAGGTCTGCATTCCTCCAACTGAACTCAGAGCTGACTGTAGTTGGTCCGGGCCCTCCCCACCCCTCTCCCTCCACATCCCATCAAAGCCCCACATAGGCCTAAGTTCAGCCCCAGCCAGTCCCTCCCCTCCTCTTCACTCTCTGAATAGCCACGGTGGCGGCTGCACAGTGACTATTTTAGTGCTTTGCTTGATGCCACGTCCAGCATAACTCTGTTAGCACCGTGAAGCTGGCGCCAAGTCTGCTTCCTCCTGCCTGGTGTGTGACCCGGCACAGAGCAGACGCTCGAGGAACATTGGTAGACTAATGGAGCCACACACTTTCCAGCCCTAGGCCCTCACTCATGCTGGCCCCTCACAGCAGAATACCCTTCCCCATCCTTTTACAGACGACCTAAAATCTCCCCGATGCAGGGTCTGGACTTGGGCTGGATAGAGAAGTTCTAATAATAGCTCACATCGGCAAAAGGTTTGTTACGTGTTCTTTGTTCCTCAAGGTAACCTTAGGAGGTAGGTACATCACTATCCCAGTTTATAGGTGAGGAAACTGAGGCAGAGAGTCACAGAGGGGTGTTTGAGGACCAGAGTGCTGGCTTCTGAAGCTACACCTCAAACTGTAGACTGTGGGTTCTCAGGAAAAGAACACTCAACTGGAAAGCAGAGAATGGTTTCCTGTAGCTGTAGGTTTCTCTCCCCCATCCCCTGGCTCCTCTCAGAAAGGGGACAGATCTCCTTGGGGTCTGGCAAGATGCTTAGCACACAGGAGGTACACAGAGAAAAGTTGGGTAATGAATCAGTTCCCTTTAGGCAGCACTTTACTGGACTGTCTTTTCTTCAAGTGACCCACTAGTATGAAGGATCCTGAATATTGTGTGGCTTCCCTCGCCCCGTCGATCAAACAATGGAGTATCAGGAGCTGACTTTGTGGTGGCTTGCAAATCAAGGATGGGACAAATGTATTCAGTGTCAACCAAACCCTCCGCTGATGTGAGACCTTCCTCGAGCGGAAGAGCCTGGGACTGGGGTCTGAGGTGCCCAGTTTGCATTCCCATTGGCTGTCACAGTGGGTCCCCCAGGAAGTGAGCAGGATGGTTCTTAGGGTATGTTCCAGGGCTCCACACCTATGGGGTGGGCGAGGAGGGAGCAGGCTGAGCAGAGGAAGGCATGGAACTGCAGTGCAGTTTCCCCAGGGTTTTGTATCAGGGATGACCCTTCAGAGCCATCCCAGCTGGGACTAGAGGCCAGGCCTTGATGCCCAGCTGGACAGGCCATGGATGGAGCTGACCCTGGAAAGGGGCGTGAGTTTGCATAACTCCAGCCCAAGTACAGGTTCAGTTTTCTTCAGCCAAAAAAATCCCCAAAGAGGGCCAACAGCTGAGTTCCATCTTCCAACAGCTGGGGAATCTGGGCAGCGCATCACCAGCCCTTGCCATCATGTTGGGTCATTTTCCAGCATGGCGACCTCAGCCACATCGCCAGCCTCTCCCAGCTTTCGTTTCCTCAACTGCAAAATGGACTAACCAGTGGTTCTCAACTTTTTTGATCTCAGGATTCCTTTGTACTTTTTTTTTTTTTTTTTCTCTCTGAAACAGTGTCTCGCTCTGTTGTCCGGGCTAGAGTGCAGTGGTGTGATCTTGGCTCACTGCAACCTCCACCTCCCAGGTTCAAGCGATTCTCCCACCTCAGCCTCCTGAGTAGCTGGGATCACAGGTGCCCACCACTATGCCCAACTAATTTTTGTATTTTTAGTAGAGATGGGGTTTCACCATGTTGGCCAGGTTGGTCTTGAACTCCCGACCTCAAGTGATCCGCCCACCTCAGCCTCCCAAAGTGCTGGGATTACCGGTGTGAGCCACTGCACCTGGCCTCGTTTGTACTCTTAAAAATTATTGAGGACCCCTAAATTGCTTTTGCTTATGTACTAAATCTACCAGCACTAGAAATTAAAACTAAAAATATTTTTAAATATTAATTCACTTAAAAACCATAATAACAAAACTTGTATGCGTTAACACAAATAACTTGTTTTTATTAAAAAAAAAATCGGTGAGAAGAGTGGCATTGTCTTATATTTTTGCAAATTTTTTATCTTCTGGTTTACTAGAGGATTGTTGAATTCTCCTATCTCCTTCTGCAATCTGTTGTGAGATAGATTGTTTGGTTGAAGTATATAAAGAAAATCTGGCCTCACAGATATGTTGTTGGATGCAGGACAAGTATTTTTATAGGCTTTTCAGATAATTTCTTGATACCACAAAAAACTTGACAAGCAGTAGTATAGTATTTTAATGTGGAACCTGAAAACACATCAGTGAACATTTTGTTCTTTGTCACATTAAAATCCATTAGTCTGTCTAGCACTTTGGAGGTATCTTTTGCCTATGTGAGATTCTGAAACATCAGCATTAGTCCTTGGAAAATGCTGGTTCACTGACTTACAAGATCTGCCAAATGTTCACACACTGAATTTTACAACATCAAAAGGAAGCACATTCGCTAATACTATCATCAAAAAGTCTTTAAATTTGGAGAACAAGCTCACAATGATGGATACAAGCTTTCTAAAATTCTAAGTTTTGTTAAAAGTGCAAATCTCGGCCTGGCACGGTGGCTCACGCCTGTAATCCCAGCACTTTGGGAGGCTGAGGTGGGTGGATCATGAGGTCAAGGGATCAAGACCAACCTGGCCAACATAATGAAACCCCGTCTCTAGTAAAAACACCAAAATTAGCTGGGTGTGATGGTGTGTGTCTGTAGTCCCAGCTACTCAGGAGGCTGAGGCAGGAGAATCGCTTGAACCTAGGAGGCGGAGGTTGCAGTGAGCCGAGATTGTGCCACGGTACTCTGGCCTGTGTGACAGAGTGAGACTCTGTCTCAAAAAAAAAAGGCTCAGATCTCTCTGCAGATAAACACTATTAGCTGTTCACCTTGAAGCAACAGACTCACTTTGTTCATTCTCAAAAAATGTCTACCGAGAGATACCATCTTCTGTACCAAAAATAGACAAGAGAATGCTGTCAATATTGGTGTACTGTAATGTGAATCTATACTGGTGAAAACAATTTTTTGTTCCCCTTATTAAAAACTTAGTGTCCTTTTCTCAAAAAAAAAAATTGTCTACCAAAAACACAAGTCCGAATAACCATGGTTAGCCTGTCAATCATTCTTTCAAATAAAAAGGGTACTCCGTGAAGAAGGCAGTGAGTTTCGCTTACCACTCAAATGACTGCACGACTGTGTTTCTTCCATCTGCAGTGGAAGTGCTTTATGCAGGCTTCCCATTTTGTCACACAGAATGCTGAAAAGACATTCTCAAAGATTGAGATTTGACAATCCTTAACGAATTTTATTGCTTCATTGAAGATTATGTGTTTATGTTTTACTGACTGCATGATGGTGAACAATACCGTAACTATTAGCATAGTATAGCATAGCATAGCATAGCATAGCATAGCATAGCATAGCATAGCATAGCATAGCATAGCATGGCATGGCATGGCATGGCATGGCGTGGCGTGGCATGGCATGGCATGGCATGGCATGGCATAGCATAGTTTGGGGCCAGCATTTTGATTCGAGTTAAGCCTTAGCGGTTTTCCCCACTGTTGGATTTGTATCATCAGTGATTAGTCAACAGAGTAAAATATAACTTAGTGTTAGTAGTATTAGTATTAATACTAACATTACGATACAATATTAATATTACTATCAACACAAGATTTTACCTCATAGACCTCAGAGAATGTCCAGGGGTCCATGGGCCATTTGCTGAGAATAATTGATATTAAAAAAGGGTGTGGTATTTGAAGTCAGATAGACCTGAACTAAAAACCCAGGTCCTACTAGCTGTGTGGTATTGAACAATTTGCTTACACTCACTAGGTCTCAGCTTCCTCATTCATAAAATGGAGATTATGCTGCCTGCCTCACGGAGTCCTCTTGAGACTCAAATGAAATGGTATCTACGAAAGTGCCTGGTTCAATGCCTGGCACATGGCACATGCTTCATTAATATGCCCTTTCCTCCTCTTATGGACTTTTTTGTGTCCCCCGGCCAATTCACATATTGAATCCTCAACCCTAATGAGACTATACTTGGAGATGGGGCCTTTATGGAGATAATAAATGATAGGTGAGGTCACAAGGGTGGGACCTTAATCCGATAGAACTGGTGTCCTTATGAGAAGAGAGACACCAGGTTTCTCTCTCTCTCCCTTTCTCTCCCCCCGCCCTGCCCACTGTCCCACCCCCCACAACACTACGAAAGCACAGAGGAAAGGACACAGTGAGATGACAGCCATCTATAAGCCAGGAAGAGAGCCCTCACCAGAAACCAAATTTGCTGCCACCTGATCTCAAACTTTCCAACCTCCAGAACGGTGAGATAATAGATTTCTGTTGTTTAAGCCACCTAGTCCTTGGTATTTTGTCATGGCAGCTCGGATAGATGAATGCACCCTGCCCCCACACTCTTCTCCTTTCAAAGTGCTTGTGCTGTTGGTTTATATATTAATAGTTTGAAAGGCCTCTGTTTGCTGGAAAGAGCTGGGCATGAGCAAATAATATTGGCATTAGAAACTCTGTGCCCAGACAGCCTTTGGGCAAATCTCCCAGCTTCAACGATCATGCCTTTCGGGAGGTTTCTGATGAGAACATTCCGAGATGCCAGTGGAAAATCCTGATGCTGGCTAATTGAGAACCATACTGGGAAGAAAGCAATTTTCTAATAGATTTTCTAAAACAATAAACAGTGGAGAGAATGTCAGGATAGTATTTTTAACTACCACAAGCCAGAAAAAATCAGCTTCAAGTCCTAAACCATCACTCAGACTTACTATGACAGATCTGTCCCATGGAAACACCAACAGCCCATCTGATGGTAATAACGGTGGTCGTGACGATGGTGGTGGTGATGACGAAAAGGATGATAATGATGAAGATGATGCTGATGTCATGATGATCATGATCATGACAATCGATAATGATGAAGATGATGCTGATTGTCATGATGATCATGGCAATCGATGATGTCAATAATAGAAATGATGGTGATGACAATGGTGGTGGTAATGGTGATGATTGTGACGATGACGGTTATGGTTACAGTTATGATGTTGATGTTGGTGATGATGGTGGTGGTGATGATGATGGTGATGATAATGATTATGATGATGGTGTTGGCAATGGTGATGATGGTGATGATAATGACAATGATAAGGATGGTAATGAAAATGATAATGCTAATGCTAATTGTGATGATAATGGAAACCATGGCAATGATGATGGTAACTATCGTGATAATGATGATGATGATAATGATGATAGTAATGGTAATGATTGTGACGATCATGGCGGTGGTAACGGTGATGATGGTGATGGTGATAGCTACATTAGTGATGTTGGTAATGGTGGTGGTGATGATGATGGTGATGCTAATGATTATGATGATGATGATGGTAATGGTGATGATGGTGATGGTGATAGTTACAGTAGTGATGTTGGTAATGATAGTGGTGGTGACGACGGTGATGCTAATGATTATGATGATGATGGTGGTGGTAATGGTGATGATGGTAATGTTGGTGATGATCGTGGCTGTGATGGTGATGGTTATGATGGGAATGTTGGTGAAGATCGTGGCTGTGATGGTGATGGTGGTGATGATGATGACAATGATAAGGATGGTAATGAAAATGATAATGCTGATGCTAACTGTGATGGTAGTGGAAATCATGGCAGTGACAATGATGGTAATTACAGTGATGATACTGATGATGATGATGGTGTCAATAAAACAGCCAGTTTTTTGAACATCATATGCAAGGAGCTTTGCTAAGTGCTTTAATGAGCACTCATTTAATGCCATTAAATGTATCATCTCATTTAATGACAGGCAATACCTTCAAAGTAGGTAAAATATGCCCATTTTACAGGTAAGGAAACTGAGCGCAGAGAGGCTGAGTAACTTGACTAAGGGCACACAGCTGGTACATGGCTGAGATGTATTCTTTTCCATCCATCCCAATAGTAATTTCTTTTCTTTTCCTTATTTTGTTATTGCAGCTATTCCTAGGCTGACAATAGACTGAGATCAGGGTTTAAGTTTGTAGGAGAAGAAAGCTGAGCAACTTGCCCCAAAGTCACACAGCTTGTGAGTGGCCATGCCAGGATGTGTCCTCCAAAGATCTGTGCAGCTTTTGGAGTTTCAACTGATGTGCAGGTGTAAGGCCTTATTGGAAGTGCATGCCTGATGGTTTGACCTCCAGAATCCAAGAAACTCCAGAGTCCTCTCCCAGGTGGCCAGGAGAGGGAAACAGGTTGATGGACACTGCAGACACTGAGCAAGGCATTTGGGCCCCATCCTGCCCTGTACTTAGCTCCTGCCACTCACTCCCTACACCCCATCCACTCCAAAGCCGGCTTTCTGAGACAGTCTCAGCTCTCCAGCTCCCTGAGGGTCCACGGCACTTGCTGGGAACCATTGGTGAAGCAGAGAGAACTCACTTTTCAGGCTCACAGCACTGAATCGGGTTTTTTGTTTTGCCCCAACTTGCTCTGTGACCCTGCACATGGTACCCCATCTCCCAAAGCCTCAGTTTCCCACCTGCAAGAATAACCACTTCCCAGATTCAAGCAATAATCCACATGGGCCTGCCTCAGGCAGAATGTGGCAGGAGACGGATGCTTGGTCAATGGAGCTTTTATCCTCCCTTTTCTACAAAATAAAGTTGTATGGGTGAGCTACATATATTTTGGCTCAAGAAAGGCTCACTACCCACAAGATGGAAAAACAAACGTTCGGTGTTGAAGAAAACTGCGTGTACCAGGGACCACATTGGCTTCCCTGTCTAAAAGCACAACGCAAGCCCAGTGATTACCCATGCCACTGGCCCCAGAAATGTTGATTGACCAAAGCACAATTTCATTAGTGGTTTTAGAGATATACTCACGCCAAAGTGGCTAATGCAGACTTTTCTAGCACATAGCCTTACGAATTAAGCTCCTCTTGGAATCTGAGATTTAGCAGTGGATGTGGTCAACTCCCCTCACCTACGCCAACCCCGCATTTATCCCTGGATTTCCACTTATAAATCCACTTTGGGATTTGGCCTCTCTATCTGTCCATCTCCTGCACGCTGGGCTGACAGAATTCATTAGGGAATCCACGGGCTGCCCACTATGGAGCAGGGGCCGGTAACAAGGGGCCGGGGTGGGTGATCACAGGGCCAATCACTGAGCAGGGCCCTGAGTGCACCCGGCTCCTAGTTCTGGCATTAATCATGATTACCCAGGGAACCCCTGGGGATGGATAGGAAGCCTCAAACTGTTGTTTCAAGGCCCACCAAGCCCAAGCAAGGCACTTTTGAGGAAGGGTGGCTCTGGGCCTGGCGGAGCAGCTTTAAGGCCCAGGTATCCATTCTCACCGCCACCCTAGTCCTCTGATCCACACTGCAGTGTCAGGGCTCAGAGTGGTGTGGGTTCTTACTCGAAGTCAGGGTCTCACTGTGACGCTTTAGCGCATGGGCTCTGGAGCCAAACTGCTTGGATTCAAATCCCAGCTCCACCCTTCCTTGATGACATGGGGCTATCTGCTTTATCATTCAGGGCCTCAGTTTCCCCCTCTGTAAAATGGTAATAATGAGGATAGCTTTGTGACAGGGCTGCCGTGAGAACTAGAGGAGCTGTAAGGGCTCAGAACCGGGCATACACTGGTAAGTGTTCCGCTGCGACTTCACATCATCCTCTATCGACACAGTGTAAGAATGGCATTCAAAAGTTCCTCAGACATAAACAACATGGTTTTATTTATCTATTTAGAGACTGGGGTTGCTGGGGTTTCGCTGTGATGCCCAGGCTGGAGTGCAGAGGTGCGATCAAGAATCACTGCAGCCTTGAACCCCCTGGGCCCAGCTGGTCCTCCCACCTCAGCCTCCCAAGTAGCTGGGACCACAGGTACGCCTGCCATGCCTGGCAAATTTTTTTTTTTTTTTTTTTTTAGAGACAAGGTCTCCCTATGTTGCCCAGGCTGGTCTTGAACTCCTGGGCTCAAGTGATCCTCCTGCCTCAGCCAACCAAGGTGCTGGGATTACGGGTGTAAGCAACCAGCCTGGTTTTAATTTTTATTGAGGTAAAACTCACCTAGCATAAAAGTAACCATTCTAAAGTGTACAATTCAATGGCATTTAGTACATTAAACTCACATGCTATGCAGCCATCACCACTATTTAGTTCCAACACATTTCCATCACCCCAAAGGGAAACCCCATACCTATTCGCCAGTCACTTTCCTTCTTCCCTCTCCCAAGTCCCTGTAAACCACTCATCAGCTGTCTTCCACTATGGATTTTCTTGGACAAATTCTGGAAATTTCATATGAATGGAATCATGCAATGTTTACCCATTTGTGTCTGCCTTCTTTCCCTTAGCACAATATCTTCAAGGTTCACCCACACTGTAGATCCTCATTTTTTTATGTCTGAATAATATTCCATTGCCTTAATAGACTACATTTTATTTATCCATTCATCAGTGATGGACATCTGTTTCTACCTCTTGGCAGTAGAGAGTAGCATTGCTATGGACATTCACGTGCAAGTTTTCGTGTTGACATCGCTTTTCCTTTCTCTTGGGCATATACCTAGGAGTGGAATTGCTGGGTCATATGGTAGCTTTATGTGTAAGTTTTTAAGAAATCACCAAACTGTTTTTTACAGCAGATGCACCATTTTACATTCCCACCAACAACACCCAAGGGTTCTGATCTCTCCACATTCTCACCAACATTTATTTTCCATTTTTAAAATTAGCCAGCCTGGTGGTTGTGAATGGATAACAACATGGTTTTCAAATGAAGGTAGGATGTGACTTTTTTGTAACACAAGCATTGACCCCACAGCGTTGACCCTCTGTAAGCTCAACAAGGAGACTCAAGGAACAGACTGTGGCCAGGATTTCCTCTCTCTGGGCCTCAGTTTTCCCCTCTGTAACATGACCCGGTTGGTTTTGATTAGTGTGTCTCAAATGAGCTCTCTGGAAATGGCAGAGAGAAGAGGACGGAGATATCTTGCCACTGAAATGGAATAGTGCAGATCCTTTCTGGAGTCCCAGGGGAGGAAAAGATGAGTCATTCAGATAGATTCCCCTTCATCTGGAGTTTCTCATCTACTCCGAGGTGAGGGGTCTGGCCCTGATGATCAAGTCAGCTCTTTGGGGCTGTTATATCAATGTCTTAAGAAAGAGTACCCGGCCCTCCCAGCCATCAAAAAGCTCTCAAGCCAGATCAGAAACATAGGAAATCTCCTTCCACGCAGCATTCAGCCTTCTCCAACCCAACCCTGAGTGGGGCCCCAGAGACCCTGAGGCCACATGGAACATTCCAGGACCCCTCTGTTACTCAGGAGGAAATGCATTCCCACATCAACTGCTTGTCTATTTCTCACTGCGTGTTTTGCTCACCCTCTGCTCAGAACACCCTCCCCCGCTTCTCTATTCAACCAGCTCCTGCAGCTCTGTGTATGCCCAGCACAGCACTGCTTCCTACAGGAAGCCTTCTCTGATGCTCCGCCTGGAGTTAGGGGGTCCTACCCATGTGCCCCCTCTGTCACAGCACTCTTTACCTTGTTTCGAGCACTTTCTACTTAACTAGCCTCCTCCACTGGGCTGTGAGGTCCTTGAGCAGGCACTGTGGGACCCACGTAGGGGTCCGGCACTCATCAAGGCCACAGCTGGGATAAAGAGCCCATCAGGGATGACCCGTGTCTGGGCTGCCAGAAGCCTTGCGAGTTGTTTTCCTCCAGGAGCCAGCTCCTTCCTGTTGCAAGCGGTCTTGGTGGAGGGTCAGTCATGGTGTCTGACCCTTTTTGAGCACATGACCCAAGCTGAACGAATTCTGTGCTCCCTGCTGAGAACTTCAGGCATGAGAGAGCGACACCAGGCGGGATAAGAGTTGACACCAAGGTTTTCTGATCTCCCCTTACTTCCTGCTCTGTAGAAACCCAGAGCTACCCAATTCCTGTCTTCCTGCAGCCTGATGGTTCAACTTCTCTTGACTTTTGTGAGCTACTCCAAATCTTGGAAATAGCGCCTTTTGTTGCATGAGGTTTGCTGGCGTCCATCTGTGTTGCTTTTCCCCAGAAAACTCTGGCAGATACAGCATATCCATTATTCTTTAGTGCACAGATCACACAGATTGGTGAACAAATGAGCTGACTCTTGAGGGGAGAGATGGCCAATCAGATGGGAAGGACTGAAGAAAGAAAAGCCCTCACAGCAGAGGGATCTGCAATGGCAAAGATCCCTGGCAAGGATGCACACGAGGCTGCAATGCTGGGTTGAAGGTGGGTGGGAGGGGTCCTAACTGCAGAACCATCTTCTATCATCTTGGCCTCCTTTAGTTTGTGTGTATTGTGGTTGAATACAAAACAGAGAGAAGATGTCCAAACCTATGCAGCAGCTTATGGAAGTGGAGAAGGTGGCAGGGAAATGAGACTTTAAGTGATGCTCCCCACCCCAAGACATTGATGGGGAACCTGGGGTGCAGGACAAGGCCCCAGAGCAAGCTGAGGTCCCTGCTGGGAAATCAAAGGTCCAGTTAAGCCAACAGCATGCTGCATCAGACAGAGCTGTCTTACTTCAATAAAAATGGATAATCTCTTCCTTAAGCCTTTCAAAAGGTGGGCTCCGGCCGGGCGCGGTGGCTCACGCCCGTAATCCCAGCACTTTGGGAGGCCGAGGCGGGCGGATCACGAGGTCAGGAGATCGAGACCATCCCGGCTAACACGGTGAAACCCCGTCTCTACTAAAAATACAAAAAATTAGCCGGGCGTAGTGGCGGGCGCCTGTAGTCCCAGCTACTCGGGAGGCTGAGGCAGGAGAATGGCGTGAACCCGGGAGGCGGAGATTGCAGTGAGCCGAGATCCCGCCACTGCACTCCAGCCTGGGCGACAGAGCGAGACTCCGTCTCAAAAAAAAAAAAAAAAAAAAAAAAGGTGCGCTCCAGATGGATTACGGGCCTAAATGTGAATGCTAAAATAATAAAGCCAATCAAAAAAGCATAAGGAGATATCTTTGTGCCTAAAAAGGAATGACTCTACTCCAAAAGACCCTAAGAGCACAAGACAGAAGGAGACAAATATGAAGAATTGGACTGCGTGAAAACTAAGGATTCCCGTCCACCCAGGGCACCGCCGGCCACGGCAGCAGACAGAGGACTCACGGGATGCTGCTGCAAAGAGTCAAACTGGTGAGTGGCGACTACTTGGAATATACACGGAACTCTTACCAAACAATAAGAAAAACATCAAAGATCTGATAGAAAAATAGCCACAGGTTGTGAAAGGCAGAAGAGAGGTCTAAACGGTTAACAAGGATAACGAGATGTTCGAACTCCTCAGCAAAAAGGACTGGTAGTTTTTAAAGCAGCAGCGTTGCTTTAGACTTACTATGAGAAAGGCAAATTTCCATAAGTCGATGAAGTAACATTGCTTGGAATGTCTTGGAGAGCTGTGCACTCTCGTGTACTGTAAACCTGAGAGTCTTTCTGAAGGCGTGCTGGTCAGTCCGGACGTAAGTTAGGCCTGGGTACAGCTCACATCCCGGAGACCCCACTCTGGGCTGTGGAGGTATGGATGCCAGGGAAGTTGTCACATAGGCCCCTAGAAGAGCAGAACATGGATACCCAAGTAGCATTGGTCATGGGAGCAGAGGACTGGGGACATCCTGGCATCCACCGCTCACTAGGAGACACTGGAGTTCAATGCAGTGAGCTCCAGGCATAGCACACCATGGGGTGGGACAGGAAGCAAGGGGAACAAAGGTGCCCAGTCCACAGTAAGTGCTCAGCAAACATTATTACCAACTCTTGCAAACATGGCATCCGTTCACAGCAAGGCAAGGCTTACTCACAGGAAACTGCTTGCCCTCACTCCTCTAGGAATGCTTAATACCCAGGCAGTGTCTCTGGGACCTTGTGGACACCAAGTCCTTTATTCATCTACCTTTTTGCCGTCCCACCAAAGTCCTGTGACAGGAAATGCAGCAGGTCTAATCCTGAGGTCAGAGTGGCCCTCTGCGATGGCTGTTCTTTCCGGCCCACCCCCTCTGCCTCCCTCCCATTCTTGGGACCCTGATTAGCCTGAGTATTGGATGACCGCTGCTCTTCTTCCCCTGCCTCGCAAGGGTTAATCAGCCTTCCTGCGGGGCGGCAGGGCGGCTAGGAAGGAGGCAGCAGGGCGTCCTGGCGGCAGGCGGCTTTCATTACTTTGATGGGATACATGTGCTCGGCTTTATCTCCGGCCCTTTCTCCGTAATTCAGAGCTTGAACGTCTCAGCTGTCGGCCGATCTGCAGACAATTGCTCGGGGTAATACTATCCGGAAAAAGCTGATAAAATGCAGATGTGACGAGGCCTCTGAAATTTGCGGTTTGCTAAGTGGTTTGCTGCGATGCTTGCCCCTGGCCAGGGTGGCTTCCCTTCGAGGCTGGGAACCAGGGGGGTGGGAGTTGCATTTTTTTTTTTTAAGTGAAAGGTTGAATAGAGGAAGTGAGTGTAGATTTTTTCCCTCTAATTAGGAAGATGGGCAAATAGAAAGTAGAGGGGAAGGGGACAATACCGGAGGACGTGGCAGTTCAGGCCTCCCCTTGGGTCCCCATCTAACCAGCCTCTTCGGGGGGGCACCTCCAGAAATGGGCACCCTGGGATTCCTCTGTGCAGCCTGGTGCAGGGGGTGGTGCAGGGGGTGCTTGGAAGGAGGCCACTCACTGACTGTGTGACCCTGGGCCAGTCACTCAATCTCTTCCTCAATGACTCAACCAAAAGACCAAATGACTCACAATCTCAGTTACTTACCAGGTGCGCTGCACCCAGCAGGATGCCTGAACACAGTAGGTGCTCGATGAATGACGCAGCAGTTTCCTTTACCTCACTTGGGACCCCACATGACCCTAGAGAGTAAAGCTGCATGACACTGATGTAAACACAATGAGTCCCAGTTGGGTGGTAGGCAAGGGGCCTGCCAGGCTGTTAGTCCCAAAAATCATGACTTCCCAGGCCAAAGTCACCGGGCTGGATCCCCTGAGGAAACAAGCATCACTGTGTTTTCCTGGGCCAAAGAAGCATTGGGGCAGAGCTCCTCCACTTTACTGTGTGCCCGAATCACCAGGGATCATTCCAAATGCAGATTCCCATTCAGGAGGGCCGGGCAGCCTATGAACATGCATCTCTCACAAGGTCCCAGAGATGCTGAGGCCTCAAGCGGGGTGAAGACCCCGAGTCATCAGGCTGGGGAGGAGGCTTTGGGCATACCTAGGCCTTGCCCTTTCAGTCCCAGGAGAACCCTGCTGACCAGAGAGGACAGGCGGCATGGTTGGTGTTGCTCAGGACGTTGGGGACAGAGCCAGACTGGAAGGGTGACTGCACCCTGAGCTTGGTGCTTTTCCCACAGGGCCTCTGGTGACCAACCTTCCATAGCCAGCCCTGGTTTCAGACCCGTGGGTGAATCCACATGACAGCATCCCAGAGAGCTCGCCTCATCACGCCCTTCCCAACTTGCTTTTACGACAAAGGAAAACTATTAATAGATGAATTGATGCTGTTACGTGCTGCCATTGAGGCCACATAACACAGTTCTCAAAACAGCCACGGGCCTGACCCGCACCTATCTATGGACCTCATGCCCCAGTCTGTGTGCAAACATCTCAAATAATCAATAAGCCGTGAAGACAGCTTGTGAAAACATGGCTTCAGTTTCAGGGATGCCTTTTCGCTCTCTTATATGTTTACGCTAAGGTAAAAGTAGCCAGCACATTGAGCTTCTCCTGCCGTCCTTACCTCTCATCCTCGAAAATATCCCTGGGAGGTGACTTGATCACGCCCATTTTCAGATGAGGGAAACTGAGGCCCAGAAGGTTAAGTCACTTGCTCTAAGGCTCCTCGCTGGCAGGATCAGAGCTGGAGTTCAAACCCAAACGTGTTTAGGAGTATCCAGCTCCAAAGCACACACAGCTGGGTTGGTGCCACGCTGTCTCCGGACAAACAGGACCCCAGGGTCGGTGCGAGGACGCAGAGTGCTAAGGCAGCCGAATGCAAAATTTAGGGCAGGGCCTGGGTTTTTCCCTTGTAAAGGCCAGTCTGCAATTAGAGGGGCCTTTTGCAGTTCTTGCCTTTCAAAGAAAGAGGGCGTCTCTCCCCCTGCTGGGGTGTGGGCAGAGCTGGTAGCAATTTTCCCACAATGTGTAAATTAGTCAATCTCCGAGTCTGTAAACGGGGGCCTTTGAAGCGATCTTAATGAAGCACTCCATTAGGGCTTAGTGATGGCTGCCTCCAGCATTACTGGACCCCGCGCCTTTTGATGTCTTGGGGCCACGGGTTGGAGGCTCAACTTATCTAAATGTCCCGGCAGGCTTAAAAAAAAAAAAAAAAAAGGCAAAAAGCTCCCTTAGAGAAGCTGAAAAATTTTTAATGAAAAAAGTTAGTCCTGGCCTGACTGATGTTGGCACTTCAAAGCCAGTGCAGACTAAATTGCTGTAGACTGCTTAATTCAAAAGTGCTCCCTCGCGGGTGACAGTCCAATGGTGACAAAATACAATTGGCAACAGGAGACGGGCAAGATCAAAGGCTGGCTATTGTAATAGTTTTGTTCCATGAAGAATTGCTCATTGTCAGGAGTTTTTAAGCCTTTTTTTTCTCTCTCCCTCTTTCTCTCTCTTTTTTTTTTTTTTTTTTTTTGGCCCCAGAGCCATCCCGGGATTCTCTGGTTCAGAATCAGTGTACATAAATACTTGTAATTACATCCTTCTGACAATACATTTCAGTTCGCAGAGGTTGCGGCTGCCTTCCCGTCTCTCTCAAGGTTCATGGAGCTGATGGTTGGTTGGATTGTAAAAATCATTTCTGTGTTTTTGTTAGAAAAGATCTTTCGAGGCACTTGGAGGGCGAATTAGAGCTGGGATGTGCTCATCTTCTTGAGGACTATTTTAGGATTTGCTTCAGATTAAACTGCTGCCTGCAGAGGCCCTTGAGGGGTGATGGGGTGGAGGGAGCATCAGATGACTGGTCGTGGGGTTCTGGCTCTTCTTTATGACTTTACCTGGTTTCTCCTGGCCTCAATTTCCCCAGTTATAACCTGGGGCTCATTTACTCACACCACAAGTATTTATTGAGCTCTGACCTGGGTGAATGCATGCCTTGCCAGGGTCATTTGTAAGGCCGTTGGGAGAAAGTGGGCATGAAAGCCCTCTGCGATCTGGACACTGCCTCCTTCACTCCGCTCCGTGGTTTGGAGGGGCTGTTTCCGGGATCTGTGGGTACTGGGATCTGTGGGTTACCTGGCTTCTTTGACCACCATCATTCCCTAGGAACACAGAACCCAGAATGAGATATTCTGGTGAGCTCTTCACAAGCCTCTACTTGGAGGGAGGGAAGAGATGAAAGGAAAGCGTCTCCCCAGGCCTAGAATCCAGTCCTCACTTCTCTTCCCGCAGTGTGGCTCCACCAACTCACTTTTCTCCCAGAACCTCAGTTCCCTTCCGTGTATCATGGGAATCATACTCCCTGCCCTGGCAAATCTCCTGTTTTTTACCTGACTTTACACAAGGCTCAGACAAGGGAAAAGATGCCAACGCACTTTGTAAATGACCAGAAAGCCAGAAGCATCCCAAAGTTGGTCCATGCTATTTTCTGACCCAAGCCGGAGGAGGCTGGGGCTGTGTGGGGCTGGGTCGAGGGTGGGGATGACTGGAGACCATTAAGAAGCAGGAATGCTCTGGCTCCTTTTATTGCTTCAAATATTAGTCACCAGGAAGCTGCCCCGCGAAGCCTATGAGGCCTCGTATCATTTACTTGTCTTGAATTAATTAAGAAGACTCGTATGGGGACAATTAGGGGACCCTCAGGCTGATGATATCTCATCTTGTTGGGATGGAATTTGCTTCTGCATCCCATTTGCCTCCCTGCATGCCCCCAGATATCAGCAGGTTCATTTTTTCCCAAAGTATCTCAGGTATATGTTAGGGCTGGATTTGTGGTTCTACAGGCACGTGGACAGACAGACAGCCCCGTGAGAGATGAGCTGAGGGTCTATCTAGTTGACAGGTGTCTGTTTGCTTTACTCCATGTCTTGCTTTCCTACTTTCCTTTCCTTTGAACCCAACTACCCCTGCCCTTCCCCACCCTTTGCCAATGTTTCTGTCTGTCTTTTGTTTTTAAATTCCATTGGCACCAAGAATTCTAATTTCCCAAACATTTTAAGCAAACGTTCGAGGGTGGCACCACACTAAAGCCAACAAGCTAAGGGGTTTCATCCCAACTTTCTAAAGGTGCTGTCCAAGTGTCCGCAAGGCCATGACAGGCTCCCAGAAACTCCAGATCCACCCGCTAATCAGGAAGGGACACATCATCCGCCACAGACCCATCTGTTCACTATAATCACGCACAAGTATGCATAAGCCCAGCTGAGCAATTATGAATAATTAAATCAATTAGAGACAGTCTAGCACCGGGGATTATGGACGTTCGGGTGTGGGCCTCTGTAATATTTTAACAGTAAATGCAAGAGCCCCAGAGAGGCCTGGCGGGGAGAAGGGAACAAAAGCGTGTCCAAATGCCAAGCCATGTTGCTCGGTGACCCTCCTCCGCAGCACCGGCGGCCTTCCCAAGGAAAACAATGACCATGAAATGCCAAGAAAATATTTTGGGGACAAGTATGAAAGCTTCAAAATGAGTTAATTAAAAACGGATAAAACACGAGCCTTCGAAAGTATGTTGAGGAAATTTAGTGCTTGAAATTTGACAGAAGAAAAAGGTTTTCCAGCATGAAGCAGAACTTAAAAGTGGCAGAGCTGGACCACTGGGTTGTTTTCTTCTAAAACCAACCTCCTCCAGCTTCTTCACACCACAACGGCAGCTCAGGGAGGCCTTGGAAAGCACCTAAGCCTTCCGAGGTTGCAGAGATCAGCCAGGGCACCTGTAGGGCTGTTTCAGGAGCAGGCGACTGAGAAACCTGTTTCAGATCATGGGCGTGTGCGAGGTGAGTGGTTCTGAAATGAGCAATTGCATATGTAAGGCATTTGCAGAACGAAATCTTGACTCCATTTACACTTGCTTAGCATTCAATGAATATGGAAGAAGTGACGAGCTGAGAGAATTAACATTGTGTGACTTGGTTCCCTAGAAAGGGACTCAGTGACCCAGATGCAGGAAGGGGTTCCGGAAGAGAGAAGCATCTTGTGTGTCTTCTTATGGAGACAGGATTCATCTCACAGCCCAGCCAATTTGGGAGCAGCTGTTGAAGATGCCAGCTTCCCAGATTCCATCATCCCCATGGCCTGGGAAGGGTTGAGATCTCACTGCTTTATTGCAGACTGTCAGAGGATACCAGGAATATGATGGGTTTGATGAAACCAACAGGAACATAATCAATTTTCTGTTTCTTCCATGTCTGAACCAAAGGCATAAATATGGCTTGCTTTGGCCCAGCAAAGAGATTTGAATCGAACCCTTCTGGCAACAAAGGACCAGTGTGCCTTTTAAGTGACATTTTGTCCAGATTCATTAACCAGGGCCGGAAGATTATGCAAGAAAAGAACAGAAATTCCCACTATTCTCTCCGACAGGCCAAATCCAGTCCTGTCCTTATGAGTGCGAGAAAAAGCCTGGCCTCCCAGGCTGCACTCTACTCTTCCAAGGTTCCATTTGACACTTTGCATTTGTTTATCTCTGGGCTGTGTTTGAGACATTAGATATCAACATCCTGTGTTGTGGAGGAGGCTACTGATGCTCAGAGAGGTCAAGGAACTCGCTCAAGGCCTCAGAGTAACAAGCGGCTGCTGAGATTCAATCCTGCAAACACCTGCACTGCTGCCTTGCGCTGCTTCTCAGTGCCCGCATGGTGCACGTCGTGCTAACATTTCGAGGTATCAAGATGTCCCAGTGAGTTCTGCCCCAAATGGAGAAGCTCAGGATCCTCATCTGTGATTTTATAGGGTTGCCGCATGGATTAACAATCATGCCCCAATGCAAACCTGATTTCCCCCAAGTCTCAATGATCTAGAGACATGATTTCCCCAAGTCTTGATCCTAAGGGGTGAGGGACTCGCACCCTTACCAACCCTAGCATGTCACTAGCTCCTCACCCCTGCCCAGTTCAAGACATCCCCTGAGATTCCCAACCCCACCCTCGGCCTCCAAAGGGAGACTCCAGCGCTGTCAAGAGCCTGCAGGAGAGATCTCAGGTTAAGTTCTTTCCTTCCAGGTGCTGCTGAAATTCACTTCCCTACGTTTGCTTGGCATCTCTGTGTCCATGGTGGCTCCAGCTCATTCACCAAGTTCTCAGCGTGCCAAGGCAGACTATGCCCCATTGTAAGAGCTGGGGAATAGCGTCCTTGCCCCTCCTTCGGTTACACTGTTATACGGTCCCTGCCTGCGCTGCTCAGGTCCCAGGGGGACCTGAGAGCACAGGGGGAAGTGCTGCCATTTTTCTTTCTAGAGGCTGTCTTCCTTCTAGAGCCACATGTGGGTCTGTCCAGGGGATGGATTTGACTGAGTTGTTACCTGAACCCTGGGTTACTGTCCTCTAATGACTGGGCTTCGTCACTAGGTGGTTCTCTCCAATGGCCATACATGCAGAAGCAAATAGTGCATCCCAGCCCCTGTTTGCTAAGATTGTGTTCCTCCTCAGCAGACCCTCAGCTGCCCAGATTCAACCTGGGTATATTCCTCTGCAAGCAGCCAGGTGTGCCCAGAAATCTTTGCCCATGAGCTGTGGACGCCACCTCGGCCCATGCTGAGATCCCCTCTCCATGTGCACCACAGCCCTGGCTCCTGTTAAACATAGCAATAGAAAGAGACCCTGACTCCTATAAAGAATAGAAGGTTGCTGGATGCTAGAGTGAAATCTGGGGTGGGATGAGAAGATTGACATCCATCCAGGCCACCCTCTGATGACAATGAGTAAGGTCAAAACACTGATGGTGGAAGTGGATCCACTGGATCATTTGACTCAGCAGGTTCTCATGAAAGCCCTGGCAGAAGGAGGCACAGACGGCGATTACAGAATGGCTCTCGGAAGTGCAGGCACCTGCAGAGGGTTGGGGCTGCCTGCTCTCTTCCACATTCTCACAGCAACCAGCAGAATGAAAGGGGCCAGGAGGTGACCCCAGGCTGGCCTCTGCCCTCACGGACAAAGCTGCTTCCCCACGGCAGGTGGGAGTCGCTGCCCTTCTGCTGGCAGTGAGTCCCACCTGGAGTCTTGCTAAGCCCTTCCTAACTACCAGCAGCCTAGAGATCAACTAACCCTGAGGACAACGTGGTAAAAATGGGGCTTAGATGAGGGGCATGGCAGTGAATAGGGGAGCGACACAGAAACCCGAATCTTCTCTCTTTGCAGCTTTGTCTAGGACTGACCTTCTACTGACCCCACACCCCCTTATTCATCCCTTGCTGGGGGCCATCACAAGCCACTCTGTCCCCAGCTATGGATAGCTGCACAGATGATAGCACAACCAGGTGGGAATCTGAGCTTGCGGGCCCTCAGGTCACCCTTCTGAGCCTCAGCTTCCTCATCCACGAAATGAGAACAACCCTAAAGCTGGCCTGAGTATCTCACAGGAATGTGGGAGGCAGGAAATTAGATGATGGGTAAAAGTGAAGTGCAAACTGTGAAGTGCATGTCCATCAATGACATCCTGATTTCATAGGAATACTGTGGAATGAGAGAATTTAAGGCAAGTCCATCAAAGACATCCTGATTTCATAGGAATACTGTGGAATGAGAGAATTTAAGGCAAGTCCATCAAAGGCATCCTGATTTCATAGGAATACTGTGGAATGAGAGAATTTAAGGCATGTCCATCAAAGGCATCCTGATTTCATAGGAATACTGTGGAATGAGAGAATTTAAGGCATGTCCATCAAAGGCATCCTGATTTCATAGGAATACTGTGGAATGAGAGAATTTAAGGCATGTCCATCAAAGGCATCCTGATTTCATAGGAATACTGTGGAATGAGAGAATTTAAGGCAACATATCTTTACGTGGCTCCCCTGATATGATAGCAAGGAGTGAGCAAATCCCAAGTCCGAATTTTTCCAAATTCAGTGAGTTTCCCGCAGTGCCCCAAAGAGCCGGAGGAGCCTGGGGCCATCCCTTAAGGGTCACCTCTAGGGGAAGGCAAAAAGGGAGGTCAAGGAGGGCAGAGCTTAGGGCCCACCAACTCAACTCTGCTCTTTTTGGCCTGGTAAATTGTGAGGTTTCAGTGCAAGAGAGTTCTAGTTCTTGATGGAGAAATTTAAAAGCCACAACTCAACAATGCACAGTGCCTCTGGTGGACTTAGTGGGGACACAAATCCCCTAAACAGCCCCAGGCAGAGCTGCTGAACAGGAGTTAGCAGGGGAAGAATCCAAGCTCCTTGAAGAATAATAAGGATGAAACAAATCCCGTTTCCCCAGGGAGTGATGATGCCACATGGGCCTCCTCAGGCTCCCAAGACAGCAACGGCTCCAGGAGCAGAAATGCTCCTTGTGTCTGATTTGCTCAAATCGCTGCACATTCTCAGGTCCCTGGGTGATCTTGATGACATCACTTCCCCTCTGGGCCTCAGTTTCCCCATCTGCACCTCAGTTTCCCCATCTGCACCACCAGGGGTGAACTGGATGGTCTGAAGCATCCTGTGAGCTCTGCCATCCTAACCCTAAATTCGCCAGGGTCCTCTCCTTGCCACCTGCTTTCCACCGTCTCAGCCCTGCCTCTGTCTCCAGGAGCATCCAGCACCCCCACCTCCGGCCAACCCCCACCCCAGATCCAGACTTCCCCTCCTCCCCCGCCAAGTCCTCTACAAGGCCACCGCAGAAAGCAGCAATTTGGACAGAAAGCAGCAATGTTTTAATTTTACTCGATTAAATCACCATGTGGACAGAGGCTTGCGAAGGAATCTGCTCTACAGAACTTTTCATTTAATAGAATTAGTTGAAACCAGATCAGCCAAGCCCCCGTTCCTGCAGGCCATCTGCCCAGACAGGGAAACAGCTTCCCTAAATAGAACCCCATGCTGCTGGGAGCCTCCTCTAAAGGGCCGGCAGGGAGCTGCCCCCTGCACCGGCCTGTCTGTTCGAAATGGGTTCAGAGTCCTTCCCTTTGGGGCCGGCGGGGCGAGCAAAGCTCACATCCACTTTCAGCTTAGAGCTGGGGACTATAATCAGATTCACATTCAGCTCCACCTGCAGAGTCATCATGCCAAGATGGGGGACTGCAGAAAGGAGATGCCAACATAGAGCCTTTTAATTCAGAAAAGAGGTCTGTCAAGTCATCTGGCCAGACTCTTTAAGAAAATTAGATAAACTAACATTTACTCAGCATTTTAGTTTCCCAGGAACTTTCCCGCGTGTTTTGTTTAATCCTTGTGACGATCTTGCAGTACGGCTCTTCTATGTCCTTTTGCAGATGAGGGTCTGAGAGGTTTAGTAACTGCTCAAGTCTACACAGCTAGGAGCGAGGACCCGTCAACTCTAAAAGAGCAGTTATGACAGACACATAAAACATAAGTGTGGGGGATGTGGTGATAGCCAGGAGGAAGGCTGATGACGGGAGACCCGAGAGCTTGCAAGGATTTGAGAAAACCAGACACAATATGCCAAGCACCTTATTCTGGGGCAAATGAAGTGATGTCACCGTAGTGCCTCACATATGGTCACTGCTACCTCCCTGCCCTTCTCCTGAGCATGTGAGACCGGAGCTGCCGGCTCGAATCGTGTCATGTCCCATGCTAGTTCTATGACTTTGGGAAAACCACTTAACCTCTCTGGATCTCAGTTTTCTTATCTGTGGAACAGGAAGAGGCAATGACACCTCCCTCTCCCAGTTCAAATGAGATGAGGTGTGGAAAACAGTCTGACACACCTCTGGGTGTCAGGAGCCCTTGCTGGGAATCCCAGGTGCTGACTTGAATTCTGCAGGCTAGCCCCCTTATCACTCGGAGGGCGAGTTGCCAGTGACGAGGATGTTAAGGATGAGGATGCACCATTTAGAGCAGAGGTTAGCAAACGCCAACCCGAGGGCCAAATCCTGCCTGCTTATTTTTGTAAATAAAGTTTTATTGGCACAGAACCACACCCACTAGTTTACACATTGTCTATGGCTGTTCTCACCCGACAACAGCAGAGTTGGTAGTTATGACAGACACCAGAAGCCAAATGGCCCAAGAAGCCTAAAATATCTAGTGTCTGTCCCTTTACAGAAAACGTTTCACAAATCCTGATCTAGGGAGCATATAGCAGTAGCACCACTGCCCTCACACCCAAAGAGGCTGAAGACAGGCAGGGGGAAGAGAGAGGAAGTTGTCTAGGGAACATTTTATCCCAATTGTTAATGAGCTTGCTTAACCTCTTGGGCTCCTACTCCCTGATCCTAGAGACCAGTTTGGGTCTTGTGTGTTTTGATGTGGCATTCCTGTTTCAGGAGGAATTATGAATGTGCCCTGATTAGTCTGTCTTGGGGAGTTTTAAAGAAGGGAGGTGGGTTGGGGGTAAACTGTTCTGTTATCAACGGCCACTTTATAAGTCTGTGGCTTCCACTGCAGGGAGTGGCTGCTGTATGGAATTGATACACTTGGAGATTTATAAGGTCAAGTTTTATGAGCCTACAGATTCTCGTGGTGTATTACCACATCCTTATTACAAGCTCATGCTGCTGTCCAGTTAAACCAACGGAGCTAATATATTACTCCTTGCCTGCCTGGGCCACAGACTTGAAGGAAACAGTGCAAAAAAAAATATGGCCTTTGGGAATCAATCGTGTCCTGGTTTTTTCCGCCCAAGCGACTTTGGTTGTTTTTCTCCTCTCCCTAACCCGCATACTGAATGAGAGGCTGCTGTTCAGTTGGTGCACACAGAACAAGCCCTTAGGAGTGGCCTGAGACCCCCAGAGTTAACTGGGGGCAGGGGGAGCAGGCCTGGCTGGGACATTTCTCCAATAGGAGGGGAGACCTACAGGGAGCCCTCTGCAGAGCGTGGCCAAGAAGGAACGCCTGGCTGCGCTGCTGTCGTGCTAACAGGACCATAAATTCAGGATGCTTGTTTGTCTTTGGGCCAGGGCTGTTTTAATGGAGAGGGGGAAGTCACCCTGAATCAGGATGTGCTGAGCTGGTCGGGATGTCTGTGGGTGTCTGTCCCCTCTCTCCAGGCCTTTCAAGCCTTGCAGTGGGGAGGGCCCAGCCAGGAATGGGTTCTGAGCCAGCTCAGGGAAGCAGAGGCAAGGGTGCACCATGACCATTCCAGGTGGGGCCGCAGGGACCTCGTGGCCGTGGCAGGGGAGTGGGAGGGGCTTCAGGTCCCACCCCAGTCACCAGAGCTATGGTAGTGGTGATTTCCCAGCCTTCTCTGGTATGGATGACACTGTGATGAACACTGAGATGAGTCTTTGCACAAGTCTGCTTGTCTACCCATCTTTCGAGGAAATGAACTGATCTGCACACACCCACAGACACACCTGGTTCTGGAGCCAAAGCGAATGTTGAAAATGACTGGCTCAGACGACGCCCGAGAGTCTTTAGTCCCCACAGCATAAGGCCCTGTCAGCTCCGGCAATCTCCCCTGGCTGCATCCCACCCCACCCCAGGCTCTGTCATCACCCAAGTCCCCCAGCAAACTCCTGGGTTCTCTTGCTGGCAGGCGCCGGCTGCCTTCCTGTCTACACTGCCCAGACTTGTTTTGTGAGTCCAGGCAGCTCGCCCCTCCCTGGGCTCCATGTCTGCAGCCCTGTAATAAAGGCACGTTTCTAGGGGCAATTCGACTGTCCATACAACGAGTCTCAAACAATTTTGACTTGGGAATTCCACTTCTAGAAACCTATCATATGGAAAGAACCCGATGTTTGAATAAAGATCAGGAACAAAAGCTTCCACCATGGCGTTAATTATATTAGAGAATTGGAAATAACAGAAACGTCCAACCATGGGGGACTAGTTAAATAAACTAAGGGTCATCTAGTCAATGGACCGCTAAGCAGCCATTCAATATTTATCTTCGTAAAGAATTTGTGGTGACAAGAGAAAGGCATGCCACCATGCCAAAGGGGCACCCCCACCCCCGGCCCTGTAGCAGGAACAGCGGCAAGGTTGGTAAGGAGGGAGTCAACCCTCCCCTGGCTGTCTCCATGACGCCCTGGGGCCGGGGGTCACCCTTGCACTCAGGGTTCAGCAGAGCTGCAGGAGTCCTAAGGGAAGAGGGAATTTCTTACAGGAATTAGCCTGCACGCAGATGAGGGCCACCTGGAAGGGGAGGTCTGGAGGAGCACCCTGAGGACCTGAGAGAGACATCACTCAGCGCCTTGCCACACAGGTCCGGCACCAGCAGGGCCAGACAGGCGAAGGTTTGCAGGAAAATCCAAGAAGCGGCATGCGTCTGGAGAAGGGCACCTGAGGGGCTGAGGCCTGGAGAACCTGGCTCCTCTGGGAGCTGCCCCCTTCCAAGCTGCCCGCAACCAAGCTCCTAGTGGCAGGCTTGGGCTGATGTTTGCCAGCAGGGCTGTCACTTGGGAAGATGAGCTAGATGCAGAGAGCAGGACAGTAAGGACACGCGGAAGCCCACCACACACCTCTGAGTCTGCCACCAAGTGTGGCCAACGTGATCATCCGGGATCAATGGCCTCAGCTTCCCTTCCATCTCCCACATCCCGCTCGGAGCTTCCTTCCTGGGCAACTCTACAGGACAATATAGGGGAGGGAGTTCTGGGAAATGCAGTTCCCATCCCGCAGAAGGGAGCCAAATTCACAACACACACTCCTGCACAGCCTTCATTCCACAGCTGAGAAAACTGACACACGGAGATGTTGTGTGACTTACTCAAGGTTACACAGCACATGAGTGCAGCCTCTTGGGGCACTTAGGACTGAACACCCCCTTGGGCTAGCTTTGTTTATTGTTCATCTTTGGCTCTTCCACTCCATGCAGGATGACATAACAAGGTGGGGAAGGCTGGAGAAGTGGGGATGTTGGACTGGGGGCAGGGAGCTAGCAGCTGTGCCACACTGTGCTCAGCACCTTAAGTTCTCGGCAGGCGCTGGGTGCCTACGTCTCCTGTCTTATGAGAGCTCTCAGCAGCCCTCTTGGCAGGGGCTATGATTATCCCCATTTATGGGTGGAGCAACTGAGGTGCTATTCCTTGCCCAAAGTAACAGCGCTAGTAGGGGGCAAAGCTGAGATTCAAACCCAAGCCGACAGGCTCCAGAGCATGCTGGAGCCCTCTCATTTAGTCCCCACAGCAATGGAGTGTGCTAAGATTTACTATCCTGTCTGCCTTGGCCCCCACTGTATCTGTGGCAGTAATAAACTAAGTGTTCAATCTTAAAGACACAAAGTCGGTTGGCCTGGTGGCTCTCCAAGCAGCCCTTTCAAAAGGTGATGTGGAGAGTTAGATAGCCGGTGTGTGTCTGGTCACCTCCAGGCATTCAGGTTACTGGGCCACCTGGTCCAAAAAAGAGCACAGTAGGTGGGTCACACCTGACCAGGAGGGGTGTGGCTTGGGAAGGGGCGTGGCTTCCTTCCACTCCTAATCCATTGGCCAGAACCAGTAATGTGACTCCACGGGACAAGGTGGGGGAGCACGGGGGTCAGCCGCAGGGGAGGGGAGGACTGGAAAGTGTGGGCTTCGAGTACATTAGTCCTCTCTTAACTGCCTTTCCCTTTCTGTGGTTTCAGTTACCCATGGTCAACAAGGGGTTTGAAAATATTAAACGAAAAATTCCAGAAACAAATAATTCAATTCATAAGTTTTAAATTGCTCGTTTGATGAAATTTGCAGCCTTCAGGTATCCATGCTGTCTACACTATGCTGTTAGTCACTTAGTAGCTGCCTCAGTTATCAGATCTACAGCCGCTTTATTCACAATGGCTCCAAAGCACGGAGTGGTGATGCTGGCCATTTAGATGTGCAAAAGTGCACATAAAGTGTTTCCTCCAAGCAAAAAGGTGAAGTTCCGGACTTTATAAGGAAAGAGAAAAAAATATGTGCTGAGGTTGCCAAGATATTTTAAAGAATGAATCTTCTATCTGTGAAATTAGGAAGAAAAAAAAGAAATTTGTGTATAGTATACGTAGGGTTCTGTACTACCTGCAGTTTCAGGCGTCCACTGGGGTCATCTGATATATCCCCCCGAGATAAGCAGGGAGAGACTCCTGTACTGTGCTCACCAAGGAGAGGAAGTGACTCCACAGCCTGCCTTTTTGGACTCTGAATATTCAGCAAACATTTCACCCCAAACTTAGAACGAACTCACCTCTTCCCCCAAGAAACAAAACCCCAAACTCCCAGACCTCACTGCTTCTGCCTGCCTGGTGTCAGGGGGTTCATGGGAATTTCCAACCTAGAAGGCTCCAGAGACCCAGAGACCCCCCCGGTCTGCCCCTTCCTCCCCAGCGGGGCCAAGGTAGGCTTGGCCGCCCACCTCCGCCTTTGACTCAAACATTTGCCCAACCTTGAAAAAAAATGGTCTGGAAGCCATGCTTAAGCCACAGTGACCCCCATGACAGGGTAGACTCTGCATCTGTGTGATTGATGATGCAGAGACAGCCTCTTCCTTTGCCTCTCTCTGCTTCTCTGCTCCATGCGTTCCTCTTGCTTCAGTTGGCTTCATGCAATGTGCAGGACAGGCCTGAATTCCCAGCCCTGTGGAGCTCAGCTGGAGAGGCTTGCTTTCTGAGGACTTACAGGAAAAATTTCTTCATAGGTCTCTGTACCAGGAGCAGTTGAGCTTCCTTTGAGCAAATGTTTTCAAACGTTTGAGCAAATGTTTTTGTCTTAGAGTCTCTGTGAATCTTGTATCTGATCATTTTTACCTTCTGCTTTGGCCACAAGGAACCACAGAGACCAACCTTTCAGCATGGCTGTGGCAAATACACACTACCTATGGTATGCTTCCCTCCGAAGACCGAACTTAGCTTTGGCTCACTCTTATTTTCTTACTTCTGTTTTCCTATTGTACTAAATGCCCTTGATTTTGTTTCCATTCTTATGGTATTAAATACACATTAACATGATGTTTCAAATTTATTTTTAAGAGTTGAGGTCTTGCTCCATCACCCAGGCTGGAATGAGATGGTGCAATCACAGTTTACTGAAGCCTTGAGTTCCTAGGCTCAAGCAATCCTCCTGCCTCAGCCTCCCAAGTAGCTGGGACTACAGGTGGATGCCACCATGCCTGGCTAATCTTATGTTTTTAATTTTTTAGAGATGGGGTCTTACTATGTTGCCAGGCTGGTCTTGAACCCTTAACCTCAGGCAATCCTGCTGCCTCAGCCTCCCAAAGTGCTGGGATTAGAGGCATGAGCCATCATGCCTGGCCTCAAATCCTTTTTGATGTGAGGTAGAAGTTTAGAAATAATAGAATGTAAATAAGTCAATTAAACCTTCCTGTTCCAACATTCTGCTTCCCACCTCCCATCCATCCCATTCATAAAAATTGCTCCAACAAATTTGCTAAAGTGACATATTAGGTTTTTACACAGTCAATATTAAGCCAGGCATTCAGGGAGACAGAGAGTGCAAAGAGCCACATTGGATGGCCATGGCCATCCAGAGCCCTTGTGGTCATCTCATGGATTTCTCCACTTTTCACCTTAGCCTTAAGAGCTCTGGAAGAATTCCAGCCACGATCTAGTTTTCCTCCTGCCATTCCATTATGTTACAGCTGTATTAAGAGAAAAAGATCACATCTACTACCAAAAATGGCTCCATCCCAGTATTTCCCATGGTTTCTGCCAACATTGCACTTCCCTGGCTCTGGCAGTGGCAAGAACTGGAGGGATCATGGTGTGGTGCTCAGCCAGGGCTCCTAATCACATAGCTGTCTTCACAGGAGAGAGGAACCAGGGCTCAGAAAAGTGCATGTTAGCCTCATTGACTTGGTGGCGCCTGGGACGTGCCCAGGGGCTTCATTGTGACGGTCTTGGAGATGTTACAGATTAGAGTAGGCTATCAGCTACGCTTCCCACTTCCCAGGTAGAAGATACACAAAGAACTGGGCTAATTCCTGCTTGTGGCATGAACTTTGTGACCCAAAGTGCGTTACCCCTGGTAAGCTGGGTTGGAGAACAATAGCTTTGCCTCAAGGGTCTAATGGAGCTCACTCCTCTTGCGCTTGGGTCTTATCCAGCAAGTATGGGCTATGAAGCTGGAGAAAACTTCCTCTTCTACAGGCTGGGAAGGTTCTATGGGAGGCCCCCTTTCTGGAGCCAAGAATGCAGAATGAATTCACTCTGGCCAAGGACAGGCATTCTCAGAGAACAGAAGACACAGAGAGAGGCAGCAGAGCCTGCTTTTTGCATGGTGTAAAAACCCCAGCCCCTAGTCCAATCTTGCCTATAAGGGGTGGTGAGAAGAGAAAAAGTCTCTTCTAACTGTTATGGGCTGACTTGTGTCCAATCCAAAATTCATATTTCGAAGTCCTAACCCCCAGTACCTCAGAATATTGCCATATTTGGAGATAGAGCCTTTGAAGAGGTGATTCAGCGAAAATAAGGTCATTAGGTGGGCCCTAATCCAATATGACTGAAGTCCTTATAAGAAGAGAAGACTGATACACAAACACACATAGAGGGATTACCATGTGAAGACACAGGGAAAAGACACTGTCTACAAGCCACCTAGGGAGGCCACAGAAGAAACCTAAGCTGCTGACACCTTGATCTTGGATTTCTAGCCTCCAGAATTATGAGAAAATTAATTTCTGTTGTTTAAGCCACCCAGTTGGTGATATTTTGTTTTGTAAACCCCTGCAAACTATTATACCCACTATCCCCAAACTAATATACCTAATATACCCAACAGGGATTGGTTGAACTTCCTTATTCCAGTGAGTCAAGGCAAGAACTTGGGGAAGGTAGTATGGTATACGGCTGCATTGATGACCCTGATGATCTACCTCTTCCCACATCCTTTGCCACATGACTTTGAAGTTCCTCTCACTGAAGAAACTGAGCCTGTCTCCCTACCCCTAGGTCTGAGTTCATCTTAGTGCCTTGCTTTGGCCAAAGAGATGGGAGTGAATGTGACACAAGCACAAACTTGAAAGAGTGCTGATGTGTTTCCCATCTGCTCTTGTTCTCAGCCTTGGCTGCAAAAGCATACCTGGACTGGCCTGCTGGATGGGGAGACATGTGGAGCAGCCCATCTCCCCAGCTGCCCCAGCAAGGACTCTTCTAGGTTAGCCAGCCTACCACCAGTCACCAAAAATGAAAGTGACTCCAGCCAAGACCAGAAGAACCGCCCAGCTGAGCCCAGCCTAAAACAACAGCCACTCATGAGAGAAAGAAATGCTTTCTTCTTTTAAGCCACTGAGGGTTGTGTTATTATGCAGCTTTATTGTGGTAATAAATAACAGAGCCCCCTTACCACAGCATGTCTGAGCTGGGAAGGATCCTCATAAAATCTCAGCCAGTGATTTTAAATTGCTCTTTAAGAATTTCTCAGATGTTTGTTTCATATTTCAATGTTTTAATAGAATTGTCAACCCTTCTAAAAATGGAATAAAAAATAACATACAATCCAATGGATGGAGACAGATTTTAACACACTGGGGGCCACCACAAATCTGTTATAACTTGGACTGCCAGGTTAACTAGGTTTCATTCAGACTTAAGAAAAAGAAACACCTCAAAAACCCCCTCCTTTCATCTGTATTTAATTAATGCATTACCTGAGACAGTGAGACAAGATGTTTGAAGGATGTCACCATTTGCATATATTTATTTTTGTGAATGAGCATTTGTACTTGCAATACAGTGAATCCAAACAAACTTCAGAAATCAGAAATAAATTAGCTTTGGAGGCTAAGAGAGACCGTCTCAGACATAACTCCTTATTTTAAACGTTTGTGTTTGTAACCACTCCATTTTCCTCATTGTACAGTTTTACAAGTAAATGTTATTGTAGACTAATAAAATGCCATTCATATAGTTTTTATTTTACCAGAACCCTATATAAGAATCTATTTGAAATTTTTTAAAGGGTTCTACATCTAAACAGAAAAAAGAAAAGTTGAAAGCAAGAGCAGGGAGGCAGGCATTGGGTAGAAATGACCAGCTCTCCTAGCCCCATTCTGAGAGGTCACTGTCCAGGAGCCACCTGGGGGAGTGTGGACACTGCAGCAGATCCCAAAGGTGCAGCAGTCAGGGGCTGCACCCAATTTCACTCCTCATGGCTGGTTCTCTACACAGGGAGATCTGAGGGGCCGCAGCCAGCGTGACCACAACTTTGGGGGCACAGTTATATTTGGGAAGAAAATCCCCTTCCTGTTTCCCAGGAGTCATAATCATAAGACTGAAGTTGGAATAAAAATCGGAACTAAGAAACAGGAAAAATTAGAGACCTAGAATTCCAGTACTATTAGGGAACTCTGGACATTCATTCATTCATCAGCCAATATTTACAGCTGGCTCACTCTGTGCCAGTCACAGGGAATTCAAACCTGGCTTGGTCCCAGTGAAGCCTGCATTCTAGCAGAGCAGAAGGGAGTGAGGGGCAGTAGACAGTACAAGGGCAATGGAGTCACCAAGGCAAGGTTTGAAACTCAGCCTCCTTCCCTTAGATGTGTGACCAGGAGTGAGTTGCTCCATCTACCTGAGCCCTGATTTTCTTATGAATAATAGGAATAAAATCACATCTTGCCTAATCCTTCAGAGATACTCAAAAAGTAGCACTTTCCTTCCTCTTTCCCTTCTACTTTTTTTTTTTAAGCTCCCAAATACCTGGCAAATTGCTAAGTTCTGCATTCGCGTTCACCTCAGCCCACCTCCACCCCATCTCTGATTATCCCTGTCTTTATTCATAAAGTGATAAACACGGCTCCTAGGGCTGTGGTAACAAAACACCACTAACCAGGTGGCTTTAAACAATCAAAACTTATTCTCTGGCAATTGTAGAGGCCAGCAACTGGCCTCAAGGTGTCAGCAGGGCCATGCTCTCTCTGAAGGTTCCAGGGGAGGATCCTTACTTGCCACTTCCAGCTCCTGGGGTTTCCTAGCATTCCTTAGCTTGTGGCAGCATCCCACCAATCTCTGCCTCTGTCTTCCTACAGATTCTTCTAGGCAGAGTAGTCATTGGATTTAGGGTCTACTCTAATCCAGTATGACTTTGTCTTAACTAATTAAATCTGCAAAGACCCTACTTCCAAATAAGATCCCATTCTGAGGCTCCAGGTGAACATGAATTCTGGGGGGACACTGTTCAACCCAGTACAATGGCCAGCTTGCATCCAACAGAGGTGGCATGTCATGGCTGTGCTGAGCTCACAACAAGTTTTAACTCCACAAACTGCAGAGCACTTACAACAGAGCCTGGACCATGGCAAGCATCCATGATCTTAGCGTTATTACCGATCTTCACTGCTAACCTATACGGTGGGGGTTACGATCATCCCCATTCTGCAGAGGAAGAAATTGAGGCACAGAGAGGTAAAGTTACTTTCCCAAAGCCACACAGCCCATAAGTGGTAGAGGCAGGACTCAGTCTCATCCAGTCTGGTGCCAAGTGCCTTAAACACTACTCCCCAGTGTCCCATAGGGCTGCTGAGGGCCAAGGTGGGAATCCTCTCAACACCACTTCCTTGAGCCATTGTAATTCGTTGGCATCATCAACTGAAACCCCTCTCCCATTTCAGAGATGAGAAAAGTGAGGTCCAGAAAAGCCAAGTGATTTGCCCATGACTGCAGCGCTGCGACTCGGCCACCTTGCATCTGGTGCCCAGAACGCTGTGTAGCCTCCACTCCATTCTCCCACCAGTGCTCCTCATTCTTCCAGCACAAGCTGGGCAACTCCTGTTCCAATGACATTCCAGACCTGGGACCCAGCACTGTGGCTCTGTGGCTGTGGCTGCTCAAATCTGTTTTGGATTTAGTGCTGCAAATTATGCCAAGTACCCCAACCCAGAGCCATTTAAAATTCCTCTGTGCCTTGAGGACGGAGCTTGGGAAAAATGTCTGCTTTGCCATTTTCACGCTGTAGTCATTCAAGACCCTGATGTACCACAAAAGGTAAGTGTCCCAGGGGAAGGCTGGCAGGGCATGCAAGGGGCCTGGACGATGCAAAGAAGTGCCCAGCTCCTTCCTTCTCACTTTGCTCCTTCATTTCCTAAAGGCCTCTGGGTGAGTTTAGTCCATGACATGAACTCTGGACTTGGCTCTGACATAGCCCAACTACAGCCGAGAAGGAAAGCTCCTCACTTCTCACATAAAATGTTTTACACAGCCTTGCAGTTTAGGTCCTCAATGGCAAACTCATGCTCCAATGCTCCAAAGATATGTTGTGAGGTATCCAGGAGGCTTTGGCCACCCCATGGGCTCCATGGCTATGGGGGGCACAGATTCAAGAAGCCCCAAATCTTCTCTGAGGTCAGGAATCCTGGGGACATGATGTGCAGATATACAGAGAACTTCCATAGACTAAGCCAGGGACTTACACACTTAAGGGCCCACAGGGGTTAGGCAGGAAACACAAATGAGCCAAGTGCAGTGGGTGTAAGGCAATAGGGAGTGGTGGGGATGGGGAAACTGAGGTGCCCAGGCCTGTCTCCATGGCAACCATGTCTCCGCTCTGGCCTGCCTCCATGGCAACTACTTCTCAGCTCTGGCTGAGTGTTGCCAGGTAGGAATACAGGCCCATGATGCCCAGAGCTTCTAATCTGTCAATAGAAGTTGAACATCTAGAACTTTTGGGGAAATTGTTCCATTTTTGAATGCCAGTTGCTAATTCAAATTCTTTGAAAAAACACTATGAAGTTTGAGAAAACACATGTCTGGGCTGGGCTACTTTATAGCCCTTGGGCCACCACTCGGAGGCCAGTCGAGGCAGCAGTGATTTCTGCTTATCATTGCCCTCAGTCTCTTAGGAGTGGAGTGATGCTCTGTGAATTCCCAAATCCACACTGCACCAGATCCTCCTTGTCCTGGATACGCTTGGGTATCTTCTCTTCTTGTCCATATTCATGCCCTTGCTAACTTGACCCTATCTGATGGCTTTAAATATCAACAGATGCTCCCCAAACTGGAATCTCAAGGCCTGTTCTCTCCCCTGAGGCCCAGGCTCAATTCTCCAACTTCCTGCTTAACACCTTTATCTGGAAGTCTACTCACTCTCTCAAACTGAACATGCCCTTGACCCAACCACTGAAGCTCCCTGTACCCACAAACCTGTCATTTCTAGTGTCTTCCCCTCCCAGTAAATGCCAATTCTATCCTAGAATATCCAGCTGCACCCAACCTAGCTCAGCCAACCTCCACCCTGAAGATGCATGATTGGTGTTTTAAGTCACTGAGCTTTGGGGGTGATTTGTTACTTAATAGCTGGCTGATGTACTTCTTGTTGGATAGCATCTTTCTTTCCACCATAACCAGTTTCCTCGCCATAATACTCAACTCTTGAGGGGACATATTGTTCAACACCAGGCAAAAGCAAGGGCGCACTTTGACATCACTGTGGACAAGCACACGACAGCACAGATGGCTCACACCGGGCAGAATATGGAAGGCCTCCTTCAGTGCCAACATCAGCTGAAACACACACTCCTTTGGTTGACATGTGTATATATGATTCTGAGAGTCTGCGGATTTTATTTGGGATGTAATTGGAGACTTTTCTTACTCATCATTTTATTTAGGGAAAATGTTATGTTGAGTTATTTAGACATAAATATAACTTTTAAATGTAAACACTCATCCCTCAAAATGAAGTACTATGAGATATAGATAGTCTATAAAATTTGGATATTAAAAACCAAGGAGATTCCTCCTGGGAGCACATTAACCAAAGTGGTATTCTTGGGGAGGGGAGCCTCTATTTCCTCAATTCTAAGGCACCATCAATTATCAGAAGCATCATGGATTTAGTAACAGCTTTCTTTGAAAGAAAAGAAGCAAAACATTTTGCATACATTCAGTCCTGGGCATCTCCGTTTCTCAAGAGTTACACAGGATCAATAGGATTTCTAGACTTGAGGACGCACACGTGAGTGTAGAGAGACACACATGTACAGTGACACAGCAGCTGTTCCACTTGAAATTCCCAGCTGATACTGGATGGCAGAGTCTGGTTGGACCCAATATGTCCCGCCAACGCACCTTGGGATCACTTTAATTGAAGTGACAGGGCATGGCGTTGCCACACCACTTTGATCTGTGTTGAACTCTGGATGGAAACACATCTAAGCTTCCTGCCGAATGCTTCCCTGAACTACAGATTTGGGGCTGGATTCAGGCCCCAGGCATGATTTCTCAGGGGTCCTGCCATGAAGTAATGCAGCTGTCTGTGTGATGAGCCTGCAGAGGCCTCTAGGAGGCCCTCCCAACCCCCAAATATCTCCCTCCCTGCCTGACACCCTGCTTGAAATTCTAGTATGAAGTTCTTGAATTTTTTTTTAATCCAGAAGAAACCTTAGAAGAGATTTTCGCCAGTCAGAGTTTAACCAGGAAAGTAGAAGCCACTTTCAGACTTGACAAGGTAGGAAATGTGTGCAGATGTACAGAGATTGTGACAGCAGGAGACACTGGCACCCCTACGTTGCAGAGGCAAAGGGAGATGGTGCTAGTGGAGCCAGGACTAGTGGGCTGTGCTGTATCCCAGGATGGCAGCTGAGCCATGCAGGAGGTGTGGTTGCTTCTGGAGACGCAGTGAGGCAAAGAAGAAGGGGAGAGATCCTGCACCACTCCTCCTCCCTGAATCTTCCCTTGAGTGTCCTTCCAGAACCTTCCATTAGTTGAACCTTCCATTAAGCTGACATGGAGCCTGGGAGTTGCAGCCTGCGGGAGTCAGCCTCTGTAGATACCGAGCAAATCAGGGGAAGTGTGAGATCTGGATCTGAGGACAAATAGGTCTCTAGGATTCTCAGCAACTAATGTAATCTGTGTGTGTCCCATGCAAGGCCACTGAGGCCCAGAAATGCTGAAGGGCTGTCTCTCATTTAGGATCATTAACTTGTGACCACTGAGAGGTCCAGAGGGGAAAGGGATGCCTTTCCATTCGTCTTTGCATCTCAGGCTCCTAAACCAGGGCTGAGGACATAGTAGGTGCACAAGAAATATTTGTAGGGGCAAAAAAGTGCGTAAAAGGATGAATGAGTGAATGAATAGAATAAATGTGAGATGAAGTCACATCTCTCTCTGGGCTTCAGTTATGCTATCAGGAAAAATATTAGCAATCATTGACATTTACTGTGCTTAGCATTGCTTCAATTTTGTCTTTATATCTTTACTGAGGTATAATTGACATATAATAAACTGCACATATTTTAAGTGTACAATTGTATACAATTGACATATTTCTATACCTGTGAACTATCACAATCAAGAGAGTAAACAAATCCATGATCCCGAACTTTCCGTATGCCTATCTGTACTCTTTTCTTCCTGTCCTCCCTACCCCCTACTCAGGGAAATATTGATTTGCTTTTTGTCACTGTAGATTAATATGCATTTTCCAGAATTTTGCATCAATGAAATCATACATGTACTCTTTAGTCTGGTTTATTTCATTCAGCATAAGTGTCTTAGTCTGTTTTCTGTTGCTTATAACAGAATACCTGAAACTGGGTAATTTATAAAGAAGAGGAATTTATTTCTTACAGTTATAGTGGCTGAGAAGTCCAAAGTCCAGGAGCTCATCTGGTGAGGGCCTTCTTGCTGGCAGGGACTCTCTGCAGAGTCCCAAGGCAGTACAGGGCACTTCATGACAAGGGGGCTGAGTGTGCTGGCCCAGGTCTCTCTTCCTCTTCTTATGAAGCCACTGGTCCCAGTCCCATGATAACCCATTAATCCATTAATGCATTAATCCATTAATTCATAAATGGACTAATCCCATTGGGTCCATGAATGAACCCAATCACTTCCTAAAGACCCTACCTCTCAATGCTGCTGCAGTGGGGATTAAGCTTCGACATGAGTTTTGGAGGGGACAAATATTCAAACCTTAGCAATAATGCTTTTGAGTGTTATGCATGTTGTTGTATGCATCAGTTATTCATTCTTTTTAGTTGTTAAGTATTCCATTGTATAGACGTACCACAATTTGTTTATGCATTCTCCCATTGGTGGATATTTAGGTTGTTTCTAGTTTCTCACTATTATTTAAAAAGCTGCTATGGACATTCCTGTACAAGCGTTTGTGTGCACAGATGCCATTGTTCCTCTTGGGGATACACAGGAATAGAATGAGTGGGTGATATGGTAGGTGTACGTTTAACTTTTTAAACAACTGTTTTCCATAGTTGTTGTACCCTTTCACATTCCTACCACCAGTGTTTGAGAACCCACCAGTTGCTTTGCATCCTCACCCACACTTGGGATGGTCTGTCTTTTTAATTTTAGCCATTCCAGTTGGCATGCAGTGGTATCGTATTGTAGTTTTAATTTGCATTTCTTTAATGATTAATAGCGGGGAGCATCTTTTAATACACATATTTTCCTTGGTGTAGTGTCTGTTCAAATATTTTCCCCAATGTTTATTTTCTCATTTTAAAGAGTTTTTAAACATATTCTGAAAACAAAACCTTTACTAATATGTGATTACAAATAATTTCTCTTAATCTCTGCCTTTTCAATCTCTTAACAGTGTCTTTTGAAGAACAGGAGTTGTTAATTTTAATAAAGTACAATTCATCAATTTGTTCTTTATGCACTGTGCTTTTGGTGTTGTATCTAAGAAATCTTTGCATAAAGCAAAGCCACAAAGATTTTCCATGATGTTTTCTTCTAGATGTTTTAGCATTTTCGGTTTTACATTTATGTCTATAATCCATTTTGCATTTTCTATATGATACAAGGTATAGATTAAGGCTCATATTTTTGCATCTAGAGGTCCAGTTTTTCCAGCACCATTTGATGAAACTGAATTATCTTTACACATTTGTTGAAAATCAGTTGAACATATGTGGGTAGTAGGGGTAGGTGTCTCAATTTGGGCTGCTGTAACAAAATACCGTAGGCTGGGTGGTTTAAACAACAGACATTTATTTTTCACGTTTCTGCAAGTTGGTCACGGGACACCCACAGACTAATCAACAGTGGCCAGATGGGAGGAATCACCTGGGAACATGGCTGCCTCTGGAAACCACATAATGGGAAGATGGGAACATTCTAGAAGCAGATAGGCGCTGCACCAAGAAATTGTGTGGGCAGGGATCTGGCACATAAAACTGAAGGTGGTCACCATGGGTGTACATCTACTATGTATCTTAAAAATTAATCTAAAGCCCAGTGTGGTGGCTCACACCTGTAATCCCATCACTTTGGAAGGCCCAGCTGGACAAACTGCTTGACCCCAGGAGTTTGAGACCAGCCTGGGCAACAAGACAAAACCCTCTCTCTACTTTAAAAAAAAAAAAAAAAAAAAAAAAGCCAGTGTGGTGGCGCAGGCCTGTAGTCCCAGCTACTCAGGAGGCTGAAGCCTGCAGATTGCTTGAGCCCAGGGAGTCGAGGCTGCAGAGAGCTGCATGGCGTCACAGCACTCCAGCCTGGGTGAGGGAGTGAGACTCTGTCTCAAATAATTTTAATTAATTTAAAATAATAGCACCCAATCATTTACTAAATATTTAGTATTTTGCCATCTATGGCGCTAAATGTCTGATGACAACTCTATGGAGTATGATTTTCCTTATTTTCTGGATGAAGACATTAAAGCTGAGGTCAGGCAACTCACTCAAGATTAGCCCCCACAGTCAGCACACACCCAGTCAATGCGCACAGCCACACTGCAAAGTGAGCATGGGTGGCCTTACTTTTCAGATGAAGAAATCAAGGTTCTGAGGGATTAAACAATATGTCCAAACCCACAGCTATGAGCTGGTAGAGCCAGGGTCCCACCCCCCATTCTGTCTGACCAAGTCTAGTCTCTGTCCACAATTCTGATACTATTTTCCTGCTCTTTTGATTTTAACAGTGGGGAGACTGAGGCCTGGAGAGGTGTCAGGACTTGTGAAGATTCCTTTCCCAACAGACAAAGCCATGGCCTAAAAGCAAACAAGCCCCCCCAGGAGCTGAGCTCAGGGCCCCTTTTTGTAAAAACAGAACAACAGCAACAAAAATGTACAGAAATGTAAAGTGTTTTCCATTCTTTTGTAGTCTCTCTGGACTTGCTGTGGTGTATTTTAATTTGTTATTTAATGACATTGTAAGTTTTTTAAATTAAAATTTCATATTATTAGCATGAATTTCATGGTTCAACTTCATAGCATGTGATGCCAGTTTTAATGCACATATAAGAGTAATTAACTTGAAGGTGAAATCGCAGAAATCACACATTCGTGTGGCGTATTGTGCATGTCCTTGTTTCCAAAACTGGAAACACTGCACAAAGCCAATTCAGCTGTTTTTAGTTTACGTCTTGAGATGAACGCATTCTGCCACCACTTTCTACCTTCAGCTTATGGAGGACTAAGGAAGTACTGAGTCGAAAAAAAGCCTGTGATTTCCCTATCCTTCTTTTTCTTTCTCTGTCATCATTGTCAGCATAGGTGGTTGTCTTATACCAAGGAAGTAGCAGGAAAAGGCAAGGACAGAATGGGTCATTCCCATTGCTTAGAATGTCATTGTCTTCTTTCTGCACTTGAAGCACGTCCTGGTTGGAACAGAAAGTGCAGCTTCTTCTTACTGCACCCCACCCCACGACCTCCATAGCCACACATGTAACCTGCTTTCCTTGGACTTGATTTGAGTCCTGCTGAATTCCTATGCACCCCGCACCTCTGGGGCCTCACAGATGCTTTGTGCAAAAAGGGCCACAGGAACACTGGGCACACACATGGCATGGAGCTCCTCTGCCCATGTGCATGCTCCATTGTCCCATCAGACTTCGCTTACAAAACACATGTCAAAGGTAAAATCAGGAGCTCATGTCCCCTGGGCTGGGTGACAGGCTGCTTGGGGTTCCAACTTTCCTCACCCCACCACCAAAGTCTCCATTGCCTCACCCTCTCCAAACTCTGGTCAGCTCCCCATGCACTCTGGGTAGGATGAAGCCTCCAGACCTTTGCCCAGTCCATTTTGTCTGTCTAGAATACTTGCCCCTTCCACCTGCCAATGCTCGGTTCCAGCATCACCTCTTCCTGGAAGCCTTCCCTGACCTCAAGCTGGGTGGTCCCCTCCCTCCTTGGTGCCTTTTCCTCCATTCTCTGCCTTCTACCAGAGAGGTGGCTCTGTGCAATGATGAGAGCTGAAACTCTCCAATTTTGGAAGCTGAAAAGGGGTTCGAATCTCAGCCTCCCACTCACACTTTAGGAGATTTTAGCCAATGACAGCCTCCTGGAACTCAACTTTCTTGTCCCTAAAATGAGACCAGTACTGGTACTGTAAAGCCTAGCAGTGTAAAATGAAATGGGAACACAATTGTGGGACTGTTATCTGCTGCAGAACATACTGAATGCACTGATTCCATTGTTCATCTGCACCTTGCCCCTAGTTCGAGTTCGTCAGAGGAGAAGGGCATTTGTCCTTGTAGTTCCCGGGCTGGGCATGGGCACTCTCCAACCCTGGGAATGACATCTCAAGCAGGAACAGGAGACTTCCCCACACACTCTGGACTTTCCCACCCTCCTGAAGTCAGTCCGCCTGCAGGATTCAAAGGATTCAAAGCAGGTTCCAACTTCCTTCTTCATTTTCCACCAACCCCAGACAGAATTCCCTTCCTACCCATCCCTTGAGTGTCTGTCCCAGGCTGATTTGCTGTTTACGCTCTCATTTCTCTGTTTATGTTCACCCTCCCTTCCTGGGCCTGCAGCCTGCCTAACCCTCCCTCAGCAGCTCCAGCCCCCACTTGCCCAGGCCCCTCAGGGCAAGCGCCAGTTTACTTTCACAAACCTTAAGAAAAGAAAAAACAAAAGGCAGCCACTAATGCCAAAACTTTCCAAGAAGTCCAGACACCGCATCGTAATCATCTGGGGAACCACTACGTAATCACGGGGCCCTGCCAAGTTTCTGGTTTAAAGGGGGAAAATACTTTGTAAATAGACAATATATCAGGCTATTAGAAATGTTCAGGGTAGGTTGCAAATTATTTGCAGCCCTGAAAGGAGGCAGACAGCCCTGGGCTGGCGTCCCTCCTCTGCCCTTCCTGGTTTAGGCAAGCAAAGGGGCTACTGGGAGCCTCTCTTTTCTCATCTGTGAAATGGGTGCAATTGGTGGGGCCCTACCCAGACCAAATGATCTAAGGTAAGTGAAGGGTGGAACCCAGCACCCAACACCAGGAAAGCACCGAGCACATCTTTATTTTCTCCCCTACGGAGCAAAATTGCAAAAAGCAAAGGAAAAAAAAAAATGAGCAAGAGTTTACAAGCAGCCACTGGGGTGCCAGTAAAACCCAGAGGGCAATTATTTCAAGCAGGAGCATAGATGTTACTGGAAGGTCCATGGGGTTAGGTGGAGCCAGCTTCTGAGAATCTAAGCATCTCTAAGGGGAAAAAATAAATTAAATAAATGGTTTCTCAAATACACAGCCATCTGGAGATTTGATAAAAGTATCGGGTTTCTCAAGGCAATCCACGAGTGCTCCCTGGGCGCCACCGTTTATGGCTTAAATATGACTCGCATGTGGAACCAGCATTACAAATGGGAAACAGCAGCTCCTGAGCTTGTTCCCTAATGGGGGCCTTTCATCACCCAGTTACCCTTAAGCGTCTCCCTTCCTATTGTAATTGGCCCTAAATGAAAAGCATTAGTCCCGTCAATAAAAACTAATGGTTCTACTTACTAAAGAAGAAGGGGGTGGAGAGAAGAAGAGAAGTCTCTTTAAAAGGCAGGAAGGGCCTGGCGTCGCTTCCCTTCCGGAACTTGGGGGGTTTCATATTGGGGTGCAGAGGGCCATGCTGGGGAAAGTGTCCCCAGCAGGAGCCAGCAGGCAAGGTCCCTACTCTGGCTCTTGCTGTGTGATGCTAGACAGGTAGCTCTCCCTCTCCGGGCTTCCCTTGATCTTTGTCAAAGTTGATATAATGAGGCCACTCTGGCCTGCTCACAGTAGGGCTGATTTCAAAAATCAAAAGAGAAGCTGGACGAAAAAGGGTTTTGAGAACTGTCAAGGGCTTGAGCTCTGGGTCGAGTCATGGCAATTTTATCCTTCCTGGCAATGGGAAAAGTCCCCCAGGCGAAGTCTTCTGCTGGGATCCAAAGGGAAGTCTATTCAGGGTCCTGTGCCCCAAAAAATGTGGCCTGTGGCTGGTCGGCCCACAAAGAGGAGCTGTTGGAAATTAAACTGAGAAGGCATTCTCCACCCACATGGCAGGGGAGTGGTGGGGATAGTTATTTATTTGTTTGCTTAAGACTTCTCAAAAATGGTCTAATCCTCTCTTGGCTAGTGGCCATCCCCGGCCGTGGGCCCCCAGTGCACGTCAGTGGGAAAGGTATGTCCTCCAGTAAGCACAATTACAAGAGCCTAGAGATGGGATGCTCAGGAGCCACTGGCACTTTAAACAACCCTCACTTCAGACTTGTCACACTGAGCTTCTGTTTTGCACCTTGTCCTTGAGGACAAGTAGAGTGCAAGCCTGCTAGAAGGAACAGCCCTTGGGCAGAGAGGTAGGAAACTGAGCTGTGAACAATTGCTATGGCCAGAACCTTTGCCAGGTGCTGAGCAGCTATCCATGCCTGAAGTACTGCCAGCAACACTGCAGGTGTGGCCTGCTATCTGCATTTCATAGGTGAGGGAATTGAAGCCCATCCCAGTAAAGAGAATTGGGTAAAGCCACACAGCAACAAAGGAGGTGGTAGGTTCAGACTAGGTACAGAGCAGGTGCTCTGCCCTTCAGAGTAGCTTCCCCAGGACAGCAGGTAATGGCAAGAACCTCAATAAGGCTATGGTTCAGATGCTACGGGGGTCACACCTTTATCCCCTCACCCTTACCTCGCAAAGCATGCTGCCCCATTTCCCACCGGCTGCCCCTGTATTTTCCTGCCTGATAGCTTTCTCTGGCCACCACAGGCAAAGCTAGAAGTGTCAGGAATCCATACCTCCCAGTAAATAGCCCTTAGTCGCTGATGTGGGGTAGTTGGGGTATAAATACCACAGCTCCCTCTCCCTTGGGTGAAATAAGTCTGGGTTGCCTGACTACACTTGTTCTCAGAGCTCCCTGCAGGCATGAGCCACACCTGCTTTCTAACACATTCTTGGTTGCCTGGCTCCCCTTCCCTATCTCACTTCCCACCTCCTCTCAAGTCTGTCCCAGGTTCTGCTTCTGGGAGAATCCAAACTCAGATGTGTGGGATGGGCCCAGGGGAACTAACCTGACAGCTGGGTCATTCCAGGCCAGGTCGATGTGAGCCCAGACCAAGGTTAAGACACAGTTATATTCATTCATTGTTCATTCATTCAACAAACATTTATTGTATGCCTTGATGGGCCAGGCACTCTGCTAGGCACAAGGTTTCTGGTGAGAACAAAATAGAGATTGTGTCTGACCTCATGAAAATCACAGAGAGATGGCAAAATTCCATCAATAACCAATAAACAAATGAGAAATTGTGAAAGAACAGCACAAGTGCCTTGCAGAAATAAGAGGAGGGAACTATGCTAGAGAATATTGGAGGAGGGGACATTTCTTCCCTAAAGAATGGGAAGGATCCAGGCTTGCGAGAGCAAGAGCATTCTCTGGGGAGGGCATAGCCCCTGCAGAGGCTCTGAAAGTGGAGAAAAGATTCACAAGTGAGGAAGCCTCTTGTATTCAGAATAATGCTGAAGTGGGCTTTTAGGACTTGATGGACATTGAATAGTACTCTTTGGATGACAAATAATTGAAAACCTGATTCAACCTGGCTGAAGCATAAAAGAGAAAATATAGCCTTTAGGGGTAGATGTAGTTCCAGACACAACCACGGAGGTCAAACAGTATTGGCAAGCTGCTTTTGCTTCTGTCTTCTTGGCTCACTCTCTCATGTTAACTCTGTTCTTAGACCAATTCTCCCCTCAGAGCTACAGAATAGCTACCTAAATTCTGGCAAAAGGCTGGAGATTCACTCTTATTGGACCAGCTCAGGCATCTACCTAAGTGGCTCAAACCACACCAATTACTATGTTAGGGCAAAGTGATGCCCAGTCTTAGATCTGGGTCATGTGATCCCCCTCAGGGCTAGCGAATGATGGATTCTATTGAAAATCAATGCTTTCATCCAAAGAAGGGGAAATGATTGCTGAAAAGGGGGAAAAAGTCTTCTAGAACCACCATGCCCCCATGGGAATGGCTGAAATTAAAGACTGACAACATCAAGTGTTGACAAGAATATGAAACAACAGGAACTCTTGTGTGCTGCTGATAGAAGTCTAAAATGGTACAACTACTGTATCACAAAGCACAATAAAGTGAGGTATGCCTGTACTGTATGTAGGAAAGATGCTTGGCATTTTCTACTAAAGCTAACCATTCACATACAATATGACCCAGCAACCCAACTCCTGGGTATATATACCCAGCAGAAATGAGTGTTTATGTCCCCCCAAGAGTCATACTATATTAGCCTCTTCTCACATTGCTATAAAGAAATATCTGAAACTGGGTAATTTACAAATAAAAGAGATTTAATTGGCTCATAGTTCTGCAGTCTGTACAGGCAACATGGCAGCATCTGCTTCTGGGAAGACCTCAGGAAACTTACAATCATGGTGGAAGGTGAAGGGGAAGCCAGCACTTTACATTACCAGAGCAGGAGAAAAGTGGGGGATTAGGTGGGGGGAGGTGCCACACACTTTTACAACCAGATCCCAGTGAGAACTCACTCACTATACAGTACCAAGTGGGGGATGGTGCCAAACCATTCATGAGAACTCTACCCCCATGATCTAATCACCTTCCACCAGGCCCCATCTCCAACACTGGGCATTACAATTGAACATGAGATTTGGGTGGGGACGTAGATCCAAACCATACCACATGCCTAAGAATGTTCACAGCACCTTCATGTATAAAGCCAAAAAGTAGAAATGGCCCACATTTCCCTCACCAGTAGAATGGATAAGTCCTTCACATGAGATATAAAGAGTACTATGCAGCAGTGAGGGAGAGGAGGGTACAGCTGCCTACAATAACGTGAGTGAAACTCACAGATGTAATAGTGAAGGGAGATAGATACAAAGGAGTATTTACCATGTAATCCAATTTACATGAAGGCTTAAGAGCAGGCAGAACTAATATATGGTGAGAAAAGTTGGAGTAGTGGCCACCTCTTCTGAGGTGCTGATGAGAAGGGGAAGCCTAATAGAATCTACAAGGGTTCTATATCTTTATTGGTGGTGGTCACCTGTTGGCCACACATGTAAAACCTGTAAACCAAAACTAAAATTCTAAGGCCTCCCATCAACCATGTGAATGGGGACCCCTCCTCTTGGCCAAGGCCATTCCAGAGTCAACCTGAAAAACGAGTTCAGGACACGATGGAAGAGAGGATCGGACCTGCCTCATCTACCCTCCAGCATTATCATCAACACAGACCTTAGGTCTGACAAGAAACATTTACAAACTCTTCTCTCTGAAGCCTGCTACTTGGAGGCTTCAGCTGCATGATAAAGCCTTGGCCTTCGCAACCCCTTAGTATAACCCACACATTCCTTTCTATTGATAGTAACTCTTTCAACCAATTGCCAGGTAGAAACATTTTAAATCTACCTATGACCAGGAAGTGCCCCCCATCCCAGTTGAAATTGTACCCTCCTTCCAGATCAAACCAATGTAAATCTTACATGTATTGATTGATGTATTATGTCTCCCTAAAATGTATAAAAGCAAGCCGTACCCGGACCATCATGGACACATGTCGTCAGGACCTCCTGAGGCTGTTAACCTTGGCAAAATAAACTTTCTAAGTTGGTTGAGACCTGTCTCAGGTAATTTTGGGCCACAAGCTTCATTGAGCTAGCTAAACACTTAAGACTTTCTTACTTATATGCACGTTATACCTCAATTTAAAAGTTTTTTAAATATTATTTTTAATGTTCCCAAGAGTATCATATATAGTTCTGTTTATTATCTTTCTCTGGCTTTATTCTATTATCCTTTCTTTATTTTCCCTTTGTCCTGATTTCTTAATCTATTTATTTTTATCCTATTATATTGCGTCTCTGTAAACTATCTCAAACTCATTTGCAATTAGAGAAGTTAAGAATTTAAGGGAAAAAAAGCTTGAATAGGAGTCTGCTTTTTTAACTTAATGAACATGATTCTCTTTTTATTGTCTTAGCTTCGTTGCTTTTAGTCCTAAATCAAGATTTTTCTCTGTCTGCCAATTTGCAAATGGGCCAATTTCTACCAATTGGCCTTAACATATACAAATCAGTCTCATAAATAAAAACAAAAGTTTTCCAGCCGACACAGCGTTGGTTTTCCATCTTCAGATCCCTACCCCATGGTGTTCTTCTGGCAGTAAAACAAGAAAGCTATCGTCCTCTTCGACGCAGCATAAATTGTCATCTTTCCCTGGTTAAGCTTCAGATGCTTACTGCCAAAAGCAGGCCTCTGATTCATTCCACTGAGATTCCGGAGTAATCTGCCTCGAGGCTGCAACCGAAGATACCTTCAGCAGACCCCATTACAAATTAACGTTTAATCTTGGCCCAGAGAATGCTGGAGCTGAAACAGCCCACGGGGGTGGCTGAGCCCACCCCTGTGAAGTCCGGGAAGGAGCCCCATCCCCACCCTGAGCCCCATGGACCCACCACAGTCCAGGGATGGATGCAATTTCCAGGTGCCTGGGCACGGGGCTCTGCTGCTGACGCCACGTGATTGCGCACAGCCTCTGTAAGCCTTGGTGTCCTTCCCACTCTGCTCCCATAGCAGGAGATGCAGGGTGTAGGGCTGATGGACTCAACGATCTTTGCATCTTGATCCCTCGGGATTGCAAGAGCCTGATTATAGGGACTGTGTTGTACTCTGAATGTCCAGTGCAGTGCAGGGCACACAGCAGGGACTCAGCCAATGCTTGTCAAGTGACAAAATAAGGACGACACGAGACACCACTGAGCAGTCGGATGTAGGCTCCGAGGGAGGGGAAAGACTCAAATATGGCAGCAGGTTCATGGCTTGAGTAACTGATGAGACGGTGGTGCCATTCTCCAAGGTAAGCCCCTAAGAGAAGGCAGGAGCATGAAAATGGGAGTCAGATTTCATGATTTGCCTGCACGTCCCCAAAAGCCAGCACCAGCAGAGGGAGATTCTGGTCTTTGTAACATGCTCAGAGAAGTCCCTAACTCAATTGCTAACTCAGTTGCTCCTCATGGGCATAATAGGCCCCACTGTTTCCAAGGGCAGGGTCCTAGCCTTACCGACAGGGAAAATCATCTTTTCTCGAGATGGAAATAGACCATGGGGTCATCAAGGCCAAGCCGCACACATCTCTGAAAGATGGATCACAGGAAGAGGGGCTGCCAGCCTGCCGCTGGTTCTGGGGGTGGGGTGGGGATTGAGGTGGGAGCTCAGGTTCCAGTAGGGCACGTTAGCCAATGTTGAGCTCAGATGATTCATGAGCGGAAAAGAGCACCAGCGCCCACCCAGGTTGGGGCTGCTGCACATCTCCCAACTGCCGAGCTCAGGATACCCATGGATGACTCCCTTGCTGCACCATTAATCCATTCCCAGAAAAAGGGGTAAAGTTTCACACTGAGAGGCTTGGAGAGGGAACTGGATGGGGCTTAGACAGGGCAATGAGACAGGGGTAGGGCGGGGGTCCCCTTGCAGAAGGCTCAAGCCCTGAGCAACGCAAGGGAAAACCCAAGTGGAACCCGGTCTTGAGTGTCACCCCTAACGGGACGTAATCCTCTGTGACCCCAAGGGATTGCCCTGCCCCACGTAAGAGCTCTACACAAGCCTGTGTACACTGGGGGATGCTTCCCAGGCAGGGGGATCAGGGAAGGGTGGACTCTACCCTGCTGCTTCCCAGATTGTCACAGAGGAAAGGGCCTGGCACTGAGGGTGGGGAGTGGACAGGAGCTACAGAGTGACTGGCAGCAGCCAGGAGCCATGCTGGATATGGACACTTAGAGAAACGGCTGCGTGAAATACAGCACTCTCCACACTGCCTCTGTGCCACAATGGGCAGTGCCCACTGTGCTTATTGAAGCTCTTCATCCTCATGGTGACCCTATGAGGAATATTCTATTATTACCATTGCTCATTTTGCTCATATCCTCATTTTGCTGATGAGGAGCCAGGAAGTAAAAATCAACTGCCCAAAGCCTCAATGCTAGAAAATAGCAGGGTCAGGCTTTGAATCCAGGGAGGTGGACTCCAGAGACCCTGCGCCTAACCCCAGCACCCCCACTTCTGTGGCAAGCCATGACATCCCACCCAATTTGCAAAGCTGCCCCGGGTGATTGGGGGCAGGAGCCTCAGCCACCCCAGCCCCTACCCATGCCAGCTCAGAGCCACAGGGGGAAAAGGAGCTCAGTTCTGGCCAGTGCCCTTCGGTGCTGATTCTGAACCCTTTATTGAGGAATTCGTACGGCCTTTTGCCATGTATTTTGTGATCTACTCAGCCAGTCCCCAGAAGGGCAAAACTTCCCTTATGATATCCTAAGATCTATATATTGTTACTATGAATAATAATAATACCTCACATGAGTTCAGCTCTTGACAATTTATGGACTTTTCACCTCCCCAAATGCAATTGGCTTTCACAGCAACCAGGCACAGACATTACAGTCCCTTTCAGAAATGAGGAAACTGAGGCTGAGAGAAATTCACTGACTTGCCCAGTCTTGTACAGAGTACATCAGACTTTTAATCAAGAACATCTAACCTCAAATCCTAGGCAAGTATTACCTCATGCCTGCAAGATTTTCTTATTTGGAGATAAAATTATTTAAATTTGAAAAAATTATGGGAAGGAAGCAGCTTGGTAATTTTAATATAAGGAACCTTTCCCAAACTATAAGTTATTTCCTTTCCAAAACAGGCTCATAAGTGGTTTTGCTATTTTTATATGATTCTCTGTGATGAAATCTGTTATAGGGTACACTTGCAGGTTCTACAGCACAGGAGGGGGAGGTGGGAAAAGCCCATTACCTGTCACTAAGCCCAGTCCTCAGAGAGATGCCCAGGATTTGCTCTAGGTTACCACAGAGTAAGAGGAGTCCTTCCCACCATCTTGCAATTGCAGATTGCTGGGTAACTGAGCCATGAAAAATAATCCTACCCATGTTCCTCCACTGGCCTCAGAGAAGGAATCCTGAAAGCAAATTGTTGTGGTGGAAAGACTCTTGTCTGCATGCCAAGGGGTTCTTTCTGGGGGATGAGAGCATTCCCATGGTTCCTAAGAAAGTATCCACAGAATTCATACATTTCCAGGTTAGCTTCGGTGCAGAAAATCATCTCCTTTCCAGGTTCTGATGGATGCTTGTGGGGTTGGTGACCATGAATGTGTTACTGAAGTTCTCTGTGCCTCAGCTTCCCCATATATAATACGGCATCAGGACCCACTTCCTCGGGTGGTTTGAGGATTTGTATATATGTATTAGTCTGTTCTCATATTGCTATAAAAAATACCTGAGACTGGGTAATTTATAAATTCCCCATGTAAAATAGGTCATGAGGACCCACTTCCTCGGGTGGTTTGAGGATATGTAGATATGTATTGGTCTGTTCTCATATTGCTATAAAAATACGTGAGACTGGGTAATTTATAAAGAAAAGAGGTTTAACTGTCTCATGGTTCTGCAGGCTGTACAGGAAGCATGGTGATTCTGCTTCTGGGGAGGCCTCAAGGAACTTGTACTCATGGTGGAAGGCAAACCAGAAGCAGGTGTCTTCATGTGGCTGGAACAGGAGGAGGAGAGGGAAGATGTGCTGCATGCTTTTAAACAACCAGATCTTGTGATAACTCACTCACTATCATGAGAACAGCACCAAGGGGACGGCGCTAAGGCATTCATGAAGAATCCACCCCCGTGATCCAGTCACCTCCCACCAGGGCCCACCTTCAACACTAGAGATTACAATTCGACACGAGATTTGGGTGGGGCACACATCAAAAACACATCAAGATATAATAGAGGTTAAACATCCAGCCAGCTCTGTCCTGACACATGGCAGGCACTTGATAAATGTCACCTTCCCGACCTTCCAAAGCACACACCCTTTCCCTCACCACCCAGGGAACACCCTTGACTCCAGAAAGAGGAGTGAGAACTCCCAAAGTTGTAAACATATGGTACTTGTTTAGAGATGGAAAGTGAAATGCTGCTTCAAACCTAAGCTGCCTCCTGGGAAAAGCCAGAAGGGAAACAAGAAGAAGTCACTGCTGAAGCTCTGTCACCTACAGCATGGGGGACTCTGCTAAAGCTTCTGCTATTTTTATGCATGCTGGAAAGTGAGGGGAGGAAGTCATCCCTTATTAATTTTTATGTAGCAACCTGTATTCTTTGTTTTACCAACTCCGGGCACAGTGGACACCTCTGAACTTTGCCAGTCAATCACCAAAGGCTTTTGTGTCCAACTAGCAGAAGCTCTTTTCCCTCTGAGGTCACCTTTCCACACACCTGAACCCACCCTGCACCTGTATCATAATCGTTTGAAATACTTAGAGGCTTGCTCAGTCTAGAAGGGGTCATTCCTGCTTCTGAGGTTCACTTGGAGAAGCGGAGTCTGATCTATTTACTGCTGTCATTGCCTTGCATGGCCACAGGTGTCACTGTTGAAGACAAACTCTGTGCAGCTTGCCTAACACACTTGCTCCTGCTGCTGGGCTGCACCTACTTATGGAGGCTACCATGCTGTCTCACTCTAGGCATCAACAATACAAATCTTGCAGTTCACATTCCCATATCTTTTGCTTAGCTGTTGTTCCCTCAAACACACCATTTGCAAGGGTGACTGGGTCCAAAATAATTTTCTGAATAGATCTCAACTTCTGCCCAAACCAGCTCCTTCCCTGTGAACACTCTGTGATGGTTCATTTTACACAACAGCTTGGCTGGGCCATAGTACCCAGATATTTGGTCAAACGTTTTTCTGGATGTTCCTATGAGGGTGTTTGGGGATGATGTTGACATCTAAGTTGGTGGACTTTGAGTAAAGCATGTTGCCATCTATAATGAGAGTGAGCCTCGTCCAATCAGTTGAAGGCCTGAATAGAACACAAAATTAACCTCCCCACTAAGCAAGAGGGAGTAGTGACAGCAGATGGTCTTCAGATTCAAACTGCAACATTGGCTCTTCCCTGGGTCTCCAGCCTGCAGGCCCACCCAGCAGATTTTGGATTTGCCAGCCTCCATAATTGTGATTGTGTCAGTTAGTTCTTCAAAATAAATCTCTCTCTCTCTCTCTCTGCATGCACACACGCACACACACACACACACACACACGCACACATCCTATTGGTGCTGTGTCTCTGAAGAACCCTCTATCCCTATATTGAGACTTCAGTCTGACTCTCCTGACTGTCACACAAGTTCTCCTTCAGTCTTTGATGCTTTCTCTACCTGCAGATCATAACCAGGTGACCTCCATCTTTCCTGACAGTAGACTGGGTCCCTGGGCTTTGTATGCAAGATGGTAACTTCCACACCATTGTCTAAAAATGAAGGTCTATTTGCCTTATACTGCACTGACAAACCAAGAGAGGCTGCCAAAGGATTCTTTCCTGGACAAAGATGATCTGCTCTGAGATGAATTGCCCACCTCTTAGGAGCCAAGAATCCCAGATTAGCTTCTAGTAACCAGAAGCCATCACAGACAGATCAGCTTTGGGCCTGCTAAAAGCACTTTGCATAAATTTTCTCACCTGATTGAATTCTCCGCTCACCCTGGGAGGTGGGTGTTTTACATGCACAATGAGAACACCAAGGTGAGTTGCTTCTCCAAGGTCACATAACCGGTTAGTGGCAAAGTTAATATGCCCCTTATAATCTGTAATAATGTTTTAATACAAGTGTTATTTCTTAATAGAAAAGAAAAATTGGATTTGTGCCTTAATCCTCAGCCCATCTTAGCTAACTTAGGACCAGACTACACTCCAAACTTTTAAAACCATTTTTGGATTGATCAGCCAAGAAAAAAAACGGCTTCTAGGGAGTGTGCTTAGCAATGCCAAGCTATTAACTTCCAGCAGAAGTCAACCATGATACTAAAATGAAAGTTTGATAATATCTATTATTTATCATATTGTTCCCTCCTCATCTCTTTATGATAAATGGATAGAGGCCCAGAAATCCTAATTGCCATGCTTTTTCCAGATGGGAAAAGTAATAATTTTCTCTGTTCTGCCTTTTTTGTATTTGAATGAAGTTTATGAGGAACTCGAGTTGACTCCATCTGGTTCTTATGGGAAAGCAGTTGGATGGTGTTCTGACTGTGTTCCAAATCTTTGGGATCAGTCTGCCATGAACTAGATATAGGACATGAGGAAGGTCACTCATCTTTCTAAGTCTCATTAAAAACAAGAGGCTGCTCTAAAGTCCCTTCCAAGTCTGATGGTCCATCTGCCTCTGGTTCTGCAGATACCTCCTCAGGGTTCAGCCAGGGGCAAACAGCTGCTCTGGAGAGATGGAGGCCCTGACACGGTCCAATATGGGTAACACCTTCACAATCAGAGCGTTTACAAGGCCCAGATGCTGATCCTGGCTCTACCGCCATTGGCTACAAAATCTTGGACAACTCATTTAACATCTTGGCATTTCCTTATCTGCATTTTCCACATTGGTAAGGTAGAGATGATAATGCTGGCCCGAAGCCTACCATTAAAAAATATGAAACAGATTCTTTTAAAAGGCCATAAAGCTACAAGGCAGAACGCTTCACCAAAAGAAGCACTTGGAAACAAGTTTGCCTGGCCACCAAGTCCTCAACCATTGCAGGGTTTCTATGCAAACACTGCCCTCCCAACACACACTGACTCCAGGCTGCTAAGTGTGACTCCTCTGTCAAGGGTCCTCAGCCCCCCGAGGAGCTGCACCAGTTTCTGCATCCCAGATCCAAAAGGGGGTTCATGGGATTAGCCTGAGAAAGGAAGAGTCACAGAGGGACATTTGTGTGAGGTCTTGAGCCTCTACCCTGGCTACCACGGCTCCCCTCACCTGTGTCTGACGCACATTTCTTGAAACCCAGAATGTTTATTTTCTAGGAGCTTGGGGAGTTCTTTTCTCACAGACTCAGGAAGGACTAAAACTGGAAGATTTCTAAGATCCATTTTCCATATAAATGTATATCTTCAAAATGCCATGCCCCACACATCTTACAAGCTCCCAGAGAGAGGGAAATGGAGTGGAAAGGGAGAACCTTATGGCCAGTAGTACCGGGGCAGCTGTGTCCAGGACAGCATAGCCCCAGTCTTCCAAACAACAGTCCCTGTAGCAGAGAAGCAAGAAAACCAGCACAACATGTGCTCCCACCTCTATAGCAGCTTCTTCTCTGAGCCCTAGAGTAGGGGTCCCCATCCTCTGAACTGCAGACTGATGCCAGTCCCTGGCCTGTCAGGAGCTGGGCTGCAGAGCAGGCAGTGATCAGCGGGCCAGTGAGCATTACTGCCTGAGCTATGCCCCCTGTCAGATCAGTAGCAGTATTAGATTCTCATAGGTGCACAAACCCCATTGTGAACTGTGCACGTGAGGGACCTAGGGTCCAAGCTCCTTTTGAGAATCTAATGCCTGATGATCTGAGGTGGAACAGTTTTATCCCGAAACCAGTCTTCCTTGGTCTGTAGAAAAATTCTCTCTCATGAAACCAGTCCCTGATGCCAAAAAAGTTGGGGATCACTGCCCTAGGGGACAGAACTTGTTTGAAGGATAGGATAGTCATCTTTAAAATTGGGGAAAAGAGTTGGGACACTCATCTAAAGTTTCCTCTTCTTTCCTCCCTGTCTACTCAGGCATGGCCAAGGTAAGCACTAGCCAGTAGGGCTCCAGTGGCCCACAAGGAAGTCTATACTAAACATGGATGTTTACAAAGGCAGATTTGCAAAACTGAAAAACATTAGTCTGCACCAATTGTCCCTACTGTTCTATGGACTGATTACCAATGAGAGTTGTTATTGTATAGCCCATAGATTTTGCACATAGGCAATGAAAGCCAAGATATATCAGGGACCCAGGGGCTAACTCCAGTATGATCCAGTTTCTGGCTTGAACAACTGGGTAGATGGTGTCACATCTCAGATGCGGAGCCCTGGAGAAGGAGCACTGGCCCAGGGATCATGGGAGGAAGACGTGAGTTCAGTTTGGGACTTCTAAACTCTAACTATCCAGGCCAATTCCTAAGAGAAAGGTGTTCAATGTTTACTGAGTTCATTGTTCAGTGTTTACTGAGTACAAGATACGGTTCTGGACGTGGAAGATTCATTGACAATGCAATACTCATATGGATAATATAGCAGCCTTGGAACTTATATTACCCCCAAGCGGTGGGAAAAGGATTTGGCAGGAAGATGAGAATCCAGAATTTGGGCCACATGCACTGGGCCCCACAGAGGCTGTGTTTTAAACTAGGAGTGACTGAGTTATCTGGAATTGGCAAAAACACGTTTATCCCCAATGAAAAAACTGGGAGAGTCATAAGATAAGCTGAGGTCAATGGAAAAAAAACTTCTGTTATTGCACATATCACTACAAGAGAAAGAGAAAGAGAGGGAGAGGAAGAAAGGGAGACAGGCCAAGAAAGTCACTTAAATATTGCCACTAAAGAGATAAAAAACACCTTGCTTTCTCATTCCACAAAGGAGTAAAATGAGAAAACGGAGGCAAAGACACTTTGCAAATTCAAAAATTCATCCCTCTGTGGTAAAATATTCTAACTTCTTATTTAGAACATAATATCTTTAAAATATGAACTTTTTATTTCAAATTGTAAAATAGCTTGTAGACCCTTATAGAAAGTAGTTTAGTTATCAGTTCATCTCTAGGACAGTAGTCTCCATGTTTTTTTGGATCTGGTCCTCATTTAGTAAAACAAATTTGCGCCATTAATATATATTGATTATTTTCTTTATAAATTCATTACATGTCCTACTATTATTGGCTTATATCCCAAGGTACAATAAGCCATGCAGGGCAAAACTTCAAGCAAAACTACGGAAGCAGTAGAAAGATCAGTGGTTCCCGGCAGTTGGGGATGAGGAGAGGGAGGGATGAGCAGATGGTGCCCTGGAGAGTCTTAAGACAGTGAAATGATTCTGTATGACACTCTCACGGGGGATCAGTATCATTATACATCTGTCCACACCTATAGAATGCACAACACAAAGAATAAACCCCAATGTAAACTGTGGACTTTAAGTTATAATAAAGTAGGCATATTGGCTCTCGTCAGTTGTAACAAATGCATCAAGTGAATGCAGGACACTGATAATAAGAACTTTTGGGAATGGAGGGGAGGGGCCACGGGAGCTCTGTATTTTCCATTCAATTTTCCTAAAAACCTAAAACTGCTCTAAAACATATAGCCTGTTACTTCAAAAACAAACAAACAAACAAACAAAAACAAAAAACCAGTTTGGCTGACCAGTAATTTTGTTCAAGAACTTCTGGTTGTTTTAACACATGTCGAGCCCCCTTAAAAATGTGTTTTCAGCAACCCCAGTTCATGAATGTGACCATCTGTGCTCATCTGAAGGCAAAGCAGGCCAGTATAATCCAGAGGAAAATCTATAGGCCAGCTCCATTTGGACATCGTGAAAATCCATTTCTCAGAATCCCTTCTCTCCTAAAGTGAATTTGATATGCCTTCCTTTCATCACCCATGGGGAGTTATTCTAAGAGGGTGGTCCCCCCGGGTTCTTTTTGTTATTTCTGGAGTTTGAAATAAGCTCCATGTGGTTATGGAGGAGAGGAAGGTACATGAAAGCTTCATAGGTTTCATGTTCCAGAATTCAAATATTTCAAAATCAATTATTCGGCTTTTTGGTGGAGTCTTCAAAACATGTCCTCTAAGTCATAACAGAGGCTCCTGCAGGGCCAGGGAGTGGAGCCACCTCTTGGTTGTCATCAGATGCGACTCACAGGCTCACGGCTGGCGCATCTGCCCGGGGACACATGCCTAGACATTGTATTCACTTGTGTGACATGCTGTCCTCTCCCTTTTTTTCCTCTTTTAATCACCCTCCAAACACTGGGAAGAGATTCACTACCACGCCCCTCCCACAACCGCTACCCTTCCCTACCCTGTTCTGTCCCTGGGGACACTCACAGGCACAGATCTGTCCAGATGCCAGTGAGAAGAGGCAGCTGGTCTCCAGGTACTGTCCTGAGTGCTTCCATGTATTGTATTGTTTACTTATCAAACAGTTTCAAGAGGTGTGTGTCATGATTACCCCATTTTTCTAGATGAGGATGCTGAAGCTGGAGATGCTAAGTTGTGCTATGCTTTAATCACGATCAGCAAGTGTTTATGACGTGCCTGCTTGAAGCTCTGCACTGTGCTGATAGAAGGGAGAGGGCTCAGGCTTGGAGACAGGCAGACCTGGGCTCTAATCCGGACCCTGGCCAAGGATGAGAGCAATGCCCAACTATAACCTGCTTCCCAATATGCCAACCGTTAACCCACTTTTGTTGAGCACCTACCCTATACCTGGAGCTGATCTGAAGGATTAGGGGGTGTCTGTCTGTGAGGAGTTTATATTCTTGTGGAATGAAACAGACAAGACCCAACACACAACATCAAAAAATAAGAAGCTGCATATGATGTATCGAGTGTTCCTGGCATGTAACCTGAGCAGTTGCACCAGGCCCCATGCATAGAAGGGACCCCAGGTTGGCTTAATGCTCTGCTGTCTCTATCTTGAAATTCTAAATCATGTTTGAACAGGGGACTCTGTATTTTCATTTTGCCTGGGGCCCTGCCAATTATGGAATCTATCCTGGCTCCAGGAGGGGAGAGAAATGACAGTGGCATAGGGGGATTGGGAGGCCTGGGAGAAGAGTGGGGGTGGCCTGCAGTGGGAAGAGATGGTCCAGCGGGCCTGCTTCAGGAGGCAATGGGGGGCTGTGCTCGGTTCCCGGGGCTGCTGCATCACAGGGCCACACCGGACACCTTCAGACATCACAGATTCTCTTCCTCCCCATTCTGGAGGCCGGGTGGCAGCAGAGCGGATTTCTTCTGCAGACTGCGGGGGAACCTGCTCCAGGCTCTCCCTCAGTTCTGGTGGTTGCTGTCAATCTCAGCCTCCTCCTTCCCATGGTGTGTCTCTGTGTCCCTGAGTCTCCACATAGCCTTCTTATAAGGGCACCACCCGATACGGTTTCATGTGTGTCCCCTCCAAGCCTTATGCTGAAATGTGATCCCCAGTATTGGAGGTGGGGCCTGGTGGGAGGTGACTGGCTCATGGGGGTGGATCCCTCACCTATGGCTCAGTGCCATTCCCTTGGTGATGAGTGAATTTGCATTCTATTAGCTCATGTGAAAGCTGGTTATTTAAAGGAACCCAGCATCTCTCTCTTGCCCCGTCTCTTGCCATGTGGCACGCCCACTCCTACTTCACCTTCTGCCAAGATTGGATGCTTCCTGAGGTCCTCACCAGAAGCAAGTGCCAATGCCATCCTTCTTGTACAGTCTGCAGAATCCTCAGCCAAATAAACCTCTTAATAAATTACCCAGCCTCAGGTATTCCTTTATGCCAACGCAACATGGACTAAGACACCACCCTACTCCAGTATGACCACCTTTTAACTTGGTTATGTCTGCAAAGACCCTATTTCCAGATGAGGTTGCATTCATAGACACCAGGGATTAGGACGTCAATGTATCATTTGCGAAGGGACACAATGCAGCCCCCATCAGGAGGTGAGCCCCATGGCTATCAGGGAAGGTGCTCTCAGCAGAGGGAACCAGCAGCACAGAGGCCCTGCGTGTGCAGCCACAGGTGACCATGCTTGCAGAAGCGCAGAGCCCAAGGCAGAGTGAGTGAGGGGAGGGCACAAGTGGAGGAAGCCAGAACCAGGCGTTTTCCGCATAATCCCCCTGCAAAGCAACAGTTATTATTCCTATTTTATTGATTAGGAAACTGGGGTTCAAACCAGTCAATTAAGTAACAGATACACTCTGTGGTACACCCCGAGGGACCTGAGGGGGAGAGAGAGAGACCCTCTGGTCTGTTCGTTCATTCACAAATGGGGCACTAAGACCCAGGGAGGAGAAGGGACCCAGGGAGGAGAAGGGACTCACCCCAAATTGGAACCTCCACCCAGGCTTTTGCCTCTTGTCCTCATGGACCTGTGAGAGGCCTTCAGACCTGCTGGACTTCTAGGCATTTCAGAAGGAGACAGACCACAGCATACTCCACTCTGCTGAGGAGTACATGATGGGAGAGAAACAAACCCCATCTTTAAAGGTGTGCAAAAGCAATCAAGGGGCAGCCTGTGGATGGGAGGCCCTGTGTGCAGGGGCCAGAGAGTCCTGTTTCCCTCCAGCTTACACTCATTGAGAGACACTCATTCATTGACACAGAACAGTTCAGGAGGGTGGCTTGGTTGGGTTCCCCTGGAAGCAGGAGTGAGATAGGGCCAGCAGATGCTGTGTTTGGGAGGTGGTCCAGGGAAGCTGGCTGAGGGAGGAGAGCATGAGATAGGGAAGGAGAAGCCCAACAGAGGGTACACTAGTGCTGGGCCACCACTGTGGCACTTGGGCTCAGTCCTGCTGGGGACCCGCCAAGGAATAGAGAGGAATCCACCTAGAGTTGTTCCAACAAGCCATGAGGAAGTTGGGATATTCATCCACCAACTCCTGTCTTTCACTGGGGGATGTTAAATCCCTGGACTTCCCAGCTGTCCTGCAAATAAACAGGCCAGGTCTCAGGGCACCCCAAAAGGCCCCAGGCAGAGAAGTGGACTCTTCTGGAATTGTCCACCATGGCCACAGGAGAGTTCAGAGGAGCCCAGGGATGACACCCGGGCATCAATGATTGCCTGCCTTGGGTTTGTGGAACATGAGCTGAGTGAGGACAAAAGGAGAGCCATCCCTTGAGTTATCCTTCACATGCAAGCCATCCCTGCCTGGTACACAGCTAGGGTGGAGGAGATGCTGGGGCACGGAGGAAGAACTGTGCAGTCAGCACATTCCGTCAGCTAGACCTGCTGCATTCCGGTGACTGTGCACACACTGGGAATCCATTCCACAGGGCCAAAACATTAATTAGTCATTTGATTCAACCAACTGATACTTCCTGAATGCCTTATCTGTGGCAGACCTGGTTCTGAACAGAGAAATATAAAGAGGTTCTTTCTTCCAGGTGAGAGAGATAAATTAAGAGATAATGCTGTGAGCGAAACGTTATGGCAGAGAAGAGCCCGGATGCCAGCAGAACGGAGGAGAAGTCCCTGCCACTAATGTTGCATGGGGACATGGGGACATGGGGACAGGGGTGAAGAGTTAGGGAAGATTTCCAAAAAGAAAGAAGTCCAGCTGGATCCTGAAGGAGGAGTGGAAGTTCACCAAGAGGAGAAGCTGGAGAAAGGATGCACCTGCTGTTTCCTGTGGAGGGGGAGCAGGTGGAGACCAGGGGCCACAGTGGTGACCCAGCATTAGCGTACCCCATGTTGGCTTCTCCTTCCCTATCTCATCTTCTCCTCCCTCAGCTGTTTTCTGTGGAGGAAATAGCTGGAGCAAAGGTGTGCAGACCCATAAGTCAAATGATCTGGCCACACTCTGTCTGCTGTGCTGCATGACTTATACATGTGATATGTGTTGCTGTTTCCTAGTCAGGAGTTCCATGTGGCAAGAGCCCGGGCTGGTGCACAGCTGTGTCCTAGCACTGAATCCAAGGCCAGGTACACAGTAAAAACTCCTTTGTGCATGTTGGATTCTCCACTCTTGGATAGAATCCTGGAGATTTATCTAGAAGAGAAATGCAAGAGGCCAGTACCTTTTTCAGGCTGTGGACAGAGAATACTCATCAAATGCCTTAACAGTTCATGCACGCAATCTGGTCTCAACTGTGGAGTGAATCCCACCAGCTGCCCACCCACCTCCCCGGGGTGGATGTATTATTCCGGGTCACTGTTCCTCATCTGAAATAGGGATGATGGAGAAGCCAACAGAGGGTGTGCTAATACAAGGTCACCACTGTGGCACCTGGGCTTAGTCCTGATGGAGACCCTCCAAGGAATAGAGTGGAACCTACTTAGAGTAAAACCTTGCAGCGGTGATGCAGGAATGGCATGTGAGAAAATGCTTAGCACAGCTCTCAAGAGATTATGTTTACTGTGCAAACTGACAAGCAAAATAAGCCAGTCCAGAGAAAGAAAAGGAGAAACAGACTATGAATTCGACCTACCAAGTGGAGCCATGGACAGAGAGTATGACCCAGGGGTTCTTAATTTCCTGGATGTCATGAGTTCTTTAGCAGCCTGTGTAAGCCTAGGGATTCTTCTGGGGGTGGGGAAAGGTAACATATAAAATAAAATGGGCTGGGCATGGTGGCTCACGCCTGTAATCCCAAAACTTTGGGAGGCCAAGGCAGGCAGATCACCTGAGGTCAGGAGTTTGAGACAAGTCTGGCCAACATGGTGAAATCCTGTCTTTACCAAAAATACAAAAAACTAGCCGGGCGCGGTGGCGGGCATCTGCAATCCCAGCTACTCGGGAGGCTGAGGTGGAAGAATGGCTTGAACCAGGGAGGTGGAGGTTGCAGTGAGCTGAGATCATGCCACTGCACTCCAGCCTGGGCGACAGAGTGAGATTCTGTCTCAAAAAAAATTAATTAATTAAAATAAAATAAAGAGGATTATCAAGGAAAGCAATTATAGTAAGATACCGTTATCAAAATATTTAAAAATACATTTGTGAAACAGTAACATATGTGCTGCTTTTTTCATCCCACTAGAAGACACCATCCAGCATCAGAGCTAAGGTGCTCATTTTGAGGCAGTGATGGGCACAAATGGTCATAACCATGTGATGTGAAATATCTGTGATTTCTATTTGTGACAAATTCACAGGTATTGCTAATATTGCTCTGGTTTTTGTCTATATTCATAAGTGGAGGAAATGCTAAATTTCAATTCAAGATTAATAAAACTAAAGATGCAATGCTTTTCATTCAAGTGTAAGAGCTCCCCAGAATTCCACATACAACCCTTGAGCATCCGTAGCTCCTAGGCCGAAAACCCTTGCTCATCCTATTCTGAGAGCAGGTGCTTCTGCCTGTTGTTTGCATGAGATATCTTTCCCTTCCCCATTATCCCAATAAATCCCCCTTTGATGCTTGAGGGAGCCTGCGGATCTCTGTTACTTGCAATCAGAAGAAACTGGTTTAAATCTCTGTCTATATTTCTACCCTCGCAAGGGCATTGGCAGTTGTCAAACATCAGCTTGCATCCTCCTTCCACCTCGTGAGCATCAGGATGGTTTCTTTCTGTGTTGTTCCACGAGTGCCTAAGAAGCCAGGGGAAGAGCCTAGCATGAGTGAAGTCTTCCTGTGGCCAGGCATTAGGCCAGAGGACTTATCATAGCCCTGCCAGGCAAGTGGCCTATTTAGCAGATGAGAAAACTTAAGACTCAGAAATGCCGGGAGACTTGCCTAAGGCCACACAAGTGAAAGGAGTGAAGCCAGGGCTCAGTTTCAGGTCTGACTCAAAGTCCATACACTCTCATCCCTTATATCATGGGAACGAAAGGACTTGACACTGTGTATGTTTTTTATATTAAAGTATGTGAAAAAAGTATGTGACTCCATTTAGAAAATTGGAACTGCCCTTCATTTTGTAATAATTGTATTGTATTGGGGGAAAATGATACATACTCAACCATCTCTGAATTTGAACACTTCAACAGGTTGCTATAGATAAAATACACACACAACACATGCACACACAATGTACACACAACACACACACACACAAACAATGGAGAAGGACTTGTGAAGATGAAGGGAGAGATTAGAGTGATTGAGCTACAAAACAAGGGACCCCAGGACTGCCAGCCGCCATCAGAAACTGGGAGAGACAAGGAACCAGCTCTCCCTGTAGCCTTCATGAGAGTGCAGCCCTGCCAACCCCTTGATTTGAACTTCTAGACTCCAGAACCAAGAGAACAAATTTCTGCTGTTTTCAAACTACCAGTTTGTGATAATTTGTTAAGGCAGCCACAGAAAATTGATACTGACCCCAACACATGAAAATTTGAACCCACTTTATCCCCACTAAGCAGAACAGAGGATTCTGCTCTTCTCAGATTTGAGGGTTCAGCATGCTTCCCCCATTGGAACCACTTAATCATCTGTCCATGGCACAAGGACTACAACAGCCTTGTGCATCCCATATCCCCAGAGTGTGGTGAGTACTTATTGAATTGCATTATACACCTTTATCACTAATCACTTGGGGTTCAGGTATCTAATTCATGGATTCAGATCTCAGCTCCTACACTCACTACAGCTTGGTAACCATGGCCCACTAGTCTCTGACTAGTCTCCGCTGACTCCTCTGTTTCCAAGGGGATAGTTATGACCTCATAGCATTGTCATGAGGCTTCAGTGAAGTTCAGGGAAAGTTCCTCAAGAAGTGGCCCACTGCTTAACAGAAGCTCAAAATCTCTTTGCTCCAGCCAGGGGTTGTGACTTAAGCCTATAAATTTTGGGAGGCTGAGGTGGGCAGATTACTGGAGGCCAGGAGTTCAAGACCAGCCTGGCCAACATGGCGAAACCCCATCTTTATGAGAAATACAAAAATTAGCTGGGTGCATTGGCACATGCTTGTAATTCCAGCTACTCGGGAGGCTGAGGCACGAGAGTCACTTGAACCTGGGAGGCGGAGGTTACGGTGAGCCGAGATCATGCCACTGTACTCCAGCCTGGATGACAAAAATAGACTCCATCTCAAAAAAAAAAAACGACTTTGCTCTTTTCATCAATAATTATAATATAATTATAAAAGAAGGAAATGGCTTTATTATTAGTAGAAGAAAATACTTCTAATTGAATTAGAATAGAATTATTCATCTATAATAATTATAAAAAGAAGGAAAATGATTATATTATTAATAGTAGAAGAAAATCTGGGTAAGTACTGGAAAACTGAGTTTGTTTTTCTAAAAAAAAGTGTTTATTTACTTTATAACACTAGACTCTTCAAATATATAATCAGATATACAGGTTAATGTAATAACCACCTATGTTCGCACTACCTAAATTTAACAAATATTAGTACTCTGGTATATTTGCTGCTGATTTTTCATAATGTTCCTGTGTTGTGTTTTTCTTGTTTATAGGATTTGTAGATATTTCTGAGTGATAATTTGTGCCTTGTCTTTCTCTGTCTCTCTCTCTTGTTTTTTTAGTGTTAGGGTCTGGCAACATTGCCCAGGCTGGTCTCAGAACTCCTGGCCTCAAGCAATCCTCCCATCTCAGACTTTCAAAGCACTGCTATTACACTGTAATCCTCTTTTTCTTAATCAGTCTTATAAGAACGCTATCAATTTTATTGGCCTATTCAAATCTCAAACCCTTGGCTTTATTGATTCTATTGAATGTTTCTTTTCTATTGTAGTAATTACGACTCCCACCTCTATTATTCCCTCCCTTTTGCATTATTTGTGTTTATTTTGTCTGTTGTGTAACTGCTGTGGTCTGATGTTTGTGTCCTCCCCAAAGTTCATGTGTTGAAATCCTAAGTCCCAAGGCAATGGTATTTGGAGGTGGGGCCTTTGGAAGGTGATTAGGTCATGAGAGTAGAACCCCTCCTGAATGGGATTAGTGTCCTCATAAAAGAAGCCACAAAGAGCTCATTGGTTGCTTCTGTCATGCAAACACAAGAAGCATGTCTACAAACCAGGAAGCTGGCCTTCACCAGGCACTGAATCTGCCAACACCTTGACCTTGGACCTCCCAGCCTCCAGAACTATGAGAAATAAGTTCCTGTTGTTTATAAGCCATCTAGTCTATGGTATATTGTGATAGCAGCCCAAATGGATGAAGGCACTAACTTACTTAGGCAAATACTATTGCACGATAGGCTCCCTCTAAGATCTGGGTACAGGACGTGCCTGTAGGATCAGTCCCTGTAAGGGAGGGAAACAACCAGGATGGGGCAGAGGGAGAAGTTGAACTGCAATGCAGACCCAGCAAGGGCCTCTGCCAAGCCCAAAGGGTCAAGCACTGGTACTGGGATATGCCATCTGGTTCAAGGGGTGTTCTGTGTCTTCTGATATTCTTTATTTGTCCATGTGGCATCCATTAGTCACAGACCAAACTTATGGCCGAGTTGTTTCCTGCTGCCCTGAGATTCAGAGCTCATTCTGAACCACTTCTCTATCTAACTCACACACCAGTCAATATTTCCCTGCCCTAAATCAACCCAGGGCCAGGTACCAGACAACTAGGACAGCCCCTGTGGCCCAAGGACTGCCAGAATTATTCAAGCTAGACAATCCTAAGCCATTGCCTCTGCCTTCCCTTTCCTGCAGAAATTCTAATACAATCTCTTGCCTAGACTTGGTCCTTGCTCCTGCTGTATGTCCTGACTAATCCAGGTGCTTCCCCACACGGCCCTGTGTGACATGGCATGCCCCCTCCTCTTGGGAAACGTAAGCAATGAAAATCTGTCAAGGGGACCATATACCAAACTGTTAATAGTCATTTCCTCTAGGAAATGAAATGAAGGCATGATATTCAAAATTTTTTAATTTTCTTTTGTAGTACTTGATTTTTAACAGTAATTGTGTATTGCATTTGAATTGAAAACAAAACTTAAAATCTTAAAAATATAACAATACGTTCTTCTGCTGCTAATGAAACAATAAAGAAATATAGAGAAACCAAAAATCTTTCAGGGCATTGGCCTCTCTGTGCTGGCCCCCAGTCACCTCCATAAATTAAAATTCCACAGGTATGACTGAGGAATGCGGCCAGACCTTTATTCTCTCATCAACTAGCTATTGGATGTAGACCATCCCTGAGAAGAGAATGTGGCCCGGACAAGGTGGCTTTCATTAGTCAAGGGCAGTTTCCCAAAAAAGACTCAACTGAAAGCTGTTGGCTGCAGGCATTCCCAACAACTGAGGCAATGAGGGCTTCAGTCCTGAATGGGATAACCTGGGCAATACAGTGTCTGTTACAGATGTTTCCATTTCCAACCTTTCTTTCTTTCTAATATTTAAGACTAAGAATCTCTCTCGAAGCATACCCTTAGCTGCATCCCACAGTTTTTTATATTCATTGGCATTTTTATTTGGATTTTCTAAATTTTATTAATTTGATATTCTAAAGTATAATTGCTGAGCTTCCTAAAATTTGTGAACTTTCTAGTTATCTTGCTTTCAGAGGCTTTTGCAGCCATTATTGTAATTTACTCACCCAGATACGCTAGAAAAATTTCACTGGCTAGCCAGAAGATTAAATTAACCAGAATGTTTTTTTCTAAGCATTCTGGGTAATTGTCAATTTGTTGCTCCACAAAGGAGTGCTAATTATGGTATCTGTAGGTCATTCAAGCTAAACGCTAATATTTCTTTCTTCCCACTGCAGATCAGCCATGTGGCCTTGGGAAAATCTTTCAATAGGTTAAGGTCCCAGATGCCCTCTTGGTAAAATATGGAAGCAAATCTTATTCCCTAGAGAAGAAATATGAATTCATGAATATACATACATATTCATATTCACACTCGAGAACCATTTTCATTTCAAGTTTGTGACTTTCTAATAATAATCACTAATGCAAACTGAATACTTCCTATGTGCCAGGCATTACCAACTGCTTTATATGTATAAACCCAATCCTCACAACAACACTTTGCAGAAAATACTGTTATTAGCCCCAATTTACAGACTGCGATCTGAAGCACAAACAGGTTAAGTAACTTGCCCACGGCTAGCAGATAAGAACTAGCAATGTTGGGATTTGAACCTAAGAAATCTGCCCTTAGAATCCACATCTTTGGCCACTATGTTTTATTCCCTCTGAGCAAGCCAAAGATTAGCAACTTATTATAAACAATATTTTTATTTCTGGGGAAATTCATATAGTAGCTCAAAGATATTATTTTCTTTTTTATCCTGTTTCCCATGAAGTTTGCTACAAAGCAGAATTCCCTTTTGGTCCATTTAATTTGGCATCAAGTATTTTATTGGTCACACATCCATTTTATTAACATTTCATATGAAATTTCAGTATAATTGCACTGGTTACATTTTCCGACAAAATTATTTTCACAGCAGAAAGAACAAAAAAGATGCAGCTTAGCGGAACCACTGTGTTTGAAATCAGGAGATAAAAGACAAATAGACAATCTCTCTTACAAAGCATACTTCACCCTTCCTTCCTAGAGAAGGGGATCACTGAAAGATTCTCAAAAGGGTCCTCATCACAGTTCAATTCAGAGTCTTAGGGGGACATCAAGGGAGGTTCCTTGACATTTCAATCCTCTGATCCCATGGAAACTGTGAAATCAGAAGCAAGTATGCTTAATTTACAGAATGTCAGACCTGGTTAAGAATCATCAGTTTAACCCTCATCAGGAAATTGAGGCTCAGTGGAGCCGTGTCCTATTGAACATCATCCAGCCAATTAGCATCAGGTCTCAAGTGGGTTTTCTGGGGTTTGCACACACAGTTTCCTCACTAGTTCCGTCCAAAAAAAAGAAAAATAAAATAAAGCAGGGTTTGAACTTGATTTTATCTTCAACAAAGTGGCGGAATTGAGTCTTAAAATGTTTCAGTTACCAAAAACCCATAAAATAAAAGAGTAAGACATCAGGGGAGCATATGTGGGAAAGAGGACTATGAACGAAGCAGTCCAGAGGTCTCACCAAAGAAATGGCAGAGCATCAGGCCTCCATCGCCCGTCAGCTTCTAGAAGACCCTAACTTCCAGAAAAGACAACTCCCAATATCTAATGCAACCTTCGAGTCTGTGTTGGCAAATACACAAATGCTTCAAAAAGGCAGTGTGGCCATTCATTAAGAAGTTTTAGATGGCCTGTAATCCTAGCTCAAAGGAAATTAATGTTCTCTTAAACAGTTCCAGGTTTCCTGGTCCAAGCCAGAGGTCTGTAGTGCTTGGAGAGATATTACTGGCTTATTAAAAATTATATGGAAAGAAGGCAGGCGGCCAAGTCTGATTGTCCTCATAGACTGTAAGCAGCTCCCATTAGTCCTGGCACCAGAACAGCTAAGGCTTTTCACACGCTTGTGGGTGAGGTACAAAGTGTATACAACAGATTACTGTATGCGAAGAGAGGAGCGGGGTCTTGGTAGAAACACATGGGGGCTCCCGGTCAATGAACTGGCAATGACATTTACCAGCAGGTGGCCTTCAGGAAGCCTTGTTACCCAGGTGAATCACCTGAGTCAACCAGTGGACACCATGGTGGACAAAGTGCTGAGACCCAGATCAAAGTCCCTGCTTTGCTACATATGAGCTATGTTATCTTTGGCCACTCACCTTGTTTGAGCCACTATTTCTTTACCTGAAAAATGGGCATCATGATGTAAGCACGACAGAGCTAACAGGAGAAGTCAGTAATGTCTGTGAATAAAGCATATGAAGGCTTTATCATCGATTGCTATTACTTTTAATAGTATTATTTCCTAATCTCCAACTCTGAACACACAAGAGTATCCACATTCTGAGGCAAGAGGTATGGTGCCTAGCCTGAGTGGGGTCAGAGACTGAAAATGTCAAAAATGGCAAAGTTAAGTTCTGATGAAGTGGGAAATATGGAGCCATGGAAGGCTTTTCACCAACAGAATCACATGTTGAATTGGGGGCTTAAAAAAGATGGGTTTCACAGGATTATGCCAAGTTTACTAGAAAATGAGAAAGACCTAAGTTGGGAGGTCAGCTCAGAGATAATTATAACAATGCAGGGAGCAGAGAGAGGGAGAAGGAGGAAATCACCAAACACCTAAGGAATGCTCCGAGATGAAATACAGAGACACAAATAAACAAACAAGGGAAAAAAGTAACTTGGGGAAAACAGACTATAAAAGAAAGAGGAAAGATATTACATCCATGAAATAAGAACAGGCTACTATATAAAAGGAACAGTCAGAGAACACTTCCCTCCACTCCCCTCTCCAAAAAAAGGTATTTTGGAATTTAAAATTATAATCACAGAAAAGATAAAAGTTTAGAAGAAAAAATTTGAGAAAATATCCCAGAAGGGGGAGAAAAGTGGCAAAGAAAAAAATGGAAAAAAGGAGGAGAAAAGATAAGAAAATTAAAGCTCTGCTCAAAAAATTCAACATATGAATAATAAAAATTATCAAAGAGGAAACAAACCAAATAAGAGAGAAAATCTCCAAAGAAATAATCTTCAAAAATACTCTCCAGATCTGGAAAATTGCTGCAGTTGGCTCAGAAAACTGCGATGCTCTCACTTTGAGATAGTAAATACAGTTTGGAAAACTCACTGAGACAAAGCAAAACAAAACACCATGCTTTGGCTCTGGATTATTTATTGAGAATCACAACATGTTAAGAGCAGCAGAGAACATAATAACTGCTCGTGATCCCTGGTCAACCCACTAAGAATTTATATTCCAGGCAATCACACTGCCCCTGCAAGAAGGAAGCTATTGTGTGAGAACTATGCAGTCAGGAATCAATTTTTAAATCAGGAAGCAGAAAAAGCTCCTGGCTTGTTATAAAGTAGGAATACTGATATTCTCTGGAAGAAAAAAAACTTTCACTCAGTGAAGGATTCCTTGTGTCTCCTTCTGGAAGCAGTATTGGCCTTCTGCATGTGGTGAGAATGGTCGCTATCCCAGAATCCTTCCCCCACACCCCTTGCCTTCCTCTTTTAAAACATCTCCATGCAATGAAATAAAATAAATGAAAACTAAAGAAGCCTGAGTTTAATAATCAGGGGATATAATTCAAGTGTAGCCAGTTGGACAACTTTTCTGTTAATCAGAAGAATAACAGTTTTTCTCCTAGTTTTCTTTGTAAAACATAAAACTCAGACTCGGCACAGAGGCCACATAGATGTGTGGGAAGAGTGTAGATTCAGAATTGAAGCCTGGCTTGCCTTGGACTCACCACATCTCCCAAGAAAAAGCTCAAGACCAGATTTCCCCTAACCCGACTATATTAGAATCATTTTCAAGTCCTCTTAAGAATTCAATTCCCTTTGGTTTCTAAGATTTATCTAAGGAAAAGAAAAAAATTTTTTTAAAGAATTTATATTCTCAAGCCCCACCCCAGGCCTTCTGAATCTCAGCCTCCAAATATAAGAGTTCAAAAGCCAGGCTTTTATAGACTCTCCAGGAAGCTCTCGAAAGAGACCAACTCTGCTCCTGTTGACACCCAACACTGGAGAATGCTGTACTCGGAGTTCTTTCCAGCCCTGAGATTCTAGGATAAGGCTGCCAATATGGTGATCCATGGGCTCAGTTTTGGGCTGGTGTTTGATTTAACAAAGCAGAGTTCAAGCAAGAAAATAAAAATGAAAAAGAGGATCAGAATTCACTCAGCTAGCAAGAGGAGCACCAGCTTTCTCTTTAGCTGAAGTCTCTCTTTCGGACTGTAGGAGATTGTAGAATTCTTTAATTCAGATTGGGGTGGAAATAGCTTTCTCTAATGGTGTGGGTGATTTGAAGAGCAATTAAGAGCTATGGTACATCTTTTTTTATTATTATTTTAGATTTAGGGGATACAGGTTTGTCACATGGGTATATTGCATGATGCTGAGGTTTGGGCTTCTATTGATCCTGTCACCCAAATAATGAACTTAGTACCCAATAGGAAGTGAGCCATCGTTCATCTTTAACTGGTACAATAAGACAGAGGGTTTATATTCAGGAGGGGTTTCTGCCTGGTACCCCTCACCTAATTGAAATGCATCCGGAAAAAAAAGAAAAGAAAAAAACAGAAGCAACCAGCTTAGATGACCTCCTTTTTGTTCCAGAGCTCCAACACAGTGGATATCTCATCACAACCCACAGCAAAGCCACTCCAGACCACCTGCGGGTCCCTATATGTACCCGTGCTGTCTCACATCTCTGGCTTTTGCATGGACTTCTGCTCTGCTTACAGTGTTCTCGTGCTGCCTCTGTCCTTTCATTCCCTCCACCTGTTTCACCAGCATTCATCCACCCACGTGTACCTAGTGATTACAGGCTCATCCTTCAAGGGCACCATTTCCACAAGGACCTAATGACTCCTCATCATTTTTCCCACTGTCCCTCAAGCCTTCTCATTGATAAATCAAAGCCCAAATGTGTAGCAGGTGTCTTTGGGGATACGTGACTGCTTTCACCTCTGGACTCAGTCCTCTTCCTTTGTGGCTCTAGACAGACTCCTTACCTCTGCCATGCTGCCCTGTGCCCAGGGGATTACCTCCATTATCTGTCTCAATTGATTTCCCTTGCCCTCTGGCTTCCAGCTGGGTTCAGGCAACAGGAAGCATTAGCAAGAACTGCAAGGGAAGGATGAGCAAGGCCCCATCCTGCTGGGCCTCAGATGCACAAGGTCTGTGCTGCTCTACAGAAGGGTGCAGCTCATGTTAGGTGGCCCTGCCCAGGCTTTGGCTACAGCTAATACTGGGTCCTGTAACTCTCCTGCCCCAGCCTTTTAAGTCAAGTGAGAAGGTCTCCCAGTGTCGCTAGTCTTGGGGTGCTTTGTCACATCTTGCTGGTTTCCTTTGAAACAGTCTCTTGGGCTGCCCTGTGTAAATGTGCCTTCCATTTCCTGGTAAGATCCTGACACAAGAATATGTAGCTTTGGGGAAGGAGGGCACCTTGATACTTCTCAGCTGGGGTTTCAATTCTACCTCTAGTCTGAGAACTTTTAACTCTGTTTCTGACCCTCTACTAGTGGAATGTTGGGAAATAATCTTGATTGTCTTGAAAGTGAGGCACTGAGGTTCCTCTGTTTAAGACTAGCTTGTTGATGTTGGTAAAGAAACAGCCTGAGACTATAGAGTGTCTTCTTCCAGAACAAAGGGTGGATTTGCTCAAAAAGTGTACTTATCAAATTGTACACTTTACCTATATGCAGTTCATTGTATGTCAATTATAGTTCAATAAACCTGTTTTAAAAGGCAGCAAATCCAGTAGTCTGGGGAACAACTTCTGCATTCAGGCTTATAACACAACCATCTACAAAAGCAACAAAGAGCAGACACATACACCTTGTTAGTGTATGAAGGCTAGGCTGCTCTAGTCCAAGGTTCCCAAAACACAGTGGTTCAAATAAGATAGAAGCTTTTTCTTCTGTCTCATGATAGTCCAGGGGAAATCAGGCAGCCCAGGGTGGGCAAAGGCCTCTGCTCCACAGGTCACTCAGGGCCCCAGCTTCCTTCCATCTTGTTCCATGCCCACATGATGAAAGCTGATCATCCATGGCTATCCATGATTACATTCCAGGCTGCAACCAGGGGAAAGAGAGATAAATTGGAAGGCAAACAATTTTCATTTAGGAAAATGTCGCTGAAATTGGCACACGACATTTCCACTCATATTCCACTGGTGAGAACATAGTCTCATGGCCATATCTTCCTGCAAGGCAAGCCAGGAAACATGTTTTCTGGCTATTAAAATCAGGGAGGCTGTTTCTCTTAATAAAAGGAAGGAGCATGTGTACTGGAGAGCAGTTAGCCATCTCTGCTCTACAATGTTTGGGACAGAGAGACAACACAAGTCTCCATAAATTCTATTGCCACACACTCAATAAATTGTATTGTCTTAAAAACTACAATGTGTTTACCATGACGAGTGGTAGATTGATTTCTTGGGCTGCTGTAACAAAGAACCATAGACCAGGTGGCTTAAACAGTGGCAATTTATTGTCTCATAGCTCTGGAGGCTAAGAGTTGAAAAGCAAGGTGTTGGGAGGGTTGGTTCCTTCTGGAGGCTGTGAGGGAGGATCCACTCCACGCCTCTCTTCAGCTCCTGGTAGCTTCAGGAGTTCCTTGGCTTCTAAATGACCATCCATCTTCTCCCTGTGTCTTTACATTGTCTTCTTTCTGTATGTGTCTCTGTCTCTCCATGTGGCTTTTATTAGGTAGAGTCTTGCTGTGTTACCCAAGCTGGTCTCAAACTCCTGGGTTTCAGTGAAGTGATCCTCCCACCTCAGCCTCCTAAGTAGCTGAGACCACAGGTACCCATCATTGTGCCCAGCTTGGCTTTTTGAAAAAATAAGGACACCAATCTCAGGAGGCTGAGGCAGGAGTATTGCTCGAGCCCAGAAGTTTGAGGCTGCAGTGAACTGTAATTATGCCACCACACTCCAGCCTGGGCAACAAAGCAAGACTCTATCTCTAAAAAATAATAAGAAGAAGAACACCAGTCATTGTATTTAGAGCCCACACTACTCTGGTATGACCTGATCTTAATTATTAATAATTACATCTGCTATGAACCTATTTCCAAATAAGATCACATTCTGAGGTACTGGAAGTTAGGACTACAGCATATAAATTTTGAGAAACACAACAAGTGGGAAAAGAATTGAATTTGAAGGCAAGAAACTCGACTTCCTGTCCAAGCCCTGCATGGCTGGCTGTGGAACCTCGGACAATCACATGAAGTCTGACCTCATTCGCCCCATTTGCTGATGATGAAATAACCACACGTTCTTCAAGGGCTGAGGTTAGAGACAGAGGAAACGATGTCTGCAACAGCAGAGAGCCAGCAGTAAAGGGTGTGTGCCTCTCGCTGGTCTGCCTTCCACCCTTCTCTCATTAAAAGGTCAACTCCAGAGGAAGATGGAGCTTCGGGCACTAGCCTGTCCTCTCTTCCTGGAGCACACTCTTCTGAATTAAATCTGGAAGAAGATTCTCCACACTACTCAAGTCAGAAGGGACCTCTTAAGAGAGAAACTACCACAGGGCAAAATACCTTCAATTCCCTTCAAGGGGAAAAAAAATCCCTTTTGGTCTGCAGATGGGTAATTGTATTCACTGTTTCCAAATGTCAAAATGCCAGCCTGGGCCAGCTTTCCACTAAGATCAAACATGCTCCTCAGGGCCTCCTCTCTACTGATGTGGATGCGCGTTTAGCCACAGTGGAAAAGGCTGATTGCTGAGTGGAGTGGCCTTGGCGGACTGCACCGCTCACACAGCAAAGGAGAGATTGGATGTTGACCTTCCTGCTAGGTCACACTCCGAGGAGTCACACCCAAACCCAGGAAAACCCTTCAAGCTACCAAAAATGTACAGTCTTCATTGCCCAATATGAAGAAATAAAAACTGGAATATCTCAGGGAAATAAGGCAAGCAAAGTTGTCCAGTCTACGTTCTTAGTTTTGTGATTAAAGATCAGACTAATTGTATTAGTTGTTTTAACCCTCTTGATAAAGACATACCTGAGATTGGGCAATTTACAAAAGAAAGAGGTTTAATAAACTCACAGTTCCACATGGCTGAGGAGGCCTCACAATCATGGCAGAAGGTGAAAGTCACGTCTCACATGGTGGCAGACGAGAGAAGAGAGCTTGTGCAGGGGAACTCCCCTTTATAAAACCATCAGATCTCATGAGACTTATTCACTATCATGAGAATAGCACGGGAAAGACCAGCTGCCGTGATTCAATTGCCTCCCACCAGGTCCCTCCCACAACATGTGGGAATTGTGGGAGTTACAATTCAGGATGAGATTTGTGTAGGGACATGGTCAAAACATATCACTGATTCTTTCCATGAATTGATATTTGTTATTAGTTTTAGAAATTAAATTAGTAGCCTAGTGTTGATGATGGCGGAGGGCCAAAGTGTATGCTCCTGGAGGGTGTGAAGGTGGTATGAGCTTTCTAGAAGGCACCCTGCAAATGCGCTACCAAAGCCTTTTGTGCCTTCAGGCTAAGGGAAGAATCAGACCAGCCTACAAAGTGGAAGGTGGTTTGTTCTGACTGTTTATAAGAGCAAGGAATGGAAACACCTAAACGTCCAGTGATGGATGTCCCCTCGGGGCTCATCTCCAGTGGGAGCTCACGTGGGAAGGCTTGCTGACAGCCCCAGCAGGTTCAGACTCCTTCTTCTCTGGTTCTGAAATCCCTCGCACACCTCCACCCTAGCAACTGCTTGCGTTAGAATCCTTTCTCTGGCATGTTTCTTTTAGCTTCACAGGGGTGGGCAAACCACAGGTGAGCCAGGCCATCACTCCTTCCTTCCTTCCTTCCTTCCTTCCTTCCTTCCTTCCCTCCCTCCCTCCCTCCCTCCCTCCCTCCCTCCCTCCTTCCTTCCTTCCTTCCTTCCTTCCTTCCTTCCTTCCTTCCTTCCTTCCTTGACAGGGTCTGGCTCTGTCACCAGGCTGGAGTGCAGTGGCACAATCTTGACTCACTGCAACCTCTGCCTCCTGGGTTCAAGTGATTCTCCTGCCGCAGCCTCCCGAGAAGCTGGGACTACAGGTGCTTGACACCACACCTGGCTAATTTTTGTATTTTTAGTAGAGACGGGGTTTTGCCACATTGGCCAGCCTGGTCTCAAACTCCTGACCTCAAGTGATCTGCCCACTTTGGCCTCCCAAAGTGCTGGGATTATAGGTGTGAACCACCATGCCCAACCTACCACCTGTTTCTTAAATAAAATTTTGGGTACGCAGCCACACCTATTTGTTTACATAGTGCCTGTTGCAGCTTTTGTGAAGAAAGCTACGTGACCTGCAAAGCCTCCAATATTTGTTATCTGTCCCTTTACGGAAAAACTTTGCCGGCCCCTGACCTATGCTATAAAGCCCTTCAAAGAAACAAATAATCTTACTCATGTCTGCATCCCATGAAGACTGAGTGGTGCCGCGGGCATAGAAGGTGTTTCGTAAATGTGTGTTGGGTTAATTCAGGAGCTTGAATCTCCAGACGCACAGTGGCTCACACACTTATGTGTGCATCAGAATCACTGTGGGCATTTGTTAAAATGCAAGTTCCAGATTCCCAAAAGTGTGATTTGAGAGTCCTGGGGTGAAACCAGAGAATATGTATTTTATTAACTACACATTCCCAAGGTGAGTCTGATGCTGATAGACCTTAAATTAATCCTGTCAAGAGACACTGATGATGACACAGGGAATCAAGTGGCTTTCTAGCAGCATAGTGGATGGACCAGATAACCTGAAAACCCTCCTGCTACTTGCTTAAGAAAAACTGCAAAACTTAGTTAAATGCAGAGTTAAGTTCATCAAGTCAAATAAAGGAAACTTGCAGGGCACAAAGGAGTGGCAGGAACTGACCACCAGAGCAATCCACGTGAGCTTACCTGTGGTTTCTCTGGGGCAGGGATTAGAGGGTAGGCTTTGGTAACTTAAAGGCTGGGGTGTTCATGGGCCAGCTGAGGTCAGGAGACAAGACCTGAGGCCCATGCATGATGGGGAGTTAGAATTGAGGACATCACCATAAAGCAGGGACCCTCAACAGATTATAACCCTGGAGAAGAGTGGGTTAGAAAAACCCTCCCACTGGCCCCAGCAGCTGCCCAACAAGCTGGTCTCTCTCAACTGTGTCATCCTTTAAGAATTTGCTGGGCGCAGTGGCTCACACCTGTAATCCCAGCACTTTGGGAGGCTGAGGCGGGCAGATCACAAGGTCAGGAGATCAAGACCATCCTGGCTAACATGGTGAAACCCTGTCTCTACTAAAAATACAAAAAATTAGCTGGGCGTGGTGGCAGGCAGCTGTAGTCCCAGCCACTCGGGAGGCTGAGGCAGGAGAATGGTGTGAACCTGGGAGGCAGAGCTTGCAGTGAGCTGAGATCATGCCACTGCACTCCAGCATTTGAGCAAGTTTCAAAAAAAAAAAAAAAAAGAATTCACACTCACTGAATGTAAACTAGCACAACCACTCATGGAAAACGGTGTGGAGATTCCTTAAAGAACTAAAAGTACAACTACCACTCAATCCAGCAATCCCATTACTGGGTATCTACCCTGAGGAAAAGAAGTCATTATATGAAAAAGATACTTGCACATGCATGTTTGTAGCAGCACAATTCGCAATTGCAAAAATATGGAACCAACCTAAGTGCCCATCGACGAACAAGTGGACAAAGAAAATGTCATATGTGTGTGTGTGTGTGTGTGTGTGTGTGTGTGTGTATATATATATACACACACACACACACACACACACACATATATGACAGAGTACTACTCAGTCATAAAAAGAAATGAATTAATGGCATTTGCAGCAAACTGGATGAGATTGGTGACTGTTACTCTAAGTGAAGTAACTCAGGAATGGAAAACCAAACATCATATGTTCTCACTCGTAAGTGGGAGCTAGGCTATGAGAATGCAAAGGCATAAGCATGACATAATGGACTTTGAGAACTCAGGGGGAAATGGGGTGAGGGATAAAAGGCTACAAATTGAGTGCAGTGTATACTGCTTGGGTGATGGGTGCAACAAATCCCACAAATCACCACTAAAGAACTTACTCATGTAACCAAATGCCACTTGTTCTCCAATAACCTATGAAAATAAAAAAAAAAATTTAGAAAAAAGATTTCACACCCATAGCTTGTCTGCATTCATATTTACTATTAGCATTGATACTCCCCATGTAGCTGATGAAACTTGAAGCAGAGAAATTTACCTAAAAGGCCAGGCTCATCTCATGAATCAATATTTGTTGACTGTTTTCGAAATTAAGGTAGTAGCCCAGTGTTGATGAGGATGAGTGTCTGAGATGCCCAGAAGAAGCATATGCAAAATTTCCTTGGAGATGTATCCCTCAACCTTAGCTGCAAGGTATGTCCGCTGAAGATAAGCTCACACACCACAGTCACAAAACAGTGGCAGCAAGCTAACAGACGCAACCAAGTGCAAATAACAGAACTATCATATCCTACTGTTTCTCGCCACTTTCCTAACAACACCTGGTCCCAGCCACCATCTCCTCTACCTGGGATGACTGCTTTTGCCCTTGTTGTCACTGCAGTGTGTTCACTTTGGCAATCAGAGTGATTCTGTTAAAATATAATCTGATCATGTCTCTCCTCTGCTCAAAATCTTCCGAAGACTTTTCCATCTAATGCAGAGTAAAAGCCATGAGACTTTGCATCCCCCAACCCCTCACTGTCTTTCAGTCCTCATTTTTTATAGTCCCACTCTTTCTCTCACTCTAGACTCAAGGGCATCCTGTGTTCCCCAATCACTCCAGGACTCTACTATTTGTTTTACTTATTCCATTTTTGTTTATTCATCTTGCTTGTTGTCTGTTTTCTCTGTTATATTGTAAGTTCAAAACAGATACTTTGTTTTGTTCCTTTGTCCCTGGTATCTAAAACAGTGCCTGGCACATACTAGATGCTCAGTAAATGTTGAATAAGTGAATGAATGAATGAAGACACAAGAAAACCACCGCAGAATTTGAATAAAAGATAGAACTTGCTCATACTAATGCTTTAGAAAAATCGCTCTTCACATTAGGACTGCAATTATTGCTCACCTACTGTATACATGTATGGATTTAATTGCCATGGCTACCATGTGAGGTCAAGAGGAAGGAAACTATTTTTATCCCTAATTTGTAGATGAGTACAAAATGCTTCCATGATTTAATGGCTCACCCAACTTCATACAACTGGTGGGTCTGAATTGGACCTATGCTTTAAGATTCCTCATTCTGACTCTTACTTTTGTATTTACCACCCTTCCCCTAGTTTCAAGTTTCAGTGTGAAATACCTCTTGACATATGAAGGATTTAGAGCTCGAAACCTCAAATCAAATGTTACTTAAACACCAATCCCAGGGATGAAATGTCATTTAATGAGGTGTCTAATGGCAGGATTATCTGTGAAGATATTTCACTAAGGAAGGGTGGGAGGCGGGAAGTGGCTGCCTCTGGAAGGTCAATTTTGATGTGGTTGAGGTGAGATGGGAAGCTCACCCAATGGGACATAGAAATCCTACCCTCCAGCCCAGCTCCACCCTCAACTAGCTGTATAGCAGCTGGCAGTTTCCCTGACTGCCCTGGGTCTGTTTCCTCATCAACAAATAGACAGAAGCTCAAACTAAAGTAATATTATGTCTTTCCCAGCCCTAAAGGCTGTGCTTAAGGAGTTGATGGCTGAGCTTGGGAGACCAAAGTGCTGATTCACTTTCTCTATTAAACACTTCATTGACAATTTCCCTGTGTGTGAAATAAACCCAAACACACTTCTCAGCCTCTCCAGTGACCCTCATAACTCTTAACCACCCACATTGTTTGACTGACCTGGTCCAGAGCGCCATGCTTAAAGCTCAGGGTTGGAGACCTGGGCTTGAATCCTTACTCCAGCTCTCAAGCTAGACGTCCCTCAGTGAGTGAGTTAACCTTCCCTTATCTGGAAAGGTGAGATCATCCCAGCTCCACCTGTGTGGAGGGGAACTCAATGGAATTAGTTCCATAAAGTACTGGGGACCCACCCATTAGAAGAAATTGCTTTCCATCATTGAGCATCATCAGACCTTTGGCTTGGGAGGGAACGTGATTCCAGGACTCACAGTGTTGTGATGGGAAGACCTTCATCAGTTCATCCCCCTGCTCTGAGCCAGAGTCCACCAGGAACACATTACATTTATGCTTTTGGCATGAAATATCTGGCTTTAACAACACAGACTTGCAGAGAAATGAAAGAACAGTTTGCAAACATCAACATCCAAAGGCCCAAGGAGATATTGCCAGCCACACAATCCATCAAAAATAAACAGTGATGGATTTTATTGGGAAGATGTGATTTGTTAGCAGAGCTTTATCCTGAGAATGCTTCCTGAGGCTTGGAGGCAGGCCATGTGGGGAAAGCGCTGCAGAATCCCTGCCCACTTCCCCAGCTCTTTCTCACACCCTTCTCTCCTCTGCCCCACTGCACTGCATCACACCTACGCTCTGTCACTTCCAGCACCACACAGGTCATTCTCTTTGGTGGACTGCTCCCCTACCCCACTGGGGCAAATTCTCCAAAATCAGTAGATCAGTCTCTGTTTAAAACTGACCTCTGGCCGGGTGCAGTGGATCATGCCTGTAATCCTAGCACTTTGAGAGGCTGAGGTGGGATGGTAACTTAAGGCAAGGAGTCCAAGACCAGCCTAGGCAACAGAGCAAGACCCTGCCTCTACAAAATTCTTTTTTAATTAGCTGAGTGTGGTGGCACCTGCCTGTAGTCCCTGCTAATCAGGAGGCTGAGGTGGGAGGATCACTTGACCTGAGGAGGTCATGAGCTGCAGTCCTGCCATTGCACTCCTGCCTGGGCAACAGAGTGAGTCAATAGATAGACAGGGAGATAGATAGATAGATAGATAGATAGATAGATAGATAGATAGATAGATAAGATAGACAGATAGGTAGATGATAGATAGATTAGATAGATAGATGACAGACAGACAGACAGATAGACAGACAGACAGACAGACAGACAGATAGACAGATAGATAGATATTTAGATAGATAGATAGATAGATAGATAGATAGATAGATAGATAGATAGATAGATAGATAGATCTGACCTCCCACAGGACAGGCCCCATCAGATTGGTGCCCTCTGGGTTGGCTCTCTTATCCGCCTGTGGATGCTGCCTTGTAGCACTTTTCACACTGGTGGCTCGTAAATGATTTGTATAATTCACTGTTTGGTGTCCACCACTCCCATGAGATAACAGGGAAAGGAAGAGCCATCTGTGACTGTCCAGTTTACTGCTGTCACCGGGCCTGGCATTTAGTAAGTTCCAAGTTGTCACATGAACAAATGAGAAGGAGGAGAACCAATATTTTTTGAGTTCCTCCTACAAGCTATGGTCTCATTTCTTCCTCCTTACCTTCAGGGAGGTAGAGCTTTCAGATGAGAAAACAGACTCACAGAGACAAGAAAATAGTCTAAGGTCTCCCAGCCAAGAAGAGAGGGAGTCAGGAGTCAACTCCAACATGACACAAAACCTCTCCATGACCTTTGCAGTTCCATCCTCTGGGATTCCAAGTGATCCCCTGTAGTCTGTGAAGTCACTCTGATAGGGGCCTCCACATTCTGGATATTAAGTGGGTATCAAGTCACTGGCATAAGGAAACATTCATGGAACACAAGTCTCCCTTTTCTTCTCAGTCCTGTGCAACTTTGAGAGTTTCACAATTTGCTTGAATATATCTTGGCAATTTCAGGGTGTGGAAAGGCTTCATCCCACTTTGCCTGACCCAGGAGTAGAGGATGGAGGAGGCTGAGAGGGGTTGGAAATGCCTGACCAGACAGAGCACAGAGGGGTGATCTGTGGGGCTCTCATGAAAGCAGACAGTGCTTAGTGAGGCAAGGCTTCCGTCGGGCACGGGCAATTCGGTGGGGTCACTGAGGCTTCAGTGCCAGCACAATGGCGTTCCGGGAGGCCGGCTGGAGGGAAAACAAGATTACACAAATCCCCCGGCTCATGGACTCATCAGGGTAATGAGGCTTGATGCCTGCTGCTTGGTGGTAAAAGAAATTAATTGTGGCTCCCGTGCCTGCCTCCCACAGCACAAGATGGAGCCTCTGGCTGCACATTTGTGGACCTGCTCCTAACACACTGGCCTTAACTGTGGCCTTGAGAGAAAGTCTTCCTCATTCCTTCCACCCTCCATCCATCAAATATTATGAAGCAGTCAGTCCTCCCTTTGAAATTTGCCTACTACCTCTCTGACCTTGATTGGAAGCATATACTATGTATAATGATTGTGATGACCAACATTTGGGTGTTTACAATATGCCATTCACATGCCTTATACCATATAATGCCCACAACAATCTGATGAGATGGGGACTGTTATTATCCCATTTCACAGTTGAGGAAACAGAGACTTAGGGAAGGAAGTAACTTTCCCAAGATGCAGAGCCAAGATCTGAACCAGGCATCAGAATTACAGTGGGAGCACAGGACAGATGTCACAAATGAGGCCCTGGACTAAGCTCTCTGTCTCTCAGAGCTTCAGTCTTCTCCTCTTTTAAGTGGGTAGAGAAAGCCCCATGTCACAAGATTGGCATGAGCATGCGAAGTGGAAATGCATGTGGAGTGGGATCCCTGCATGGGACACAGAGTAGGGCAGAAGAATGGTTTATGATCTGACAGCTCATGGAAGCAGGAAGGGTCCAAAGGTCAAGGTACCTTGAAGCCTAGTGGCTTCAGGGTTCAGGCAGCTTTGGGATGGAATCCTGGCCCACTGACCTCGGACAAAACTGTAAGCTCCTCAACTATGGAGACCTAGCTATAGGCTTCTTAATCTGTTTTCTGATGCAAACACTGGGGGATGGCACAGGGGATGGATAGGTGGGTTAACGGATGGGTAGGTGAATGGATAGAAAGATAGATGGATGGAAGGATAGATGAGTGAATGGAGAGATGGATGAGCAGATGGATGGATGCATGTATACATGCATGGATGGGTGGGTGGATGGATGGATGGATGGATGGGTGGGTGGGTGGATGGATGAATGGATGGATGGATGGATGGATGGGTAGATGGATGGAAATATGGATGGATGGCTTGATACCTACATGGAAGGGTGGATGGATGGATGGATGGATGGATGGATGGATGGATACATGCATGGATGGAAGGATGGATGAGGGAATGGATGGACAGAATTCCAGAACTACAAGGAGGTGGCCAGCTCAATCCACCCATTCCTCTTCAAGTGACCAGAAGCCTGAAGTAGGGAAGTGACTTGTTCAAGATCACACAGTTAATTAGGCCCAAGACTGAGAGATTCTGGCCCTTTTCACTATGCTCCTCCCTCTTTTTAAGTTCCCTGGTGTCATTTATTGCTTCCTAAACTTGTAGCACAGAAACTAGATTATACCACCCACAGACCCTGCCCTGTGCTTGGGGGTCTGGGGTAGGGAAGGGAGGTAACACCTTTGTTTCTGGCTTGAGCTACATGTGGTGCTGCCTCAGTCAGTCTTCATCTCATGAATCCTCAAAAGATAGGAAGGTGGGTTCAGGTGAGTCTCACCCTCACCTGGACTCTAACACAACCCAGATACTGGAAGACTTGAAGTCAGCAAACTTAAGGTCTAGCTCTGATTCTGTCACTAACTGGTTGTGCAACTGGGCAAAAGTCACTTAATCTCTCTAAGTCTCCAAAATAACATGTGAGGGCCATTCTGTCTCTTTTATGGTTTATGGTTTATGGATGTTGGTGAGAGATAACATTCCAGGGCAAATGTTTTCCAAAGCCATCCTGGAGGCTCAGAAGCCCAAAAAGGCAATTCAAAAGAAAACTGCCTACAAAAAAAGGGAGGGCACAGAGAGCCCTGGTGCTTTCTGGAAGGTTCCTCACCTATAAAGCTTCTTCAGGAGCTGAGGGGAGCTTTGCACGCAGCTCCAGATGACGGGCTTCCATGCTGCCAGGCTGCCCAGTCACAGGAGAGGTAATGAGGCAAAGGCCCAGTTCCACCATGCCTCTTATTAAAACAGTACAAGAAACTGTCTAAACACTGGCCAGCTGCCAAGGCCACTGAGGCCTCCTGCAAGCTTGTCATTCCATGAGCTGAGAAGAGAGAACCATGCTGCTGCAAAACGGCAGGGAATTCTGCCAGCCAGGACACTTCAAAGACATTGATGTCCTTGTCCAGCAGACGTGGTGATTCCTGCAGCCTGCACAGAATGGACTTTTTACCCTGGAAGGCCCACTTTAAACAGACGCGAAGGAAGGAGAGTTAGAGCTGAGCGGCAGCAGGAGCTGGGAACTGGGGGAAGCCCTCAGGCCAAGGTCAGGGCTGGCAGGGGGAAGCCACTGAGTCAGCAGAATCCTCCAATCCCTGTTGCTATTCATCAACAACCACTAGGGGACAGGGGCTGATGGGGATCCATTGTGATTCTCACAACAGGCCTGCAGAGCAGATGCTGGGCCTAGCCCCACCTCACACAGGAGAAAACCGAGGCTCCAAAAATAAGGAAATTGCAACAGGCTTTCCAGAGGTGATTCCAGAATTTAAATCTAGGTCTGTCAACTCAAAGCTGGTGAGTCTCCTCTCAGCCTGCACTATTCCTGCTCCTGGCCATGGCACGACCCCAGAAGCCATTTAGTGACCCGAGGAGAAGAGGTGTGCCCCCCTCACTTCCCACCATCAAGGTTGAGTAGGTAGGCATTCCCACAGACTGGTTGCACCAAAGGGAAGGCGGCCAGCCTTTAGGAGCAATCAATGCCTGGCCCGCAGCATTCCACGGCCCAGAGCTCACTGCAGATCACTCTCAAACAAGCCATGAGCTCCCCTCTCTCTGGCTGCAGGGGCTTGTTTGGCTTGGCACACAGAGCAAGTCGGAAGTGCCAGGAAGTGAACATCCTAGGAGTGACCCTCAACCAATGAGGGAAAAGAGTTGGGGGATAAACACGCTATGCTCCTCACTCTGCATGGGACAGTTCTGAGCTGCACCTCCACATCCTCCTGCAGAGGCTCCCAGGGGGCTGAGCCCTGGTTGCCCTCAGCGAAGACTGAAGACCTGACCATCTCCCCCCTTGATTGACTTTCCCTCCCTTCTTGCCTCACTTTCCTTTCCTTCCCTGTGCTTTCTGGATCATCACCAAATAAACTGCTTGAACCAATCCTTGTCTCAGGATCTGTTTGGAGGGAATTTAAATTTAGATACCATCCTGTGAGCAACAGGTGCCATGCAAAAGGGGAACCCCCAAAAGAAAGAGGCAGAGGGAGCTCCAGGCCACATGTGCACTCAAAGCCTCACCTCTGACTCATTCTCAACTTCTTCCTGCCACTGGACTGCACTTTTTTTTTTTTTTTTTTGACACAGAGTTTTGCTCTTGTTGCCCAGGTTGGAGTTCAATGGCGCAATCTCAGCTCACTGCGACCTCTGCTTCCCGGATTCAAGCAATTCTCCTGCCTCAGCCTTCCAAGTAGCTGGGATTACAGGCATGTGCCACCATGCGAGGCTAATTTTGTATTTTCAGTAGAGATAGGATTTCCCCTTGTTGGTCAGACTGGTCTTGAACTCCTGACCTCAAGTGGTCCACCTGCCTCGACCTTCCGAAATGCTGGGATTACAGGCATGAGCCACTGCGCCTGGCCTGCACCTCTTTCAATTATCTGGGTACTCACCTGGTGACATGTTTCCACTTTCCTTCCCACTTTGTGTGATGGTTAATTATTATTATTATTTTTTAAGACCAAGTCCACTCTGTCACCCAAGGAGTGCAGTAGTAGAATCTCGGCTCACTGCAACCTCCACCTCCTGGATTCAATTGATTCTCATGCTTCTCAGCCTCTCGAGTAGCTGGGATTGTCCATGTGGGTGACACATGGACAGGCGCGTGTCACCATGCCCGGCTAATTTTTGTATTTTTTGTAGAGACAAGGTTCACTATGTTGGCCAGGCTGGTCTTGAACTCCTGACCTCAAATAATCCACCCGCCTCGGCCTCCCAAAGTGCTAGGATTACAGACATGAGCCACTGCGCCTGGCCGTGATGGTTAATTTTATGTGGCAGCTTAACTAGATCAAGGGGTGTCCAGATATTCTGCTAAACATTGTTTTTTGTGTGCCTGCCAGGGTGTTTCTGGATGAGATGAGCATTTAAATGGGTGAACTGAGAAAGGCAGGCGGGCCTCCTCAGTGCGGGTGGGCCTCGTCCAATCTGTTGCAGGCTCAAATAGAACAAAAGGTGGAAGAAGGGAGAATGTGTCCCTTTTCTTTGCCTGACGGGTTGAGCTGGGACTTGGGCTTTTCCTGCCCTCAGGCTGAGACATGCACCATCAGCCCTCCTGGTTCTTGGGCCTCTGGACTGCCCTGAACTCTACCGCCAGCTTTCTTGGGTCTCCAGTGTGGGGGATTTCGCAGCCTCCATAATCATGTGAGCCAATTCCTCATAATAAATTTTGTGTGTGTGTCTGCGTGTATGTATGTCTGTGTGCGCACATCCTGTGAATTCTGTTTCTCTGGAGAGCCCTGACTAATACACCTTGCCATCGAGATCAGACTTTGGGGCCAGTTCCAAGGTCCCTACATCACATTTACTGCCTGGAGTCACTTAGGTAGGTGCTATCCCTCAGACCCTGAGCCCAGACATGCCTTCCCCTGGGCCAGCCTTCTGGCGACAGGATTACCAAATGTGCCTCATTCTCACTTATTTTCTTCAACACTCAGGGGCATTTTACTCCACAGAGCAGCACATGTCTGCCTTGGGCCACTGGGTGGACAGTGATATCATTTAACAAAGGGAACACCCAGGGTGAAGAGCTGGTTTAGGGAAGGAAAAAGTGTTGAGCGGGAGGTCCTGAGGCACTGCTGGGAGAATGCCTCAGGGTGGCTTGAGCTATAAAGCTCAGGCTTAGCTGACTGAATGGATCTGAGAGGTTTTTGCCCAAGCAGCTGGTGGGCAAAGCCATCAGAGTGGGTGAGGGTCCCCAGAGGCCAAACCTGAGCCAGATTTTGAGGGGCCCAGAGTTTATACAATTTGGGGAATGGGGAAGAGCTTATTAAGAAACAAGACTGGGTGTGGTGGCTCACACCTGTAATCCCAGCACTTTGGGAGGCCAAGGTGGGCAGATCACCTGAGGTCAGGAGTTTTCAAGACCAACCTGGCCAACATGGTAAAACCCTGTCTCTACTAAAAATACAAAAAAATTAGCCAGGCTTGGTGGCAGGTGCCTGTAATCCCAGCTACTCAGGAGGCTGAGGCAGGAGAATCGCTTGAACCCAGGAGGCGGAGGTTGCAGTGAGCCTAGATTGCGTCTCTGTACTTCAGCCTGGGTGACAGATAGAGACTCTCTCAAAAAAAAAAAAAAAAAAAGAAAGAAAGAAAGAAAAGAAAAGAAAAAGAAAGAGAAACAAAACCCAGAAAATTGTGAAAACAAAATCGCAAGGCCTTTCTCAGACCTGGGTAGAGACCCAGGCAAGTGAGGGACACTGAAGCTTAAGCTTCATGCTTCACTGTATACTCACCTCTGAGTGGGGTCTAACAGACAGGTACATTGTAGTGACATTACTTTCTAACTTTCTGTCTCCATCACTAGAGTGTGAGTGTCGTGTTATGGAATTAATTATGTCAGGTTCACCTGTAGCCCCAGGGCTTTGCATAGTGAATGGCTCTATCAGCAGAGTTCAGTCAAGGAACCAGAAATGTGTCTAGGTATTTTTGGCAGCGAGGTATTCAATATGAGGAAATAAATAGGTGCTAGAAAACTGTTGGATGAGCTGGAGGAGTGAAAGTGATAAGGCTGTTACTGGGCTTTAGGCTTCAAGGTCACTCTGCTTGATTCTGAACTCAGGATACTGTAGGCAATTCCAGCTGATGCCCCACCAGTCCCTTACCCATGAACTGATAAATAGAGAGTATGACCACTGCAAAGCTCACTCCTGCCAAAGCCTGCCCACCAGCTGCCACTGCCAGAGCAAATTCTGCTTTCCAAATGTTGCACATGTGCTTCTCATTGGCAGAGCCTAATTTTTTTTTTTTTTTTTGAGACAGAGTCTCACCCTGTCACCCAGGCTGGAGGGTAATGGCTTGATCTCGGCTCACTGCAACCTCCGCCTCCTGGGTTCAAGCAATTCTCCTGCCTCAGCCTCCCGAGTAGCTGGGACTACAGGTGTGCACCACCATGCCCAGCTAATTTTTGCATTTTTAGTAGATACAAGGTTTCACCATGTTGACCAGGATGGTCTCAATCTCCTGACCTCGTGATGTGACCACCTCGGCCTCCCAAAGTGCTGGGATTACAGGTGTGAGCCACTGCGCCTGGCTGGCAGAGCCTAAATTTTATCCAGAACCCTAGCAGCAAAGGAACATAGGAAATACATTTCATCCCCTATGAAATAGCAGGATTGGGAAGTTCATAGGAAGGGGTACAAATAGATGCAAATTGTCCAAAGAAGACATTTAGGACAATGGCACAGAGTGGGAGAGTGGGTGCTGTGTGAGTTATTGATCATGGTGTAGGAGATTACCCCAAAACTTAGTGGCTTGAAACAACAGTTATTATCTCGTGGTTTCTGTGGGTCAGAAGTCCAAGCACAGCTTATCTGGGTGCTCTGCTTCACGGTCTCTGGCTGATGCCATCAAGCTGTGTCAGTCCAGGGGCTGTGATGTCATGGGAAGACTCTAAGGGGGAAGGGTCCACTCACTCAGTGGCTGTTGGCAGCGTTCAGTTTCATGTGGCTGCTGAATGGGGGCTCCGGTTCCTCACTGATTTTTGGCTGAAAGTCACCTTCAGTTTCTTGCCACATGGGCCTCCTGCTGGTTTCATCAAAGGATGCAAGCCAAGAAGTCAATAGAAAGAATCTGCTAGCAAGACAGAAACCATGGCCTTTTTCGAACCTAACCACAGAAGTGACATCCCATCATTTTTGCCATATTCTATGGTTAGAAATGATTCACTAGGTCCAGCCCACAGTCAAGGGCAGGGGCTTACACAACGGTGTGACTACCAGGAGGAGGAAATCATTGAGGTCATCTTCGGAAGCTCTCTGCAATACTTGGTGAACACCTGAGTGAGGAAAGCCCGAGAGCAAGAGGCAATGGAGTCTGGTGCTCCAGGGGGAGGCCTCTGGCTGTCTGCGCACAGCTTCACATGGTCATGGTGTCCCAGTGGCACCACCTGGAAAAGGGTGCCCAGAGGCGGCCAGGCTGGAGAATGGAGGAGGACTGCTTCACTGGGATCAATGCATATGACATGGATAGATAAACTGCATGTCAAATTCTCTTCTGTTTTGTTTGTTTGTTTTGAGACAGGGTCTCACTCTCTTGCCAAGGCTGGAGTGCAGTGGTGTGATCTTGGCTCACTGCAGCCTCAAACTCCAAGGCTCAAGTGATCCTCCCACCTCAGCCTCACAAGTAGTTGAGACTACAGGTGCACACCACCATGCTTGGCTAATTATTTTATTTTTATTTTTTGTAGAGCTGAGGTCTTGCTATGTTGCCCAGACTGGTCTTGAACTCTGGGCTCAATTGATCTGACCTCCTCAGCCTTCCAAAGTGCTGGGACTGCAGGTGTGAGCCACTGCGTCTGGCTCCAAGTACCCTTTTAAAATGAGGACGGTAACTGGCACGGGGGTCCAGAAGGTGGAGTCAGCCCGATGTCTTGTGTATGGATAATTGTCGCAATTTGATTTAATCTTGCCTTCTCCTCTCCTAAAGTTCCTATCTCCCCTCGTCTCTTTTTTCATTTTATGTCACAAAAATCCACATGGTAGATAGCTGTGACTGAGGGGCTTCATTCGGACACACTCGTGTGCTTAGCATCCCCCAGGCACCGTGCTAGGCAACGGGAGTATAGACACGAGCAGGACATTTCTCCTCCTGTTTTCACAGTCTTTGCCGACCCTGGTGGAGATGTGAGCACAGACAGGAGGATTGAGTACGGGCAGAGCCAACCAAGGGAGAGGCCCTGAACTCCAACTCGGAGAGGATAAAAGGCCTCCAGAGGAAGCGACCTGGGAGAGGAGTCTCAGAGGTTAAGAATTTAGTCAGGGAAAAAGGAGAAACGACTCCAGGGAGAGGAGACAGCTGGACGACAGCAGGAGTGGGGATGAGAAATGGGGAGACAGGGAAGCAGACATCGGAGGCAGTGGGAGAGCTCACATTGCAACGAACCAGGGAGCTGCCTCTCTAGAGGTTGTTTGGGCTGCCCTCTTGAAATCGTTAGAAAGAATGCAGTGTTCGGAGGCACTTTATTTTAGGCTTTGTTTAGACTGAAAGGAAAAGCAAAGACGGTGGTGTGATCCTTAATGAAAGCCTAGCAGACGCGGGCATCAGCCAACTGGAAAGCAACAGTCCACTTCTCGGGAAAAGCAAACAGTCACTCTGGGCCTTGGTGTTTCCATCCATAAATGGGGCTGTCTATGTTATACACCTGCTCACTTGATGGAAGCACTAGGGATGAATAAAGACGAGGGTCCCAGGCAAGGTAAGTCTCCGGGGAGCTGTCTCCATCTTTAAAAAGGCCTTTGAGTTCCTCAAGATGAAAGAATCTGTGGACGTGAAATTCTGTGATTCTCCAGGAACAAAGTGCCCAGACCAATTTGTAAGCTATGGAAGAAGTGACTCATCTGCTTGAAGGGAGAGATGTTGAAGGAGCGTGGAGCCAGGGAGGAGGGAACGCAGGAACACGATGGGAACCCACAGGTGGTTTATGAAGGAGCCCTCAGAAACAGAGAGGGGAAAATCAACGATATCACAAACAACAGAATGTGCAGCTGTCATGGAAGTTGGTGTTTACAAAGGTATTTTAATGACATGAGAATGTGTTTGATAAGAAGTGAAGAAAAGGAAAAAGCGGCAAAATTGCGCATGTAGTTATGTGATTATTATCACCAATATATACACTTACATACATGCACTTATGTACACACATACATATATGTATTATATAGATGTAGATATAGCTATATAAACACACATACATACAGGGGAAAATGATTGGATGGAACTTTGTGTAAAGGAAAAACATCCAGGTAGTGGAATCACAGATTTTTATTTTACATGTGATTTTTTTTTTCAAATTTGCCAATTTTTTTAGGAAGGGCATGCTATGCTTTGAAATCAGAAAAATGTTTAGAAATGTAGAAAGAAAAAATGGCGGGGCGGGGGTGCGAGATAAAGGATGAAAGCTGGAAAAGTGAAAGGAAAAAGTATTTTGGAAAATAAGAAATTCAATCCATTTCCCCAAACATTTCACTTGACCACACGCTGTGTGCCCAGTGCGGCACAAGCAGAATAAGATAAAATCATGCCCACCCAGGAGCTTCAGTCTGGGAAAGGCTGAAAAGTAGCAGGCTGTCTAGTACCTGTGGTGTGTGCTAAGGCTAACAGGAGGCTGTGTGAAAACGAAGGTAACCACTCAGTCCAGGAAAACCCAGGAGGCCTTCCTGTAGGAGGCAACACTTGAACTGAGTCTCAAACAAGCAGTGGGAGATGGCCTAATACAGCAAGGATGATGGGGAGGGATGGACAAGGGGTGATAGACATCTCAAGGAGGGTTAACTTGTGAATTCTGTCAGGAGACAATTAAAAAGAGTGTCTTTCCAACTGAGCCAGCCAATATGTGGTCCCCAGCGTCAACCCTCATGTCTTCAAACTCTGGGGGTTATGAGGTTTATTTGTTTAATATCTTCATGTAACAATAGTGTCCTATTGTTTTAAAAGGCCTTTGTATGTTGTCTCATTTTATCCTCTGACAGCTCTCTGATGTAGATATCATCACAATTATCTTTTTATACATGATAAAATTGAAACTTGGGAGCCTGGAAGGAAGCAAATGAAGCCATAAGGGCAAGGCCCTGATGCAATAGAACTGGTGTCCTTGTGAGAATAGGAAGATGCCAGGAGTGTGATGCACAGGAGAAGGACCATGTGAGAATGCAGCAAGAAGGCAGCCATCTGCAAGCCAAGGAAAGAGACCTCAGGAGACACCAACTGTGCTGACACCTTGATCTTGGACTTTCCAGCCTCCAGAACAGTGAGAAAATAAATTTCTGATGTTTAAGCCACCCAGTCTGTGACATTTTGTTATGGCAGCCCAAGTACATTGATACAGGTTCCTATATCAGCTTTATCACTATTAGCTGTGTGACCTTGAACAAGTTGCTTAACCTCTCTGTGCCTCCATTTCCTCAACTGTAAAATGAAGTGGCCGACTTCATACTGCTGTTGTAAAGAGTATATGAGTTAATATCTCTATATAAAAAGCACTAAACACCCCTGGCATACAGTAGGTAGTAATAAATAAGGGTTATTTACTATTTTAGTGACCTGCCCAGGGTCATCACACTCTAGCCAGTGCATGGAACAGAAGCTCAGACCTGAACCTGGGACAACCCCTGCTTCCCATTGCTCCCCTTAGGTGGATGTCATAAAACCCTTTTGTTTTACAACTATGGAAGCTGAGTCAGACAGAGGGTCAGTGGTGGAGCCGAGATCTGCCTGGACTTTCCTCTCGAGGCTCCGCTTTCTTCCTCATGGAAGAAAGTTTTGGTTCATTTTTGCCCAAGGCAAGCAGCACACCTGAGCACTGAGGCAGGTCCTGCCAGAAGGCACCTGCCACTCACCCAGGCCTCCACCTTAGAGGCATCCAGACCCATGAGCCAGTCAGTAGACCCCACAACTGACTGGCCTCCCAGCAGCCTGCACATTCCTTACAGTCCCAAGGGACCGAAGCATGTGGTTGAGATACCAAGTGTTAATTTACAATGAGAAATGAACTCTCCCGTGGCTGGACATCTAGGCTGCCCCTGGTTTCATCCATTCACTCGGTAAACGCTGCCGAGCATCTGCTATGCTCCAGGCCCTGGGGATGAAATGGGGAGCGATGCAGACTTAACCCCTGCCCCCATGGAGCAGGGAGCCTGAAGAAGGACACGCATTTTAATGAAAGACCTGAGCACGTTCATGTAAATTATGTAACCAGAGTTTTGAACACAGAGGATTCCTGTGGTGTAATCAGAAAAGCAGCTGCAGTTTTGTTTCTTGAAGTCCCTGCCTGCCTGCCCTTGATCCCCTGTCCCGGTGAAAACTCCGTAGTTCCACAACTCTCCTGCTCCTTCTTAGGCAATAGAAAGTTCTGCCATCACTCTAAGCCATAATCCTGGTTTCAATTCGGCATGAAATAGCCAGTCCCAATTTGGTAATAACCAAAACTCAGAGCTCAATTTAAACTTGGAATTTTCTTCTCCCTAGCCCAGGCTGGCTCCAGATGGGGCACCTGCCCAGGAAGAGGAATCCATCCTCCTTTGCCCTCTCCCTTTCTCCCATGCTGGCTGTTCTTCCTGACCCCACCAGGGTTAAAGTAGGGGGAGGGGCCAGACACAGTGGTTCACGCTTGTAATCTCAGCACTTTGGGAGGCCAAGGCGGGTAGATCACTTGCGGTCAGGAGTTCGAAACCAGGCTGACCAACATGGCGAAATCTCATCTCTACTAAAAATACAAAAATTAGCTGGGCATGGTGGTGAGTGCCTGTAATCCCAGCTACTCAGGAGGCTGAGGCAGGAGAATCACTTGAACTCAGGAGGTAGAGGTTGCAATGAGCCAAGATTGAGCCGCCACTGTACTCCAGCCTGGGCAACAGAGTGAGACTCCATCTCAAAAAAAAAAGAGGGAGGAGAGGGAAGAAAACCAGAAAAATATTCCTGTGATGGGTGCTGCTGTCAGATGGCTTCTTGCTCTCTGCACCTGATGCATATTTACAGGTGACCCCCCGTATGCTGCTGCCACAGGCCCCTTCAGCTGCCTTCACCAAGAGGCAGGCACCACTGCCCTGTGCCCAGCTACAGGGCACACAGCAAGCCCTCCGATGATCCTTTGGGTGCCTTTTTTTTAACCAGGTTTGGGATTTGTACAGAGCATTTCCCAATCCCCAGCCCTGTACACCAACAACTTTCTTCAAAAATATCTTCCCATTTCCACTCTCTTGATCTGCTTAATGTCCTTGCCTTAGACTAAGGGTCCAGTAGCCATTCTTGGATATTTCCTGTCAAGATGTGCATTGTGGTGGGCGATCCTGCCAATTTTTTTTTTTTTTTTTTTGAGATGGAGCCTTGCTCTGTCGCCCAGGCTGGAGTGCAGTAGCGCGATCTTGGCTCACTGCAACCTCCGCCTCTTAGGTTCAAGTGATTCTCCTACCTCAGGCTCCCAAGTAGCTGGGATTACAGGTGCCTGCCACCACGCCCGGCTAATTTTTGTAGTTTTAGTAGAGACGGGGTTTTGCCATGTTGACCAGGCTGGTCTCAAACTCCTGACCTCAGGTGACCCACCCACCTTGGCCTCCCAAAGTGCTGGGAATGCAGGCATGAGCCACCACGCCTGGCCTATCTTGCAAATTCTATCACTGTCTAATAAACTCTGTCTTGGCACCTCAGCTAGGACATGTGACCACTGGGTCACATTTCACCCCCAGTGCCTACCACAGGGCCTGGCACACAGCAGGTGCCCAAAAATATTTTTTGAATGAATGAATTAATAACCTGATAACATGAATGTCTGGTTGGCTTGCTTATTTATTTTTGTCAATTAGTTCATTGCTATCTGCTCAGTGTGCTTTTGCTTCTTGTGCTTTCGATTAGGGGAAGGACAAGGCACTAAAACACCATATGGCTGGGCAACCCAAGGAAGAGGGTATAGAAGGGAGGGGAAAGGGGAACAGCATGGAAGGAAAGAGAGAACAGCATGCACGTAGGCTCAGAGTATGCGTGAATGAATTAATAAAATGGAAAAAAGAGGGAGAATAATGACCAAAAGAGCTACTCTTTATATATTACTCTTCAATATTTATTGAATGTCTTGTGCCAGGCTCTGTTCTGCATTCTTCATAGATGAGGAAATTGAGGCAGGAGAGTTTTAAGGTAATGCCCCAAATATTAGAAACAACCATGTCTGTCAATAAGGCATCGATACTAAATTGCAGTATAGCCCACACTGGCATCTGATAAAGGCGCAGTGACAACCAGAATAAAGGAAGTTCATGAGCTGGTCTCCCGCCACCTCCAGGATGGAGAGTTAGGCAGGAAAATCAAAGTGCACAGCAGAAGGGGAGAAGGGGAAGAAAAGACTATAGCCGTATATTGGCTTGTGTGCACAGAACCCATCTCTCAAAGGATACATGAGAAACTTGGAACACTGGAAGCCTTCTGGGAAAGGAATGCGGAGGCTGGGGAGAGAGTTACAGAGAAAGTTTTCACTGTACATTTGCTTAGACTTTTTTGATTTTGCTTTATGTGACTATATTAGCTATTTTCACAAAAATGTTTAAGTTTAGCCAGGCTCAGTAACTCACACCTTTAATCCCAGCTACTTGGGAGGCTGAGGCGGGAGGATCGCTTGAGGCCAGGAGTTTGAGACCAGCCTAGGCAAACATAGTGAAAACTCATCTCTTAGCAAAACAAAACAAATAATAATAATAATAATGACATTTAAGTTAAAAGAAGGAAATAAAAAATATAAAGGTCTTTGCCCTGTCTCTGGAAATGAATGGCTGGGAGTTAAGTCTGCAGCTGGGTCCTCGGCCTCTAGCTCTCCTGCCTTCCCATCCATTGCACTCCATTCCTGCTCCTGAAACAGGCATAGCTGGGAGAGTCTGGCTGGGAAGGAGAGTGGCAGCTGTCACAGAGGTCAACTGATCACCACCCTCACTTGTCACCTAGACCACCTGACCTGACCTCAGAGGTCCCTTCCAGCCAGAGAATGCAGAAGAGACAGCCCCAACTGAAACATGGCAGAAAAAGGACAGCTGCCCCTCTGCTCACGAGGAGCTGCCTGAAGGACACCCTTGTTCTGCTGGAAGCTACAGGACTTCCTTGAGCCTCCTCCACTGACGGCCCCTAGGATCAATCCCACCTCCCAGATGAGGAAACTGAGACCCAGTAGTGGAAGGGACTTGATCAAGGATGTGGCTACTAAGGGGCCAGGGTGGAGCTCATGACTTCACATCACCTGCTGTGAGGGGATGACTTGTGTTCCCCAAAAAATCTATATGTTGAAGTCCTAACCCCCAGGGCTTCAGAATGTGGGTGTATTTGGAAATAGAGCCTTTACAGAGGTAACTAAAGTTAAATTATATCATTAGGGTGGGCCCTAATCTAATCTGATTGGTGTCCTTATAAGGAGAGGATTTTGGGACACAGACACACAGAGGGAAGACCATGTGAGGACACAGGGAGAAGGGGGCTGTTTGCAAGTCAAGGAGACAGGCTTCATTAGAAACCAACCCTGTGGACACCTTGATCTCAGACTTTTAGCTTCCAGAATTGTAAGAAAATACACTTCTATGGTTTAAGCCCCCAAGTCTGTAGTACTTTGTCATGGGAGGCCCAGCAGACTACTATCCCCATCCTGCCCTGGGCAAACATTGTCTTATTTTATCTTCACAAGAAGCCCGTGGGGTAGATATGCTATTCCCATTCTATGAGTAAGCCAACTGAGTGAAATCACTCTTGAGTTAACTTAGCCAATGAAACTATTAAGAGAGACAATCAACAGAAATCGAAGGAAAGGCTGGACACAGGGGCTCACACCTATGATCCTAGCATTTAGGGAGGCAGAAGCAGAAGGATAGCTTGAGCCCAGGGGTTTGAGACCACCCTGGGCAACATAGCGAGATCCTGTTCTCCACAAAGAGAAAAAAACAAAAACAAAAACAAAAACAAAAACAAAACAAAAGACAAAGAAAGAGAATGAAACGGAAATGAAAAGTGTAAAACTTTAAAGAAATAAGCACTGTACTTTGTTCTGCTGTTAGAGTAACCCCATCAGCTAACACATCACTTAGATAAAAATTAACATAGGATGCTGAAGTCTGCAGGACTTTTTGCAGCCGTGGTGTCAAAGTCAAATTTCTCAGCCAGGAACAGCCATACAGTCTCCCAGATGAAACATTAAGTGCAAAGAGCTTTAGATGCCAAAGGCCATGCTCCGTCCACAGTACCTCCCATGGCCGCCCCCTGCTCAGATAATCCTGGGTACTTTCACATCCAGCAATTTTATGGAAACATAGACATTCATAAGTGTATGTATGTAATAAGTATATGTATAAATTATATATTTATTAATGTAATAATATATAAATGTATGTAATGTGACCACCTCTGTCCTGGATGCCGTCTAAGGATCATACTCCACCTAAGCAAGGCAGCACGATGTGGAGCTTTCTACAGCGTTGGAGTCCAACAGACGTGGGTATGAATCTGGCCCTGGTAGTTCCTAGCTCTGCCTCCTTGAGCAAATCACTTGCAAGTTCCAGGCAAGGCCTGAAGATGTATCATGGGTTTGCACTTCTTCTCTATGCATTTCTGCCATCACCCTGAGAAGAGAGTCCCCAAGTAGTTGATGTTCCTTCAGAGATAACGAAAAATGAGTATACAGAGAGCAAAGCCATCCCAGCCAAGCTCAGCCACCAGACTCCCAGCTTGAAGGAGAACCGCCCAGCTGAGGCCAGCCCAAATGCACTGCCCCAGACGACTTCTACCCCCATAAGAAGTAAATATTGATTGTTGAATGCTTCCGAATATTGTGGTTGTTTGTTACACCGCATTACCAGGCAAGAGTTGACTAATACAGGCTATCAATGGGATTTAAAAGTAGTTGTACATCATCACACACAGCTTTAAATTGGTAATCAGTTGCTCCTGTTATAGCTTGAGAGAGGAAGATAGGCCTTTTGCCTTTATGACTAAAATCCTAGTAATGACAAAACCAACAGTGAAAGTCAGGTGGCATAGATTTGGAGTCCAAAACCAAGTGTCATCACTCAGTAACTAAGTGACCTTGGCCAAGTTACTTAACCTCCCTGTCTTTCAGTTAGTAAATAAGCTGGATAATAATCGTTCCTAAAGAATAGGACTGTGTGGGAATTGAATGAGTTCCTATATGTGCAGCATTTAACACAGTATCTGGCACATATTGCTAGTTACTGCTATGCATTGAGCACTTACTTCATTCTAGGCCCCAGGCTGGGCACCCTGCCTTGTTATTGCTCATCTTCTCAACAAATCTATGAGCCCCATGTACCAATGAGCTCAGCGAGGCTGATCCATACAAATCTCTCCACCTTCATTTCTACCCCTAGTCCAAACTCTGGAATGCTCTTCCTTTGGGGCCCCTACCTATCTTCTTGAGACCTCAGCTTTGTTTTCACATCTTCAGAGATATTTTTCTACCCTGCCAGCAGCCCATCCGCCCTCTGATAGCCTTTCACAACACCAGGTACCTGCGTGTCTCGCAGCTGCAGCACTCAGGATAGGCCAGGCTCTGCTGCAGTAACAAACAAGCTCTGAATCTCAGTGGTTTAACAAAGGTTTATTTCTCCTCATGGTATGTGTTCATTGTGGGATGCCAGGGGGTGGGAGTGTAATTCATCAGAGCCACTCTGGGACCCAAGCCTAGAAGAGGCTTAATTTAACACCCGCTTCCACACTCACTGCCACAGTGGAAAGGGAATGTGGCAAACGGAGCACTGGCTTGTAAAGCTTCTACCCATCACTGAGACACATGGCCCTTATGCTTGCATTTCATGGGCCAAACAAGTCATGGACATGCCTAACCTCAAATGGGGTGGGTAAGTACAATCATACCATGTGTCCAACAAGAAATGAGGGGACAAGCTGGGTGCAGTGGCTCACGCCTGTAATCTCAGCACTTTGGGAGGCTGAGGCAGGTGGCTCACTTGAGGTCAGAAGTTTGAGACAGCCTGGCCAACATGGTGAAACCCTGTCTCTACTAAACTAAAAATACAAAAAAAAAAAAAAAAAAATGAAAAAACCCGTCTCTACCAAAAATACAAAAAAAAAAAAAAAAAAATTAGCCAGGCATGGTGGGACACACCTGTAGTTCCAGCTACTCAGGAGGCTGAGGCAGGAGAATCACTTGAACCCGGGAGGCGGAGGTTGCAGTGAGCCAAGATCATGCCACTGCACTCCAGCCTGGGTGAGAGAGTGAGACTCCACCACCAAAAAAAAAAAAAAAAAAAAAAAAACGGAAATGAGGGGACATCCCTGGTAACTGCCATGATAGTTTTGAATGTCCACATATTTGTGTGACTCTGATGAATATCTACCTCTCCGCTAGACTATGGCTCCTAGGAATAGGGCCCATCTGGTTTAGCTCATCTTTGCATCCCTTGTGCTTTGCACACAGTAGGCACTCAATAAAATTTGTTGAGTACATTATTGAAAAGTGACTATTCCAAAGTCACCTTGTGGGAAGATCTGAACTTCAACCCACATCTATATAATATAAAAACTTTTATCCACATTGCTATACCAGTGTTTACTTCATTAGTCTGAATTTTATTAACAATGATTAAACATGGTACCCTCTTTTGAACTGTTAATTTTGTGTGTGTGTGTGTGTGTGTGTGTGTGTGTGTGTGTGTGTGTGTTTAGAGATAGGCTATCACTCTGTTTTCCAGGCTGGAGTGCAGAGGTGCAATTATAGCTCACTGTAGCCTCAAACTCTTGGGCTCAAGTGATCCTCCAGCCTCAGCCTCCAGAGTAGCTACAGGCACATAGCACCACATTGAGCTAATTTTTTAGTTTTTTATAGAGAGAGGGTCTCGATATGTTGTCCAGAATGGAAATCCTGGCTTCAAGCGATCCTCCTGCCTTAGCCTCCCAAAGCACTGGGATTTCAGGCATGAGCCACTGTGCCTGGCCCTGAACTGTTTTGTTTTTTTGTTTGTTTGTTTTTAACTCTGAAAAGAGTTTAGGTAGGAATGGAAGGATTAGTTCATGTCTCAGTGGAAATTATTAATAATTCAGCCATACATTTTTTCTCAAAATCTGGCTTAGCTCTACCTGAGAAGCTATATCTGGGGTGCAGGTGCTGGTATGGATCATGGGTTTAATTAATGAGATAAGGATGAAAAACAGGAAGCGGATAGTGCTCATTTAGAACCTTTATCACCTGCGTAACAGTTTGAGATGAGATGACTTTTGAAGGACAACGTTTGAACATTCCCTGGTTTTGCCCACAGTGGACTCTGATCGCAAAAGTGACACGACCTTAGTTGGATAATCCACATCACTTCCTTAGAAGGCGCTGTCATTAGGAAACTAAGTCATCTAAGCAAGTTGAGCACACAAGTAAAACAAGGACTCTGTAGAAATATAACTTTCCCTTTTCTTAATTGTGGCTGGAAGTAATTTTGCCAAAAGTAAGCAGGCCGTGGATATGAAATACTTTTACGAAAGTTACTACCACACAGCACCCTGTCATTCTCAGGGTCTTGTGCAAGGGGATACCAAAGTGCCCTCTTGTGTAGAACCTGAGAACTACAAGCCCACTGCGGTCACCGCTGCTCAAACGCATCCTTTACATCTTGCAAAGGGGAATACATGTTTTGCAAAGTATGTTTCCTAATACTTCTTCTTTGTTGTCAACCACAACTATCTCAAACAACATCGGATGGCTAAAAGATGTGTATTAACTGCTGGATTGTTAGCGGTGTGGGAAAAGTGAGAAAAGATGGCTGTAAACTGATACACGGTACTGACAATAACTTGTCCACGGTAATGAAGCTATACAGATATTTTCGGTAATTACAGCCTTTGCTAACTGCCAGCTTGAATTGCATAATGGGAAAAAGGGAAGAATGTTTTGTTTTTAAGGAAAAGAGAAGACACACTTGGAAAGCTGCTGGAGCTAAAGGTGGGGGCAGGGAGTGTTAATGCAGCACAGACATTTTGGCTCCGAGAAGCTAAAGAATTCAGCGGAGAGACTTTTTCCAAGATGAATAAACGCATTTTAAAGTGATCTGCGATTCATTTCACATCTCGGTTTTCAAAAGCCTCACTGAGAAGCGCACTCAGGTAGAGCATTTAAATTTAGCCTGGAGATTTCCTGAGTCTGAAAATACATTTCTGCGGACTTTGCTACTTGTGGCCCAGAATTAGCCATATCAACACAAGAGATTTTTTAACCTCAAAGACACAGCATCGCTGGCACTTTTACTGGCTTCATACTTGAGGTCGATGTAAATCAGGAGCTCCCAGGAAAACGCCCACACCCCAGCCCTGCTTGCACCCTAAGCTGGGCGGCAGACCTCCTGCCGGCAATATCCCGCTGAATGAAGTTTCCCAGCTCAAAATGTCAAAGAATTTCTTATCAAGTCAGAGCCTTTTTTTTTTTTTTTTTTTTTTTTTGGTGGGGAGGAAGGCAAGGCACTGGGAAAGACTCACAACAGATATGACCCTAGTCGTAAAGAAATCCATAATTGCCAGTAACACGACATATTTAAGAACAGGAAAAGACAGACAAGAAAAGAGGGAATTTTTTAAAAAACATTACTAAAGAATAGGACATAGAAGAGTGAAATTGAGAAGGTAAGGAGGAGGGGGAAGGATGTAAAAACTATGACAATACACGAGTTATTCAAAGAGTAGCCTTTCTTCTGCATGAGGCCGCCATGCAGAGTGCCACTTACATGAGGATGGCTGTGACACTGGTACTCATGGGAAGCTGTGGGAAATAAGTTTGCTCCCCTGGAGAAGAAATGGTTGCGAAGATTCTCTGAAGGGGTAAGTGAAGACCTTTCTGGAAAGTTCTGGAAATGTCCTCCTGAAGCCAACTCTTCTATATGGATTTGGGGGAAGATGTGGATTCTCATTAGTGCACACTTGGGTGTATTTCTCCATCATCTTTTATAGTGGCACCCCCACTCTCTCAGTGGTTTACTTTGAGGCAAACACTGTCCTACCTCAGCTCCCCTCCTCTTTTCTCCAAATGTCATTTGAAAATTTGAAAAAAGAAAATTTAAATGAACTTTTTTTTGGTCAGAGGGCCCAAAAGAACTGAAATAGCCCCAGGAAAGCCCAACTACAAGAGAGTCCTTAGGAAAGGCAGTAGGAAAGGGAGTAGTTTGCTTCTAAAATAACAACTGCGCCCTGTTTCCAGTCTCCTCAGTGCTCGACAGTGATCAATGCTGGCTTCTTGGGAATGGACGGTATTTGCCGTGAACTCCCCGTGGCAGTTGGAAGCCGAGAGCCTTGTGCATGGATACACACACAGGTAGTGTTTGGAACAGGAATCTTCCCCCACATGGTGGTATTTTTGGCTTAATCCTAAGCTAAATTTTATAAAAGGGCTTCTCTCTCTCAAGTACCTATTGGACTGATACGGAAATTGCCCTCAAAGTAAACAACTGGGGAAGTGGGGTTGCCGCTATAAAAGATGATGGAGAAACACGCAGTGTGCATGAGCCACGTGCCCTCCGTTAGAACTCCTGTCTGAAGTCAGTGCAGACTCCAGCTGGGGGAGCAGCACACCCTCCAGCAGAGTCTGAAATGACCTGCTTTGTAAAATGTGAACTCTATGACAGTACACCTTTCTCTCTATTTTCTTTTTAGCTGAGAAACCCATTTGTAAAAGATCAAAGCATTTGTTAAGCCAACTTTAGGATCTTCTTCTTATCCCTCACTTTATTTTGGATGCCAATTCGGCCTCATTCTAAAATGCTTTTTTGCTTATTATTTATTCCATTTATTTGAGATAACCTCTCTTCTTAAATCCATCCTAGAGTGATTTCCAGGGAATTAATAGAGAGATAAATATTATAGTTGTTTTCTACTTTTTATAGAAATACCCCCATATAATATGCCTATCATTATGCTTACATTAAAACACACACACGCACACCAGATCTTGCCTTACAAATTTCAGGACAAAGTGAGACTGTAACATAGTATAACATTTGCTGTAAATCATTGTAAATACCTCTTAATTCTCTTAGCTCCAGGCCCAAGATGCTATCTACAAAAGGAGATATTTCAGAGCTCAGAAACTCCTCCTCTGCCAAAGGCCCCCATAAAAGCCACTAGAATCACAGGCAGCCACCTCACCAACCCACCTGCTTAGGAAAGAACAAAAGCAGGGGAGGCTCCTTGGTGAAACTGTAACTCCACAGTAACAATTGAAAGTATAACATGGTGCAAACTAGGAGGTGGGAGGAGGCAGAGAAATTTGATCTTTATTTAAAAGATTCAAAGATTCAATAGAGGAATTTCAAAGAGACTGGGGGCCCAAGGCAGGGAGCAGGGGAATGACTTAGAAAGGTAATAAAGTGTGACCTTTCAGATGCCCCTGCAGGAATAAAGGACAGAGAGAGAACGATTCTTAGATATTCTCATCTTCTTATTCTGTTGTGTTGTAAACAAATAAGAGAGTAGCTTCAAGAAGATGGAGCTGGAAAAGACAGAAAAGATGGGTGGATGGGTGGATGAATGGATGGGTGGATAGATGGATGATGGGTGGATAACCGGATGGGTGAATGGATGGATGGGTAGATGGATAGGTGGGTGGATGGATGGCTGGATAGGTGGATGGATGGGTGGATAGATGATGGATGGATGGATGGATGGATGGACTGATGGATGGGCAGGCGGATTAAATATGTAAGACCAGTAGACAGGTGGGTGGATACCTGTACAGGTGAGTGGGTGGGTAGATGGGTGAGCAAGTGGGTGGGTAATGGATAGGTAGATGGATAGGTGGGTGGAAGAAAGGGTGGGTAAGTGAGCAGGTGGACAGATAGGTGGATGGGTAGGTGTTTGGAAGGAAGAAGGGTAGGTGAGTGGGTAAAGAGAATAAGCCTTTTCCTATTATTACATGTAATTTCATTACAGCATGTCCCCCTCAATATTCACAGGTCTTCCATTTTGAAAATTGCTGTCAAGTGCTGAATATAGTAAAATAGGCACTCATGCAGCCACTGCTAGTGGATATGGAAATTGGTACAACTTTTCCAGATGATAAAGCTTATTAAGAATCTTTAAAAGGCTGGTGCACCCACATGTTCATAACTGCATTATTCACGATAGCCAAAAGGTGGGAACAGCCCAAATGTCCACGACAGATGAATGGATAAATAAAACATAATACATATGAGATCGCGCCACTGCACTCCAGCCTGGGCGACAGAGACTCGGTCTCAAAAAAAAAATTAAAAAAAAAGTAATACATACACATGCAATGGAATATTATTCAGCCTCAAAAAGGAAGGGAATACTGATACATGCCACAACATGGGTAGAGCTCGAGGACATTATGCCAAATGAAATAATCAGTTACAAAAAGACAAATACTGTACTTGTCTGAAGTTCCTAGAGTAGTCAAAATCATAGAGACAGAAGCAGAATGATGACTGCCAGGGCCTGGAGGAGCAGGGGTAGGGTTCATATTTAATGGAGACAGAGTTTCAGTTTTGCAAGATGGAAAAATTCTGCAGATGGATGGGGTTGATTGTGGTATAATAATATGAATGTACTCAGTGCCACTGAACAATATTTAAAAACAATTAAAAGGTCACTTTTATGTTATATATATTTTACCACAATAGAAAAAAAAAAGAAAAAGAAAAAGAAAAACATCAGTGCTCTCTGACCCCTTGTAAAGCTACTTAGAGCAATCAATCCTTAGGAAATATGTCAAAATGCAGACAAAGAAGTGTGCACAATTACATGTGTCACCTAATTGTTAACTGGAATTAATATAAATGTCCAAAAAATTAGGGACTAAGAAATGATGCCTCATTCACACCATGAATTATTAAGCAGCCATTTAAAAATGAGATTTGGCCGGACGCGGAGGCTATCGCCTGTAATCCCAGCACTTTGAGAGGCCAAGGCGGGTGGATCCACCTGAGGTCGGGAGTTCCAGACAAGCCTGATCAACACGGAGAAACCCCGTCTCTACTAAAAGTACAAAAAATTAGCCGGGCGTGGTGGCGGGCGCCTGTAATTCCAGCTACTCCGTAGGCTGAGGCAGGAGAATCGCTTGAACCCGTGAGGCGGAGGTTGCGGTGAGCCGAGATCGCGCCATTGCACTCCAGCCTGGGCAACAAGAGCAAAACTCCGTCTCAAAAGAAAAAAGAGAGAGAGAGAGAGAGATTTACAAACTATTTTAAAGAAATGGGTAATATGTGAGATCGTTTTAAATGATAAAAACAGAACACAAAATTGTCTGCATAACCTACTAATAAACTCATAAAGAAAAAGAAATAGACTATTAGAAACGGGCCAAAAGATTATCTCCAGTCCTCAGAGTAGTAGAATAAATGGATAGAAGTTTTTCAGCTTTTTACACCTTTATGTTCTAAATTTCCTACAATATGCGTGTGATGATGGTGGGTGGAGTTAAGATAGCAAATGGAGGGAAGAAGTATGGAGATCTGTCTCTTTGAGCAAAGTCAGGGGGTAAGGGAACGTGGTCTGAATCGGCGTCAGGATAATGTGTGCAGAGAAATACTACTAATGCTGCAACCATCAAAGAGGCTTCCAAAAGTCCACTCGCAGTAGAAGACCTGAATGGAAGATGAGCTGGGCGTGGGCGTGAGGAGAACGGGCGTGGTCCGAGGAGGAGGTGGGCGAGGTCCTGAATGGGGTGGGCGTGGCCTGGAATGGGAGAGGGGCGTGGTCCTGAGGGGAGGAGAGGCTAGTCCTATAGGGATGGGAGTGGTCAGGGAGGGGGTAGGCGTGGTCCTGAAGGGGACAGGGGCTGGGACTAAAGGAGGGATGCGTGGGCGTGGTCGGGAATAAGTGGGTGTGGTCGTAAAGGGGTGAGGGGCGTGGTTATTGCAGGACTCCGGACAGACGCTTTTGCCAAGCTCCTAGGCAGCCTTCAGAGCCAGAGTCTCCCAAACTCCTTCGTCCTACAGTGAACAAACCAGGCTAGAGTTTTAAGGGAGGTCTAAGGAAAGGACTCAGAGAGGAGTCAGAGTCAATTAAGAGCTTTTCAGAACTAAATATATTATTGAAATAGCCAATGGGCTGATTATTTCTACTCTATAGATTCTTTCAACACTGGGGACAGGGTGGAGAGTAGTTGTTGTGAGGATTTTTATAAATGAGAGGATCAGACAAACATTCTCATCCTGAAAGCTGCCTGTGAGTGACTATATTACCCGTTCATCCGACAAATACATTATCAAGTGCCTACTATATCAGCAGGGCACTAGGCTCTGGGGATATCAGTGAACAAAACAGACGAAGATCCCCGCCTTCGTGGAGCTTGCATTCCAGGGGGAACAAAGGACAGTAAATGTAATAAACGTGTCCAAAGGGAGTGGCACGTCACTGTGTACTTGGCACCACCCTGGTGCTGGGAATGGAAACTCAAGTGTCTGTCTGCTCAGGGTACATCACATCTCCACGCCTGCCCACAGTGTCCTCACTGGAGTCAACAGCACTTGAATAATGGAGAAAGACCCTAATACTTGGAATGTTGCCCATTGCTGAATTCAGTGTCCACCACAAGGCAAGCACACAGTAAACTTGTACTGAATGTACTGAACAGTAAACGAATGAATGCGTCAATCTGTGACTCAATCAATCACATCGTTCACTTGAAGGGCAGAAAAATGAGGGTTCTAGAAAGAAAAGTGTACCAGCAAAAAGGGGTTTGCCAGCATGAGGACCTACTGTGTATCAGGCACTCCCTGTCCACGTAAGACACACAGACACCCACATACACACACACACATGCATGCTTGTGCAAGGCTGAGCACACATTGACACAGAAAGGCTCTGTGCCCTGCACACTGGCCCACACCCGTACTCAGGGAGCCAGGGTTTATATCCAGGTCTGTCTGCTCCTTCCACTCCCTTCCCTGGGTGTCTCTGTAAAATAAACTCAGCTGCTAAGTTTTCTCTTTGCCCCAAGTAACTAAACCCTAAAGAACTTCCCAGGAATCCAGACATGTTTGCAGCAACGATGACTAACTTTGCTGCCTGAGACGGGCCCTTTGTCATCTTTATCTAACATGTCAGAAGTTTCTTCTAATTGGGTTTGTTTGTGGGTGTTCCACCCAGCCCTACAAATTGCTGTCAATAGAATCCTAGGGACTGACTAGGTTTAAATCTCATCTTACAAGGAGTTGATAAAAGCAGTATCACCTCCTCTGGAGGGGGCTGGAAGGTAACTGGAAGCCCAGCAGACCCCTCAATCCCAATCCCCCATCCATAAAGAGCCTGCCCTCTCCCAGCCCAGTTGACAGTAGGTATTTATGCTCTGAGACCCAGAGATGTTGTTCCGTGTATGATGACCCTAATGGCTGGCAAGCCAAGATGCTGTTTGGAGGAGGACATAAATTAGACCTGGAATTTTCAGGATAAACATCTTCAAGATTTATTCCTGCAGCCACTCCCATGAGCACTGGTTTCAGAGTAATCACAAGGCTTCTAGGAAAAAAGGCTTCTGCACATTTTTTCTGGAGCCAAGGTGCTGGGAAAAGGTCACAGGCCCATCCTCAAAGCTCACCAGAGAGAAAGGTCCCTCCTGAATGGCAGGAGCTCTCGCCCTGGGTGGGAGACTGCTCTGAGAATGCAGCAGTTAGGAGGCCTCCAAGCTTGGAGTTTTCCCTTGGTCAAGTCCTTAGCAAAGGCTTTTTTACATTCCGCCAACTTCTGCTTCAAGAATTAGCTTTAACCATGTCCAGGGTAGCACAAAGTGCTTGGGTTTTGTAAGCTAGAGGTAGGTTTGGGAGCCAGCAGGAGGATACAGAACACATTTCCTCTTTTGTAGAGACAGGGTTTCCCCATGTTGCTCAGGCTGTTGTTGAACTCCTGGGCTCAAGCAATCCATCGGCCTTGGCCTCCCAAAGTGTTGGGATTACAGGCATGAGTCACCGTGCCAGGTGGGAATCATTATTTAACAATGGCAGCCTGAGGCTCAGGACACCAAAGTAAGTTGACCAAGACCACAATGCTAAGCAGAGGAAGAACCAGGATTTGAACTCAGATCTGCCTGACTGTTACGCTCTTGGTTTTTCATTGTTCTATGCCGCCTGCCTCTTGAACACAACCGATCACACTGAGGTGCAATTCTGCCTCTCCAGGGCTGCCTCTGTGGCAGGGCTCAGGCCTGGGCCTGGAAGGAGCCAGCACTAGGATCTGGGTGCCAGATGCCCATAGCCAGAGCCAACTGGGAAGATGCTGAGTGACACTCATGCAGCCAGTCTGTTACTGGAAACAGGTCCTGATCCAGAAGCCAAGAGAGGGTTCTTGGTCTTGCTCGAGAAGAATTTTAGTTGAATCCATAAAGTGAAAGCAAGTTTATTAAGAAAGCAAAGGAATAAAGAATGGGTACTCCATAGGCACAGCAGCCCTGAGGGCTGATGGCTGTCCACTTTTATGGTCATTTCCTGATTATATGCTAAACAAGGGATGGATTATTCATGAGTTTTCCAGGGGGTGGGCAGTTCCCAGAGCTGAGGATTCCTTCCCTTTTTAGACCATATAGGGTAACTTCCTGACGTTGCCAAGGCATTTGTAAACTGTCCTGGTGCTGGGGGGGGGAGTGTCTTTTAGCATGCTAATGCATTATAACTAGCATATAATGAGCCATAAGGATGACCAAAGGTCACTTTCATCACCATCTTGGTTTTGGAGGGATTTGGCTGGCTTCTTTACTGCCACCTGTTTTATCAGCAAGGTCTTTATGATCGGTTTGTTGTGCTGACTTCCTGTCTCATCCCGTGACTTAGAATGCCTAACCTCGTCACCGGGGTGTGGTGGCTCACGCCTGTAATCCCAGCACTTTGGGAGGCCGAGGCGGGCGGATCACAAGGTCAGGAGATCGAGACCATCCTGCCTAACATGATGAAACCCCATCTCTACTAAAAATACAAAAAATTAGCCAGGCGTGGTGGCACATGCCTGTAATCCCAGCTACTCGGGAGGCTGAGGCAGGAGAATGGTGTGAACCTGGGAGGCGGAGCTTGCAGTGAGCCGAGACTGCGCCACTGCACTCCAGCCTGGGTGACCCAGCGAGACTCTGTCTCAAAAAAAAAAAAAAAAAAAAAAAAAATGCCTAACCTCCTGGGAATGCGGCCCAGCAGGTCTCAGCCTTATTTTACCCAGCCTCTATTCAAGATGGAGTTGCTCTGGTTCCAACACCTCTGACCAAATCCAGCCTCATTCATTCATTCATCAACAAATGTTCATTGAGTGCCTGCAATGAGCCAGGTGCTGTTGTGGGCACCGGGAAAACAGTGGAGAAAAAGTACAATTGTCGCAGCCCTCATGAAGCTTGTATCCTACTGGGCAGAGCCAGACCACAAAAATACAACAGGAACCATGTCAGCTGGCTGGTCATGAGTTCTATGAAGGAAAGTAAAATGGGGGAGGGTGACAGGTAAGGGGCGGGGTCACCGTTGCCCATAAGCTGGTCAGGAAAGGCCTTTCTGCTCAGAGACTTAGAGGAAGCTAGAAATAGTGGGGAAGGGAGAACGGCCTTCCAAAATCCCAAAGGCGGTGGGAAGAACATCCTGAAGACGGAGCCAAGGCTGCTTCGGAGGAAGGGAGAAGGACGAGCAGAGCGCCCACTGGCGTCGAGGAACGGGAATGCCACAGCTGTGAAGTCCAGAAAACGCTGAGCCCTCCCGCAATGGCTTCCTCACTGAGGGGTGTCTAGGGCCTCGGGAACGAGGCGGAGGATACCAAGCTCCTAAGCCTAGCCGACCCCAGAATTCTGGGAGAGGGAACACATATCCGGGATAAACACACTCCTCAGAAAACACATTGGAACCTCAGAAAGGAGGGTTTTCTGCGATTTTCGGCAGGAGCTGTTTTCTAAGCTAGAAAAGACAGTGAGGTCTCACGTCCTCGAGCTGTGGGCCTGGGGAAGCAGACCAAGTCCTCAATGAGCACAGCTCCCCGCCTTTGAGGCAACGAGGTTGAAAAAGGGCCGCGTGTGAACGTGGGTTAGCGCCGGCACCTCTCTGAGCCTCAACTTGATAGTACTTCCTAGGCTGGACTTTTGTGAGGATTAAATGACTTAACTTGTGGCAAAATTGTCAGGCAAACTGTAAAGTGCTGAAGACATATGAGTCATATTCGTATCTCCCCCCAACGGCTTAACATCCTCAAAATATGTTTTATGTCAACTAGGGCAAAACCTTAGTCAAATTAGTGACTTTAAGGATAAAAATATTGACCTTGAGGACAATAATAAAAATTCACACTAAAAATATCAAAAACAACAAAAGCTTCATCTATGACTTGTCTGTGACTGGCCCATTTACATACATTAGAACTAGTCACAGCAACTCTGTGGGGTAGACATTACCATTTTCACTTTATAGATGGGAAACCCAAGCATCAGAGAGGTTAAATAACCTGTCCAAGGACACACAGCAGGCAAAGATGCCACTGGAAAGATATTTGTTCATTCATTTAAGAAATATCTGCTTGCTACTTTCTCTGTCCTGTTCTCTGAGGTTTCAGAGAGGACCTCCCGCACTATCTATTACCTGCAAATAGGTCACTGTGGTGAAATGAAGTGATGATACAGACATGCAAAATGTACTGCAGAAACAAACTCAGGCCTGGAGGAAAAGAAGGCTCCCTGGAGGAGGTGACGCCGGCACTGAGCTTTGGAAATGAGTGGGAGGCAATTTGGAGAGAGAGGAAGAAAAGGGGCCTTCCAGGGTAAGCGAACAGCTCCAGAAAATACGTCCAATGGAGAACGGCAGCCTAGACCTTCTCAGTCAAACCCCATCTTCTGCCCTCAAGCAGAGCCATTCCTGGTGCCTGGACAGTAGGGAACCCCATGGAAAAACGCGCTCGCTTCTTCTCAGGGCATTGGTTTTGGACAGTGGTTTGAAAGTGTTCTCCCCAAACCAGCAACATCAGCATGACCTGGGAGCTTACTAGAGACACAAATCCTCAGGTTCCACCCGAGACTTGTGGAATGAGAGCCTCTGCAGGAGGGGCCCCGCGATCTGCATTTTAACGAGCCCTGATTCTGATGCGCTGGAAGGGAAGGTCTGAGAACGTCATGTATGGGACTCTGATCAGCCCAATCAGCGAGAATGTTAGAATCTCAGGCCCCACCCCCGACCCACTGAATCAGAATCTGCATTTCACGAGATCCCCAGGAAATCGTATGCATATTAGCATTCGAAAAGCTGGGTGACACCCAAATTCGGAATGACGCCTCCTTGCAGCTGTAAAACTCCAACAGAAACTCTTGGGAAAATCACCCAACCTTTTATTTCTTCTTCTGAGAAAACTCCCAGGTGGGAGGGAAGGAAGCCCTTCAGGCTCAATTAGGGCCGTGAGACCCTTTGATTCTTTCCAATCTCCCGATAAGAATGCGGGGCCAAGGGGCGCTGGGGGCAGCCCTCTCCCAATAAGGGGAAAGTGCTTCCCTCCAGGAGGCAGGAAGCCAAACAGTGCTCTTCTGCCAGCTTGGCCAAGGAACGGCCCCCTCGTGGAGCCTCTGGAATTGGGAAGAAAATTCCTTGCAAATTCCACGGCCATCTCAAACCAGTGCGAAAACGCAAGGGCAGCCCAACGTGGTGCAGCCCAGCTCAAAATGAGTTCAAAACAATTACCAGCCAACATGTGTTTCCTATGAATGGTGCAAGTGTTAAAACGGATTTAATTTTCTTTTGTAAATAAAGAGGCCCATCCAGACCGGCCTGTTTATCTCCCTGGGAGAGATGAAAGTGTTTCATCTGCCAGTAGCCTCTGCCTGCTGCGGAGGTTGGGGGCAGCTCTCTGGACCCCATGTGTTCTCTATCTTGTAATCCAAAGTCATCTTTCCCATGTGGAACTGTTTGAGCACCATGAGGTCTTTTCTCGAAGTCTTACTTTTAGTTATCTAAAATAGTACTCCCTTTTTTTTTCTTAAACATATTAGTGATTCATAAACAGTAAAATTAGTCTGCTAGAAGCTGATGGAGGTATTCATCCTGGTGGCGCCTGCTTTCCTGGGTTAGTAGTTAAAATAAATCATTGCTGTCACAATGGAATTCAGGCCTAAAAATCACCTGTAGGAATCCTCACCATCCCCCCTTTCACCTCCCCCAGGCCTCCAGAGCATCTAGGATCAAAGCTATCTTCCTCACTCCAGCTGAGGGGGGAGAGAAGGGAGGAGAAGGAGGAGGAGGCCCAGAAGGAAAATCCCAGAAGTTATACCAAACCAGGAAATTAATGTCTTTGCTCTATTGTTGAAACTGGAAGCACAAAAGTATGAGGCCAATTTATGATATTAGTGTTTCTAAAGCAAAATATGATTAACCACTTCATTATGTAAAGTTGTTTCCACTTAACCTCTTTGTGCTGGCAACCAGAACTTTTTTTTTTTTTTAACTGCAAATTTAATAAATTCCAACATGCCCAAACTTCCTGACTTCCACTGTCCACCACTGGTTTCTTTGGAAACTTCAATAGCGAGAGATAACTGGCGAGGTCTGCTCTGCCTACCTTCACGGCACATGCCATAATCCAGGATCAGGCAAATAAGCTTTCATCTTCGAAGCACTTAAGTTAATTACATGGAGGCCGGTGGAGGCCCCAGAGCCAGTTCTGCGCACAGCCCTCCCAAAGCCAAACATCATAGGATCCAGATGCAAACCCTTGGCAACTTAAGCCCAACAAATTTCCTTTGTCAAGAAATGCAAACAGCCAAACATTGAAGCGTAGGCTACTTCAGTGAGTTGGCCTCCTTGGGTGCTAGGGCCTGCAGAGCCCAGGCCAGAAACCCAGATCAGAAATGATTCAAATGCGCAAGTGGTCGGGACCTAGCTGGTTCTCAGGAGGACCTTGGGTTGTTCGATTTCATTTTGGACGCGTAACCGACCATGCATGCTTGCCTCCTTTTGACATTTTGACAATTTGAAAGGAACACGTCCCAGAAGCAAGGATGTGAGGGGAATGTGTTGTGGGGGGCAGGGGGAATGCTGTTCCCCCATCCAGTGGAGTTCTCACTGCAGGGTTTCTGCCAAGACTGCTGCAACCTTCCACTCTTTCTGACTCCTTCCTATCTGTCCCATTTACAATCGTCTCTTTTTGTGGACCCCTCTACAGACCCAAGCACCATGTCTGGGGATGTCTGTGTCTGTCCTCTGTTCCCATTGCGCACTGCACAGCCCATGCTCATCATCTGGAATTTTCAGGATAGGGCAACCTCCTGTCCTGGCTGCAAGATCCAGGTTCCATGAAAGGGACATTCATGGCCGTTCTCATCCCTCCTGCCTTGCAGGGTGGCTTGGACTGCGTGGGTGAACCTGCCTGATTCTGGGGTGGCCAGAGGAGGTGCACTGGTGCAGCACTTATCCCACACAGTCACCAGCTTCTAGACAGAGCACAGTGGATACTTTGGTGCTGTCCACCTGACTTCAGTGGATTTAGAGCTCAGGCAGATTCAGAGGAGAGGGGTGTGCTTGGTTAGCATCTTACTGCAGGTTGAATTGTGTCTCCACAAAAGATATGTTCAAATCCTAGCCTGTAGTGCCTGTGAATGTCACCTTACTTGGAAATAGGCCCTTTGCAGATGCAATCAAGGTAAAATGAGGTCACATCAATTAGGATGGGTCCTAATCCCATGACTGGTGTCCTGTTAAGAAGAGGAAGATTTGGACACAGAAACAGACAAAGAAGGAGGCATGTGAAGAAAGAGGCAGAGATGGCAGCCATAAGCCAAGGAAGGCCAAGGATTACAAGCAATCACGGAGGCTGGAAGAGGAGAGAAAGGATCCCCCACCCCCAAGAGCTTCAGAGGGAACATGGACTCAGGACATGTGGATTTCACTTCCAGCTTCCAGAACTAGGGAGGAATCATTTCTGTTGTTTTAAGCCACCCAGTTTGTGGCACTTTGTACAGCAGCCACAGGAAACTAACGTACCTCCTAAAGCCTCAATGATAATCACCTGCTTATGGTTTCCCAAGTGCACTCTGAGCATTGCAGGGGGAGAAAACTATACCCTTTCCTCCCCCATGGCAAGCTTCATAGCAGACACCCCTATAAGAAAAGACATATTAACAAGAGAAAAGTGCGATGCATTGATTCCATCTAAGTTTTATGTGACATGCGAACCTTCAGAAATCAAGACTCAAAGACACAGGAAAACGATGCATTTTTCTGCCTAGGTTTGCTGGAGAGTGGACAGTCGTGTGATTGGAGAGAGGGGGTGTGATCTCAGGGTCCTAAACTGGAGGTGCTCAGCAAGGCCCTGTTTGTTCAGATGCGTCTTGGCAGTTCTGTGTCTTCATTCCTTTCCTCTGGGTACAGGTCAGGACACCTGTCACATGAGGGTCTCTACTTTCAGGGGAGTGGGTCAGAGAATCCTTTCATGCCAGTGGTCATACAGCAAGGCCTGGGAAAGGCAGACAGTGGCCTTCCTGCTTCTGATGTTTTCTCCATTTCCGAGGTGCTATGTCTTGGGGTGACATGTCCTGCACACTGTCAGCAACAGGGGGAGTAGGGACCAGGTTGTCCACAGCTTTGCCTGCTCTCTTTACTGGCACATAGTAGGGCTTCAGTATGAGCAGTGAAGCCTGCACTCGCTCAGCTGGACATATGAGCCCTGCTCACGAGTGTCCGGCTACCTCTTGCATTTCATCACCAGCCCCCAGGCCCCATCCGCTTAGCCTCAGCTACCCTGGGTCTTTGCATGTTCCTGGACTGGGACTGGGATGCCCTGCCAGCCCCCAGCCCTCAGCTAGTCTGTTCTCCCTCCCTGTCGAATCCATCCTGCTTCTACACCTGGCCAGCTCTCACTCAACTGGCAAGACCCAAGTGAAAGGACCCTGCTTCAAGGCTCCAACAGACCTTCCCCAAGCCCCATCCAGCCTGCTTCAGGGCCTCCCTCTGTGTCCCCACAGCCCCTCGCATAGCACCTGTCACACAGTACTGTCATTGTCCATTCACAGGACTCCCTCACAACCACCTGAGGGCAGGGGTCATGCACCACCCACCCCTGGGCCCCCAGCCCTCTGCCAGCCAATGACGCATGGGATGCGTGTTGAGTGAATAAATGCTTAAAATGAATAAATGCTCCATAAATAACTGAGTAAATCTCAACAGTCTCCCCAAATGTGCATCCATATGAATCCCAACTTCACCTCAAAGGTCATATCCCCACATAGGAACAGAAATAGGAGAAAAGGAAACCAGCAAGGCCTTCAGTCCCCTAAAAGAGCAAAGATAAATAAAGGTGAAAATCCCTGTAAATTCTCTATGTTGGGCTCCCTTTAAGCTGGACATGAAACATGCCTCATGAGCCCTTGCTTTTTGGTGTGTGCATGTAAGAAAATTAAGAAAATTATATATATTTTTCCTTTTTTTTTTTTTTTGAGACGGAGTTTCGCTCTTGTTGCCCAGGCTGGAGTACAATGGCGCAATCTCCGCCTCCCCAATTCCCCAGTTCAAGCGATTCTCCTGCCTCAGCTAATTTTGTATTTTCAGTAGAGACAGGGTTTCTCCATGTTGGTCAGACTGCTCTCGAACTCCTGACCTCAGGTGACCTGCCCGTCTCGGCCTCCCAAAGTACTGGGATTACAGGTGTGAGCCACCGTGCCCGGCGAGAAAATTGTAATTTGTCTAGCTGTAGAAAATTCTCTTCTTTATGAGCTTCCAAACCCATCTTATCAGTGTGCAATTTTGACTGTTTGCTTTCTCCTGAATGAATATTGTTGTTGGCAGGAACAGCGATATGATTAATTCCCTGAGGGTGGTTAGCTTGGGATGACCAAGAGGGACCCACTGGATAACTTCGTAACATTGACGCTGGGAAGAAAAGTTCCAGATGCAGGTTGGTGTTTAATTTCTCACGGGGTCCCAAATCTAGGAAGAATCTTTCTAAAAGTTAAACGGCCAATCACTAAATATTTCCCAATGACCACAACCCACCCAGAAGGGGAAGTTAGGGCAGGCTGTGTTCTCTTGGTGTGAGAGTTTTTATCCTAAACTTTGTCCTGGACAAAGTGGCCAGCGACACAGTAGCCTTGATCGTGTCACTGCACTCTCCACTTCCATCCACAACTTCTTGCCAAGCCGCAAATTTGCCATTCTCTTGTTTCCTCTGCCTGACACTACATTCCCTTCCTGCGTTGGCCCTGCCTCCTGCAGGTCTCAGCTTAAATGTTACCTCCTCAGGAGACCTTTGAGCCCCATTCCAGCTCAGCCCCTCCTGCAGGCCCTTGTGTGATGGTCCCCAGGTAAGGTGACTGCATCTGCCCTGGCCACACCACACTCCAGCACCCAAGACCACACCTGGCACAGAGTGAGATTCAATATCCAGAAAGTAAAAACAGCTTGGCTGTCTCTTTGCAGCCTCTGGTTTAGTGAAAGGCACACACTGGCAGGAGGACAGAAACTGTCATTCATGTATAGTGACTCTAAGAGAGACCCAGAATAATCGTGGCTTAAACTCGAGAGAGAGGTTTGTTTCTCTCTCACCAGGGACCCAAGCTTCCTCTGTCTTCTTGCTCTGCCTAACAGGAAACTCCCACTCATGGCCCAATATGGTTCCTCTGGCTCCTGCCCTCACATCTGCACTCCAGCCAGTGAGAAGAAAAGGGGCAGAGGAAGGACATGCCCTGCAAGTTGCACATATCACTTTGGTTCACAGCTCATTGGCTGGAACCTGATCCCATGGCCACACCTGGCTGCAAGAGGGTCTGGGAAAGTAGGCATCAGCTAGGCACCCACATGCCAGCTAAGAACTCAATTACTGTAGAAGCAGGAGAGAATGGACAGTGGGGGACAGTGGGGGAATGCCACCTCCAGGGATCATCGTGAGTAACTCTCACCATCCTCTCCTCAGACAGTCTCTAACCAGTCACCATGTCCTTGTCCCTTGGGTTTAACCTTCCAAGGGTCCTCATCCCTCAGCTGGAATGCCACAGTAGTCCCCTCCCCACCAGCCCTGCCACCCCACCACAGCCACACTGGCCCCAATCTATCCTCCATATCTGAGAGTCCATGTGGTACAACCCTGTGGTGGGCAATTTGGAAATATATATCAAAATTGCAAATTCCCATGGAGCCCTTGACCCAGCAATTATATATCTAGGAACGTGTCCTACTATGCTGCTTATGTGCAGGCACAATGCTGCTATCCATTGTGGTCCAGTGCTATTCAGTGCAGGGCTGTGTATAACAGAGAACAACTAGAAATAACCCAATAGCTATGCTTATGGGATTGTGAATAAATCACAATATACCTGTGCATTGAGACCCTACCTATTACTCAAATAAAAAAAGGAAAGACTAGGTAGGTGTAGTGTCTCACTCCTGTAATTCCAGCACTTTGGGAGGCCAAGGTGGGAGAATCCCTTAAGCCTAGGAGTTCAAGACCAGCCTGAGCAATATAAGGAGATCCCTGTCTCTACCAAAAATTTAAAACTTAGCCAGGCATGGTGGCATGGACCTGTAGTTTCAGCTTCTTGGAAAGCTGAAGCAGGAGGATCGCTTGAGCCAGGAAGGTCAAGGAGAGTGCAGGGAGCTGTGATTGTGCCATCGCACTCCAGTCTGGGTGAGAGAGCAAGACCCTCTCTCCAAAAAAAAAAAAAAAAAAAAAAAAAAAAAAAAAAAAAAAAGTGTTCTGTGCTCTGATATGCAAAGATCTGCAAGATAAACTATTAGAAAAGAGATTCATGGTTGCCAGGGCAATATAGGAAATAGAAAGAGCTGGGCATGATGACTCATACCTGTAATCCCAGCACTTTGGGAGGCTGGGGCAGAAGATCACTTGAGATCAGGAGTTCTAGACCAGTCTAGCCAACATGGTGCAACCCTGTCTCTACTAAAAATACAAAAATTGGGCTGGGTGCGATGGTTCATGCCTGTAATCCCAGCACTTTGGGAGGCCATGATCCTCATGGATCATGAGTTCAGGAGCTCAAGACCAGCCTGGCCAAGATGGTGAAACATGGTCTCTACTAAAAATACAAAAATTAGCCAGGCATGGTGGCAGGTGCCTGTAATCCCAGCTACCTGGGAGGCTGAGGCAGAGAATTGCTTGAACTTCGGCGGTGGAGGTTGCAGTGAGCCGAGATCGTGCCACTCTACTCTAGCCTGGGCAACAGAGCAAGACTCTCTCAAAAAAAAAAAAATACAAAAATTAGTTGGGAGTAGTGGTGGGTGCCTATAATCCCGGCTACTGGGGAGGCTGAGTCAGGAGAATCCCTTGAACCCAGGAGGCAGAGGTTGCAGTGAGCCAAGATTGTGCCACTGCACTCCAGCCTGGGCAACAGAGCGAGACTCTATCTCAAAAAAAAAAAAAAAAAACAAAGGAAATAGAAAGTCAGGATTCTTTCTGGGGTGATGAGAGTATTTTAGAATGAGATAGTGGTCACAGTTACACAACTCTGTAAACATACTGAAAAACCACTGAATTATATACACTTTAAAGGGTAAATTTTTCATCACTAAGCAAAAAAAGCCAGGTGCAGAATGACACCATAATATTTTGTGTTAACAGGAAAAATAAGAATCTTCACTGACCATTGTTTCACTTAAACTCTGAAAGGCGACACAGAAAACTAACCTGGGAGACTAATGAAAATGGGAGTGGGGACGTCAAAAGGAAACTTTTCCATTTCCCTTGTATATTTGTTGGTTTGTGAGCCATGCGACTCTATTGTTGATTCAAATATTTTAATTAAAGAAACGGACCCTGAAGTGGCTCCCTGCTGCCTCCAGGTTCAAGTCCAAGATTTTGAGGCCGCAAAACAGCCTGGTCTCTGACTCACATCCTGCACAACCCCTGTTCCCTCCCCAGCCTCGCTGTGTCATCATTCTGTGTATCCTTGCTCTGGCTGGCTGTTCCTTCTACCAAAAACGCTGTTCTCCAAGCTGTTAACCTACTCACTCTCCACTATAGCTATAGCCACAAAGCAGGTGGGTAAGGCGTTGACCTTCATGGGTCCAAAGCCAGGCTCAAACTCTTCCTAGCTGGACAATCTGGGTAATTACCATATGCAAAATGGGAGCCATAAATACCGCCTGCCTTGTGAAAGAAGCTGCGTGTGCCTGACACATAGGGCCCAATGCGTGGTGGATGTTTTTATTTGGTTCAATCACAAAAGTAAAGAGAACCAGGGGCGCCTGGTGGGAGGAGCCTCTCCTTTACCTCCATGTATCTTGGGGCTGGAAAAACTAAACATTTGTTTTCTTAACCTCCTTTTAGGTCAGGCATGGCCAAGTGGAGGTTCCAGTGATCTACTGCTGCCAGTTATCTTTCGGCCACTATGGAGGTTCTAGTTACCTATCCCTGTCCAACCAAACACCTCTTAACTTAGGAGCCTAGGACAACTTCTGTATTTTGCTGATGGTTTTGTGGGTCAGGCAATCGGGAAGAGCCAGCTGGGTGGCTGTCTCTGCTCTACATGGGCCCAGTTAAGGTGGCTGGGGCTGAAGGACCCACCTCCAGGATGGCCTCACCTCATGTCTGGAGCCTCAGAACCCCTGAGCTCCCCCATCTCTCCAGGTGCCTTTTCCTCCTCCAGAGTTTCTCCTAACATGGCAGCCTCTGAGTTATCTGACTTCTTGCAGAGCGGAGGGAGGAGGTGGAAGCTCCTAGCCAGTTATGGGCCACACCTGGAGCTGTGCACAGGCAATTCCGTTGTGTTCTATGTAGTCATAGGATCTTCCCAAGTTCAAGACAGTGGAGAAACAACCCCTACCTTTTTTTTTTTTTTTGAGACAGAGTTTCACTATGTTGCCCAGGCTGAAGTGCAGTGGCATGATCTCTGCTCATTGTAACTTCTGCCTCCTGGGCTCAAGCGATTCTCCTGCCTCAGCCTCCCAAGTAACTGAGATTACAAGTGCCTACCATCACACCCAGCTAATTTTTGTATTTTTAGTATATACAGGTTTTCACCATGTTGGCCAGGCTGGTTTCCATCTCCTGACCTCAGGTGATCCACCTGCCTCAGCCTCCCAAAGTGCTGGGATTACAGGCATGAGCCACCGCTCTCAGCCCAGCCCCTACCTCTCGATGAGGGAGTGGCAAGGGCACCTTGCAGAAGAGCGTGTGTAATGGGAAATATCGCTGGCACCATCTTTGGAAAATACAATCTGCCATGCTGGGCTAAGCAGAAGCCTTTAGCAGATTCTGGAAAGCTTTGACTTTTTCAGTGAAAGGGTTCACATGTTGCTGGTACTGCCCCTGTTCCCCTTTCTTTCTTCCTTGAACAGGAATGTCATGGTCAGAGCAGCAGTAGCCATCTTGCAACCAAGAGAAAACAGTGAAGAGAAAAACAGACATGTCAGTCCTACTCCCTTGAACTGCTAAATCAACACCAGCAATCACCTGCCTTCGGGTTTCCTGTTACATGAGAAAAATAAACCTACTTTTCCAAACAGAATTCCAACTGATACAAGCAGGAGTTCTGACATAAGACAGAATGGGTTTGAATCTCGGCCTTTCTGGGGGTAGGAATCTTGGCTCTCTCTCCTTCAGTTTCTTCATCTGTAAAGTGCAGGCGACGATACCCACTATCTCATGAAGACCACATGGAAGACACATGTGAAAGTTCAGGACCCAGACTCTTTCCATCATGCTGTCCCCCCAGCTTAGCATGTGGCTTCCAGACCCAAAGTCCTCTCAGGATACAAGAGAGCTGCTAGAGTTCCAGACATCACATCTGCATTCCAGACACCTGGAAGGAGGAAGGAAGGAATGCTCGATCGAGATGAGTCAGCTCCCTTAAGGAATCTTCCTAGAAGTCCCTCTGACACTTCTGCTTTCATTCATTGGCCAGAACTTAGCCATATGACCACACCTGCCTTCAAGAGAACCAGGAAGTACAGTCTTTTAGTTGGGCATATTATAGCCCTGAATTCATTAGGTTTTGTTACTAAGGAAAAGAGATGTAGAGTGGGCAGCAGTCTGCCCCAACTCTGTGCATCTCCTCCGAGGCTGTTCTAGCACCCTAACTTCATCTTCCACTGGTTCCCATCCTGCAAGCTCCACTCCAGGCAGGCCTGTCCCCTGAATCCCCTGGCTACCATGCGCTGAGTGGGCATCCTTTTCTTGTCCGGACCCCAGGGTCCTCCTCTATAAAATGACTGGAGAGGCATTGTTGTGTCTAAGCCCCCATATCTGTCTGACAGCAGCAGTTCTCTGCTCTGTCTCTCTCACCCCCACTGTCATCTCCACCTCTGAGACACATGCACAGACCTTTCTCAACTGCTCAGTTCCTACCTCAGAACAGCCAACACTGAAATACACCCACAACCCATCCCCTCCCTGCTTTCTCATTGGAGACCAGCACCACAAGAGAAGCCGAGACCGCCAGCTAGATGCTCGTACTCCCAGCCTCCCTGACAACTAGGAGTGGCCTCTTGTCCTAGGTCTGCTAAGTGAGACATCAGTGATGTCTTTCAGGGCAGGGAAGCTTCTGGGACAGTTCTTCGTCACTGAGGAAGGAGAGAGGAGCGTTCCCTGTCACTCCCTTCCTACTGTGCTATTGTTGGGTGAGGAGATGATGCTCAGAGCTAGGCTGACACATTGTGACTGTGTGGGAAAGGTCAGAAGAATCTTAGAGAGGCCAAGCAAAGGCCCTAAAGTGGTTGGGCTCTCAGCAGTTTCCTTGTAAAGTTTTTGGATAAGTTAGGATCAGGGTCTCCTGCGTATGAGGATTAAATGATCCCGCTCAGTGTAATCTTCACGACATCCATGAAGTAGGTAACACTGTGACCCCACTTCACAGATGGAGAAACTGAGGCTCAGTAAGTAGGTAACACTGTGACCCCACTTCACAGATGGAGAAACTGAGGCTCAGTAAGTAGGTAACACTGTGGCCCACTTCACAGATGGAGAAACTGAGGCTCAGTAAGTGCCCCACACAGCCCATGAATAGAAGTGAGACCCAAGTTTGCCAAACACCCAAGCTTAATAGTCATTGAACAATTCTGCGAAATGGAGATTTAAAAACACAAATGCATGAAATGATAGGCCTGGCCCCCTGTCAATGTGCAGATTGTAGTTATTGTTGTTACTGACAGCACATGGCTTCCATGGCCAGGAGGAACGGCAAGTGGGAGGGTTGCATCCATTCTAAGCCTTCTGCGTTAGTCATTTCTGATGCTATCACAAAATACCTAAGAGTGGTGAATTTATAAAGAGCAAAATTGTATTTTTCAAAGCTCTGGAGGCTGGGAACCCAAAATCAAGGCACTAGCAAGTTCAGTTCTGGTGAGGGCTGCTCTGTTTCCAAGAGGGTGCCTTCTTGCTGCATCCTCTGGAGGGGATAAATGCTGTGTCCTCACATGGTGGGAGGAAGAGAAGGGCAAAGGGACGTATGTAATGAAGCCTCTTTCATAAGGTGATGTGGTTTGGATCTGTGTCCCCACCCAAATCTAATGCCGAATTGTAACCCTCAATGCTGAAGGTGGGGCCTGCTGGGAAGTGATTGGATCATGTGAGCAGTTTCTAATAGTTTAACACCATCCCCGTAGAGCTGTCTCATGACAGAGTTCTCAGATCTGGTTGTTTAACAGTGTGTGGCACCTTCCCTGTCTCTCTCCTCCTCCTGCTCCAGCCATGTAATGTCCCTGCTTCCCCTTCACCTTCCACCATGTTTGAAACTTTCCTGAGGCCTCCTCGGAAGCCATCATGCTTCCTGTACAGCCTGTGGAACCATGAGCCAGTCCAACCTTTTTTGTAAATTATCCAGTCTCAGGTATTTCCTTATAGCAGTGGGAGAACGGACTAAAACATAAGGCATTAGTCCCATGCATGAGAGTGGAACCCTCAAGACCTAATCATCTCCTAAAGGCCCCACCTCTTAATACCATTACATTGGCCATTAAGTTTCAACATATGAATCTGGGGAACACATTCAGACCACAGCGTCTTCTAAGGTCAGATAACCATGTGGTTTTTATTAAAACTCACATTGCTTTGCATTTTTCCTTCCCTTCCCTACATCCTCTGCTATTATATCTACCCTAAAAGGTTCAGCCTGCTCCCCCTTTTATTTTTTTGAGATGGAGTTTCGCTCTTCTTGCCCAGGCTGCAGTGCAATGGTGCAATCTCGGCTCCCCACAACCTCCACCTCCCAGGTTCAAGCGATTCTCCTGCCTCAGCCTCCCGAGCAGCTAGGATTATAGGCATGTGCCACCATGCCCGGCTAATTTTGTATTTTTAGTAGAGACAAGTTTTCTACATGTTGGTCAGGATGGTCTCGAACTCCCAACCTCAGGTGATCCACGCACCTTGGCCACCCAAAGTGCTGGGATTACAGGTGTGAGCCACCATGGCCGGCCTACCCTGCTCCCCTACTAAGCTCATGCATGTCTCCCTGCCTTTGCCCATGCTTATTCCCTGTGCTGCCTGCAGTGCCCTTCCTGTTGGTTCTTTCTTTCTTTTTTTTTTAAATATTAAAACTCCTATTCATCCTTCAATGCCTAGGTCAAATGGCACCCCTGTTCGTAGCTTTCCTTCATGCCTCCTTATACTCCTGATAAAAGAATTATTGCTCCTACCACCACCCTAGAGGGCCTGGAAAGGGCCTAAAATGTAAGCACTTACAGATCAAAATGTGGTTACTATCAACTCCTAATTATCCATAGGTTGAGAACTGCTTTTCTGATTATAGAAGTGACAGGCCATTGCAAACCTGGGACCAACCACCTCCCCAAGCAGGCTCACGAGTTAAGCCAAAGAGGAACCCAGACACCTTGTGAGTTGATCTGCTTGACAAGAACCAGGGACCCAGAGCCCCACCCTTCTTGCCTCCTCCTCATCAGTCCTGCAGCCCAAGGCTATGGATTGGCCTCCTCCTGTCAATAAAAGCTTACTGTTGCCTTGGAGCTGAGATTCCAGGGGCAGGATAAACTTAAAAACCAGTTACCATACCCAAACATACACGGTCATCTGCTTATGTCAAAGATAGCATTGCAGTGATCAGTCAATTGAATGTCTATGTGGGGAAAAAACAAAGCTGAATTCCATCTCACACCATTCACAAAAATCAATTCCAGATAGCTTATAGATCCAAATATGAAATGAAAGGTAGGCTGGGCGTGGTGGCTCACGCCTATAATCCCAGCACTTCGGGAGGCCGAGGCGGGCAGATCACCTGAGGTCAGGAGTTCGAGACCAGCCTGAACAATATGGAGAAACCCTGTCTCTACTAAAAATACAAAATTAGCCAGGCATGATGGTGCATGCCTGTAATCTCAGCTACTCGGTAGGCTGAGGCAGGAGAATCTCTTGAACCTGGGAGGTGGAGGTTGCGGTGAGCCGAGCGCCATTGCACTGCAGCCTGGGCAACAAGAGGAAAACTGTCTCAAAAATTAATTAATTAATTAAATAAAATGAAAGGTAAACAATAATGTTTTAGAAGAAACATAGAATAACATCTTCATGATCTCAGAGTAAACTGAGATTTCTTTTTTTTTTTTTTTTTTTTTTTTGAGATGGAGTCTCACTCTGTCGCCCAGGCTGGAGTGTGGTGGCACGATCTCGGCTCACTGCAACCTCCGCGTTCCGGGCTCAAGCGATTCTCCTGCCTCAGTCTCCTGAGTAGCTGGGACTACAGGCATGTGCCATCAGGCCCAGCTAATTTTTTTGTATTTTTAATAGAGACGGTGGTTTCACCGTGTTAGCCAGAATGGTCTCCATCTCCTGACCTCGTGATCCACCCACCTCGACCTCCCAAAGTGCTGGGATTACAGGCGCGAGCCACTGCGCCTGGCCTTAGATTTCTTAAATAGGACAAAAAGGGTGCTAACTACAAGATTAAAAACTAATAAAGTGGGATATATTAAAATTAAGTACTATATCCAAAAACACCATTAAAAGAGTGTAGCAGCAGCCCACAGAACAGGAGAATATATTCACAATATATACACCTGACAAAAGAGTAGTATCCAGAATATATAAAGAATGCCTATAAACCAATAAGAAAAAGAAACTATCCTATTTTTTAAATGGGCAAAAGACTTGAGCAGATACAAAAAAAAAAGAGAATATTCAAATAGCAATAGGCATATGAAGGTACTCTATATTAGTCATCAGGAAAATGCAATTCTTTATTCTAAAGGAGGTGAGAGCCACTGGGCTTTAGCACGGGACAGACGTGTTGAAAAATGGACTAAATGGGGCTGTGTGAGTTTCCCGGAGCTGCTATAACAAATAACCACAATCTGCATGGCTTCAAACAACTGAAATTTACTACTCACTGTTCCAGAGTCCAGCAGTTTAAAATCAAGGTGATTGGCTGGGCACAGTGGCTCAGGCCTGTAATCCCAGCACTTTGGGAGGCTGAGGCAGGCAGATCACTTGAGGTCAGGAGTTCAAGACCAGCCTTGCCAACATGATGAAATCCCATCTCTACCAAAAAATACAAAAATTAGCTGGGCATGGTGGCGAGCACCTGTAATTCCAAATACTCAGGAGGCTGAGGCACAAGTATCACTTGAACCTGGAAGGCGGAGGTTGCATTGAGCTGAGATCACACCCCTGCACTCCAGCCTGGGCGACAGAGTGAGACTCCATCTCAAAATAAATAAATTAATTAATTAAATAAATTAAATAAAATCAAAGTGATGGGCAGGCTCACTCCTCCAGGGGGCTCTGAGGGAGGATTTGCCCATCCTCTCTCCTGGCTTCTGGTGGTTCCCAGCCATTCCTGGTGCTCCTTGGCCTGTATGCACATCACTCACCTCAGCATCCATCTTCTCATGGCTTCCCCTCTGTGGGTCTTCTCCTCTTGTCCTCTGAGAAGGACACTTCTCATTGGATTGAGGGCCTACCTAGGTCATCCAGGAAGTTCTTGTCTCAAGATCCTTAACTCAATTACATCTGCAAAGGCCCTTTTTCCACATAAGGTTACGTTCCTAGGTTGGGGGTAAATGGATCTTTTGGAGACCACCATTCCACCCCCCTCAGGGGGCCAGGGTGGACAGGGGAGGATCACTTAAGAGATGCATGGCAGTGGTGGCCTGGACTGGACAGGAGGAAGCAGAGTCATGGGCAGGTTTGAGAGGTACCAGGAGGTGGAATCCAAGCACTTCACCAGTGTTGACATACACAGAATTGAGGAAGATGGAGATGTTAAGGGTGTCTGTCAGGCATTGGCTTAAGCAACTGGGTGGATCATGATTTTTTAAAAAATCTTTATTTATCCAATTCTATACCACAAAGCTTACCTGTCTCCCCAAACCCAATTGCCCCAGTTCCTTGGGTTACCTCCAGGGCAAACCCAACTTCTTCAAACCAGGTCTGGTTCTCTACAGAACTCCAGGAAACATGAGAAGCCCTTCATGTGATTGCTAAGTAATTGCTTTTCAACTATAAAAGTAATTAAAAAATGGCACCAATTTCCCTAAGTGTATAATATAATTAAATCCACTGGCTTGGAAAATCATTTGTGATAAACCGAAACAGCAAAAGATCAAGCCACTGGGAATTAGGGAAACGTCTGACATGAGGACAGAGAGCTCTCTGGGGCCTTTTCCTGGAGGGGCCTTGGTGGGCGTGGAATGTGGCTGGGAAAGGCAGGGAGAGTGGAGGATGGGAAAACCAGATCCCCAGCTGGCTGGGACTGGATAGGGAAGAGGCGGTGGGAAGCCACCTGCCAGGCCTTGGGCTGTGGGATGGAGCTCAGGGCCCAGGCCAGGCGGGGTAGAAGTGTTGCCGGTGAGGGTCTTGACTGTAAGTTGCCCAGGTTCTTGGCGTTTTGAACAAAGAATTGGACAAAAGCCCAGCAAAGCAAAGAAAGAATGAAGCAACGAAAGAACCAAAGCAGGGATTTATTGAAAACAAAAGTACCCTCCACAGTGTGGGAGGGGCCCAACCAGCGGCTCAAGAGCCCAGATACAGAATCTTCTCAGATCCAAATACCCCCTACAGGTTTCCTATTGGCCCCCTCATGTAAATGAAGTGGTGGCCCGCAATCAGTGTGATTGACTGCAGAAAACAACCAATCAGAGGCTGAAGTGAAGTTACAAAAGTCACACTCCTCTGCAAACACCTGATTGGCTGCAAAAAGCAACCAATCAAAGGTTAAGATGAAGTTACAAAGTTCCACTTCTATGCAAAGGAAGACTCCGCTCTCAATCAGTCTGATTGGTTGCGGACAGCCAATTTCCCATCTGCCTGGAGGAAAAGGGATTTGCAAAAGGAGTAGCCTCTGGTCCTTTTGTTACTTAGGCGTGGAAAGTTAGGGTTTTCTTTTGAGACGGAGTTTTGCTCTTGTCACCCAGGCTGGAGTGCAATGGCAGGACCTCGGCTCACAGAAACCTCCGACTCCTGGGTTCAAGCTGTTCTCCTGCCTCAGCCTCCCAAGTAGCTGGGATTACAGGCACCCACCACCATGCCCAGCTAATTTTTGTATTTTTAGTAGAGACGGGGTTTCGCCATGTTGGCCAGGCTAGTCTGGAACTCCTGACCTCAGGTGACCCACCCTCTTCGGCCTCCCAAAGTGCTGGGATTACAGGCGTGAGCCACCACGCCTGGCCCGGGTTTTTCTTTCAATTTAGTTCTAGGAAGTCGGCCTGAAATTACCTTAGGTTTCCTGCCTCCAGACCCTATTCTCTTGTCTCAGAAGCACTACCCCAGGAGGTCAAAGGCAGCTCAGACTCAGTCAAAAAGGCAGCTAAGGAAGCAGGATGGACGGTGGGGCACAAGGAATGAACAGAATTGGTTGAAATCAGTGTCAAGTTGGGCTGCGAAATTCCGGACAGTTCAGGCAAGCCGTTCAAGACTAAGATTCGGCCAAAAGGTAGGGGTCAATAACCTCTTTTTATTTCTTTATTTAAAATTTTTTTTTGTTTTAGAGACTGGGTCTCACTCTGTGGTACAGGCTGGAGTGTAGTGGTGTGATCATGGCTCACTGCAGCCTCAGACTCCTGGGCTCAAGCAATCCTCCCGCCTCAGCCTCCCGAGTAGCTGGGACTACAGACATGCGCCACCACACCTGGCTAATTTTTTAAAAAATTTCCAGGTCTTGCTTTGTTGCTCTTTTTAAGTGGTTTAGCTGCTAACACAAAGTCTGTTGGCTTAAGGGAGCCAAGGGGTCCAACAGACAGATTTCCAATACACACTGAAACTAGCCCCCTTTTTTGGCTGGGTGTGGCAGAGATAGAACCTGAGTCAGGCACAGAGCGCTGTGTTCAAATCCCAACTCTCCCCCTTGTTATCTTGAGCAAGCTGCTTAACTTCTCTGAGCCTGTTTCCTTTCCCATAAAATAGCAATCATAATTCCTAACAAGCGCATTTTAAGAGCGGAAGTACAGGGTGTACTTTATAAACTGTAAAGGCCGATGCGTGCATCCCCTGGGATTTCTGAGAAGGCCTTTCCCTCCTCACTCCCTAACTCCTCCATCCAGCTAGGACGTCCCCTCTCTCGGATCCTCATTGTCACCTCTCTTTCCACTGGTGCTCTCCCCTAGACATAGGCTCCTGCTTTCTGAATCTCAGTTTCCTCAAATATAAAAAGAAGAAAATTAAACTCCCTCCCTCATGGAGGACTATGAGGATTTAAATACATGAATTAACACAGAGAATGAGGCTGGCACCGAGCTTTGTGGGCCCTCAGGAGTGCTTAGCTATTATTATTATTATTATTATTATTATTATTACTACTACTACTACTAACAGCTTAGAAAATAGTGAGCAAAAGAAGAAAGAAAAATCATCCCTGAAAACTTCCCCCTAGCAGTAACTATTATTAACAATTGGAGAATAACCTTCTTGGCTTTTAAATAAAATGCATGAAGTGAATTTTCAGGAACTCATCATATTGTGCAAACTGTTTGGAGACCTATTTTTGTCATATAACAATATACCGTGAGCAACTTGACATGTTATCATGCTATCTTGTGCATCATCGTTTCAGTGGCTTCCAAATCACCCACAGTATTAGCACACCACTGTTTAATGCAATAGTGATTCCATGGACCATTGCCAAAGCTGGTCTCCAAACCTCCTTTCCAAGCAATTCCCACCCCCCAGGGCCCCATTTCTGGCCCAGGCTTCCTCCTCTTCAGTTCCGCCTACAGATCTCCATCAAGGCAAAATCCAGTACCAAACACATCACTTATCCGCTCAAACACCTTCTATGGCTCCCCAGTGCTTAACAGTTGAAATTGTATCTTCACTGCCTGGCAGCCAAAGCTCTTTACAAACCACTGCTCTAACCCTGCTTAGCTCCTACATCTTCCTTGTTATACTCCACATGCCACCTCAAGGACACTTCTCACTCTTGCTGTTCCCAGCACCTATAAGGAACTTCTTCCCCCATTCCTGTCTCAGTCCTACCCATCTTTCAAATCCCAACCCAAGTTCATTCTCTTCCTCTCAGTTGACCCATTGTACCACTTAGGATCACATTCAACTGGCAAGAAACAAGACCCAGTATCACAGTGACGTTAACACAATACGAGTTCACTCACCCTTGCATAGAAGATGATCAGAAATAGAAGATCTAGGGGCAGGTATGGTAGCTCTTCAGCCATCAGGGACCGAGTCTTTTTCTGGCTTTCCTCTCTTCCATTCCTGGGGTGTACATTCATCCTTGTGGTCTGATATGGTTGCTAGAGCTCCAGACATCATATCCACATTCCTGCTAGAAGGTTTTTGAGGAAAATGGGAGAAGAGTGTATTCGCTCTCTTTCAGAAAGCTTCCCAGAAGTATTACACAAGACTTCTATGTACATCTCATTAGCCAGAAAGTGTTCACTTGGTCACCTTGCTGCAAGAGAGGCTGGGGAACGCAGTAACGTGCCCATTACTAAGAAAGAAGGGAGCGTGGACACGGGAGACATCCCAGCCCTCCACAATGAGATAGAAAAGCTCCTTTTTCCAAGCATAATGTTGAGCTCTTACCCCAGGCAGCAGCAGTGTGTGCTGGAAGACACAGGCTTTGGAGTCAGACAGACCTGGGGTAGATCCTGGCTCAGTTACTGAATTCCAGCTAGATGATTTAGAAAAGTTGCTTAGACTCTCTGAATCTCTGCATCTAAAAAATAGAAAAGGCGGGGTGGGGGGAGCAGTTGTGAGAAGGTAATCGACTAGAATCTGTGTATAGAGAACACAGGAGGGTGCCCAGTACAAGCCTGATGGTCATGAACTGTCATCCCCATCAGCATTGTGTCATCTATATCCATGTATTCTATATTCTACAACACTGTGTTATTTAAATTCTTTCATTATAATAATATTTTTATTTTATTTTATTTTAAAGACAAGATCTTGCTCTGTCACCCAGGCTGAATTGCAGTGGTGTGATCATGGTTCAGTGCAGCCTCAAACTTCTGGGCTCAAGTGATCCTCAAGACTTAGCCTCCTGAGTAGCTGAGGGAAGTCCAGGCACCTGGCATGTAGTCAGGGCTGTCAGTAATATTTGCTGCATTAAATGGAATCACATTGTCCTGACCCTTCTCCTGGGCTTGGTCTTACCCTGCCTTCGCCATTGGGATACTGTGCATAATGTGGTCTCAGCAGGTTTGGGATGGGGCCTGGAAACCTACATTTTTCATCTCTCCAGTATTGTAAATCTCTCTTTCAGAAGGCTTCCCAGGAGTACTACACAAGACTTCTGTGTAGGCCGGGCACAGTGGCTCATGCCTATAATCCCAGCACTTTGGGAGGCCAAGGCAGGGGGATCACTTGGGGTCGGGAGTTCGAGACTAGCCTGGCCAACATGGTGAAACCCTGTCTTTACTAAAAATACAAAATTAGCCAGGCATGTTGGGGCATGCCTGTAGTCCCAGCTACTTGGGAGGCTGAGGCATGAGAATCGCTTGAACCCGGGAGGTGGAGGCTACAGTGAGCTGAGATCGTGCCATTGCATTCCAGCCTACCAAGAACAAACAAACAAACAAACAAAAAAACTTCTGTCTATCACTGTAGCCTCAACCTCCTGGGCTCAAGCAATCCTCCTACTTCAGCCTCTCAAATAGCTGGAACTACAGGCACGCACCACCATGTCCAGCTAATTTTTTTTTTTTTTTTGTAGAGACAGGGTCTTGCCACATTGCTCAGGCTGGTCTTGAACACTTGAGCTCAAGTTATCCACCTGTTTTGGGTGCTAGGATTACAGGCATAAGTCACTAAGCCCAGTCCATTATCACTTTTTTTTTTTTTTTTTTTTTGAGACAGTCTCGCCGTGTTGCCCAGGCTCCAGTGCAGTGGCGTGATCTCGGCTCACTGCAATCTCTGCCTCTTGGGTTCAAGAGATTCTCCTGCCTCAGCTTCCCGAGTAGCTAGGATTACAGGCACACACCACCACACCTGGCTAATTTTTGTATTTTTCGTAGAGATAAGGTTTCACTACATTGGCCAGGTTGATCTTGAATTCCTGACCTCAAGTGATCCACCCGCCTCAAAGTGTTAGGATTACACAGCCTCCCAAAGTGTTAGGATTACAGGCCTGAGCCACTGTGCCCAGTCTCATTATCACTTCTTTACAAATGGAAGAAGCTGAGTTTCAAAGCTCCTTCTTCCTCTGACTGTATAAGCTCTTAATACAGTGCTGAGCACACAACAAGTACTTGGTCAATGTTAGCCCTTATTCAATGGTTGTTATATTTGCTCTACATACTGTTGCTAAGTAACAAATGAACCCTAAAATGTAGTGGCATTGCACAGCCATTTTATAACATTCATGATTCTCTGGGTCAGGAATTTGGGCAGAGACAGTTTGTCTTTGTTCCCCAACATCTGGCACACAGGAGACTCAATTTGTTGGGGATGACTCAGGGGTGGGAGCCATTCTGAGGTGTCTTCATTCCCATGCTGGCAATTGATGCTGCCTTTCAGCTGGGACCTCAGCTGGTCTCTTGGTTAGAACACGAGCTCTCTCCATGTGGGCTAGATTGGGCTTCCTGACAGCATGGCAGCTGGGTTCCAAGAGAGACTCAAGAGAGTAAGGTAGATATGCATAGCATTTTATAATCTAATGAGCTTTTCTTGGAAGTTCCATAGTGTCACTTCTGCCATAGTCGCAAGCCTGCCCAGGTTCAAAGGGAGGGAATACAGGCACCCCCACCACTCAGTGGGAGGAGTGTCAAAGTCACGTTATAAGAAGAACATGTGGAATGGGAGATATTGTCACAGCCATCTTTAGAAAATATTATCTGTATAATAATAAGTGATAGTAGTTGTCATCATCACTGTCATGATCTGTGATCCCCCAGGCCACTACAACTCAGTTCTTTGGAGTCAGACAAATCTCAGATCTCTTACTTCCCAGCCATGTGGTCGTGAATGAGACCCTTCTTGTCTCTTCCCCTAGGCTGTAAATTTAGAACATGGGAGTGAGACTTCTTCTCTTCCAGAACTATTATGAGTCTTAAAGAGAAAGAAAGTGTAGAAAGTTCCTAGGACCTGGTGCAGGCTCACTACGTGGGTTTTCTTCTCAGTCCTGCCTCCCAGGCCCGAGTTAGAGCCAGTCCTGCCCACGGACATTTTTGCAGCTCTGTGAGGCTTTTGGTCAGGGTCAGGGACAATGGGCGCCAGACCAACAATGTGTGTCCAGACCACCTTTAAAGGGCTGTCGTGGACTTTTTAAATTTCAGCTTTCTGGAGGACCGTCCTTTGAAGTTACCCGCAGTGGCCTGAATCTCTTTGGGAGTGCATTTCAACTTTCCCCTAAGAGTCCAGTGAGATATTTCGTTGGTGATAGGGCCGGAAAGATCCACAGGAGAGCCATGCAATATCTTTCTTCCCAAATTTCCCAGTCCTCGAAGGAAAGGCCATGTTTGGTTTGAAAACAGAGCTGCTTTATCACCAACCAGGGCCCTGGATGAAATCTTTCCCCCTAAAGCTGAATAAACAGCTCCAGGCTCAGCTCACACCCTGCTCTTAGCTCCTGAAACTCACTTATCTAGGTCCTGCCTACTCCCCAGCACCCCTACACATACCCCAGGCCTGCCCAGACACCTTCTTCTTTGAGGCGTACCCTGAACCCCAGAATGACCTCATAGTGCTGTGAGACCTGTGTTCAGCTCTGTCTCTTCCTTGTAGGATGAAAAAGAGGCAGCTGGATTCAAGTCTTCTCCAACTCTGAGCCCCAGTCTCCTCCTCTGCAAAACGGGGATGATATTGCCTGCCTCGCCAAACTGTGCCAGGGCAGAATGATACTATTTTACTGGAATGTGCTGGCATAGAAGGTGCTCAGGGAACTCTGGCTCAGCTGAGGAGTGGGATCCAGAGTGAGGCTTGGACCCATGCCCACCAACATTACTACTTATGTGCTGGGTGATCTTGGGCAAGTTTTAACCTCTTTGAAGCTCAGTTTCTTCCACTTGTAAAGAAGTGATAATGGGCTGGGCGTGGTGGCTCACACCTTTAATCCCAGCACTTGGGGAGGTGGAAAGAGGCGGATTCCTTGAGCCCAAGAGTTCAAGACCAGCCTGAGCAACATGGCGAGACCCTGTCTCTACAAAAAAAAAAAAAAAAAAAAAAATACAAAAATTAGCTGAACATGGTGGTGCATGCCGGTAGTCCCAGCTATTTGAGAGGCTGAGGTGGGAGGATCGCTTGAGCCCAGGAGGTTGAGGCTGCAGTGAGCCTTGATTGTTGCATTGCACTCCAGCGTGGGCAACAGAGCAAGACCCCATCTCAAAAAAAAAAAAAAAAAGATTGCTGATGAAATTAATATAGCACTTCAGGACTGTGTCTGACACATGTCACTCAATAAATGGTAGTCATTTAAAAATTATTACTATTATGATTAATTCAGTACATTCCTCTAGGGCAAGAACCAGGTCTTATGTTTATTCCAAACATTTCACATACACACAATAAAGTTACTCAGTGTGTTTATAGAGAGAATCCTCTATATTTTTTAGTTTATTTATTTATGTATTTATTTTTGAGACAGGGTCTGGCTCTGTCGCCCAGGTTGGAGTGAAGTGGCATAATCTCAGCTCACTGCAACCTCTGCCTCCTGGGCTCAAGTGATCCTCCTACCTCAGCCTCCCAAGTAGCTGGGACCACAGGCATACACCACCATGCCTAGCTAATATTTTTGTATTTTTTGTAGAGGCAGCATTTTTCCATGTTGCCCAGGCTGGTCTCAAACTCCTGGGCTCAAGCAATCTGCCTGCCTTGGCCTCCCAAAATACTGGGATTATAGGCATGAGCCACCATGCCCAACCCATTTCTATTTTTTAAATTGATGTTTTGATTGAGATTATTGTGGATTCATGTGAAGTTGTAAGAAATAATACAGAAAGACTCCTTATGCACTTTGCTCACCCATGTAACATTTTCAAAACCATAGCATAATATCACAATCAGGATATTGGCATTGATTTAATCTACCAATCTTATTCATACTTTCCCAATATTACTTGTATTAGTGTCTGTGTATTAAATTCTACACAATTTCATCAGGATAGATTTGTGTATTTACCACCACAGTCAAGATACTGAATAGATCTAACACAATCCCCCCCATCCCCCACCCCATAGAAATCCTATTTATTTAAAGCTAGAGACCAGGCGTGGTGACTCATGCCTGTAATCCCAGCACTTTGGGAGGCTGAGGCAGGCAGATCACCTGAGGTCAGGAGTCCGAGACCAGCCTGGCCAACATGGTGAAACCCCAACTCTACTGAAAATACAAAAATTAGCCAGGCGTGGTGGTGCACGCCTGTAGTCCCAGCAACTCTGGAGGCTGGGGCAGGAGAATCGCTTGAACCTGGGAGACAGAGGTTGCAGTGGGCTGAGATTGTGCCACTGCACTCAAGCCTGGGTGATAGAGCAATGCAAAAAGTAGAGTTTCCTCTTCAAAGGCTTTCCTCCCCATCGAATTAAGAATAAATAGTAACTTCTCTCAGAAGCAAAATTTATTCAAAGACCTGTGCTAACATTCTTAAATATCTGCTAGCCGTAATAAAGAAATCAATGTACTTTATGTTCTTGGCTCCCACAATTTAGCCTAAATATTTGCCCTGGCATGCTTATACTGGTCCAAGCAAGCATTAGGTCATAGCATGTTCCTCTTCCTCATTTGAAGGTTTTTACCTTTCTCAACATTGCACAAAACAATCAGGACAAATACAGAATGTGAAGCCCGGTTCCAGCCAATGGAAACTGGACACAGCAGTAAGGTGGACACGTCAGGTTATAAATGACCCTGTCTCCTTTGTTCGGTGCACTCTCGTGGCAAAACTGCTGACGAGTGTACCCTTTCTACAGAAAGTAAAAAAAGGAAAAAAAGGCCTTGCTGAGGAAATTAAACTTATGTTCAAGTGCTATTTCTTTATGGCACCTAGGAACAAGCATTTCTAACAGTAAGACTCTGTCTCAAAAAAAAAAAAGAAAGACAAAAAAAAAAAATATTTAAAGCTAGAAATGCCCCTAGTTGGATTTTGTGAGTCAACAGATCATAAAGATTAAGAAAAGGCTCAGCATCTGCTGATCTGGGTTCAAATCCCAGCTACACAACTCACAGCGTGCGAACCTGGCAGGGCCTCTAAGATCTCAGTTTCCTCATCTGTGAAATGGGGAAACAACAGCACCAGCATTCAACAAAGCATTCCATAAATGCAAGCTGTTAGCCCAGCGTGGAGACCGATATTCTGGAAGTTGGTAATGAAGAAACTGAGGCCCCAGAGGCACAGACACTGGCCCAAGTTTGCACACGAAGCTGGGGACACAGCTGAGATGGGAGCCCAGACAGACGGGTTACAGCAAGATTCCTGACCAACCACGCAGGCGGGCCGCGCAGTCCAGCAGCCAAGAGAACAGGCTCTAGAGGCCACCTGCCTGGGTGAGTATCCCGAATATTAACTGAGACAAGCTACCTCAGTTTCCCCCATGGCTCAGTTGCCTCATCTGCAATGTGAGGATGACAATCAAGCTGTGGTATGGATTTGATGACATAATACAGGTCAAGTAATTAATTATCAGATGAAGAGCACAGTGTGTGGTTATTATTCATATTAAGCCAGTTTCTATAACTACTTGTCTTCACTAATTTTTTTTTTAAATTAAAATTATTGTAAGGGACTCTCTGGGCTAGGATGGCAAGGGGCAGACACGTCCAACAACGTGAGAATGTTATGGCAGAATCTGAGTATATTCCCTTAGAACCATAATAAACAATCAAACTAAAGGAGACCTCAGACAACCCATCTGGCCCAATCCTGTGTTTCCAGGCAAGCGCAGCGCCTGATTCCTCCACACAGAATTTCCTTCTTTTTGTGGCTGGATTAACTCTTGAATACCAAAAACTTCTGATCCTGTACTTGGAGCCTGTTGTTAAAATGTCATTTCCAAACAAACATAGGTTACAATCTTTTCTTCTCTCTCTCTCTTTTTTTCCTTTCCCCAAGATCAAAGAAGGCATTTGGGCCTTTAAGATAACATTCATTTGGAAAGAGATGGTAATATATAAGATTAATGAAAATTAACATAATCCCTCTGAGTAGAAGAGAGCCTTTGTTCAATCGCTTGTCCTGCTGTTAATTATGCGTTAGGTGGTGATAAATGCTTTAAATCAAACGATGCTGTGAAAACCATTTAAATGATTTTCACCTAATTAGGTTCCTTGCCCTGTTCTGAGCCAGGGATCCCTCCCCAGCGCACCCGCCTCCTTTTGATATGTAATGTACCAGGGGGAATCAGGGAACCCTGAGCTGGAGAAGGAACCTTTTCTGGCTTCTCTGGCTCTGACCAACCACCGTGGGCCCACTGTTGCGATTTATTTTTTCTGAGCGGCTTTGCAGATCTGAGATCAAAAGAAAATTTATCAGTTTCTGTCTCCCTTCAGCCCATTCCAGCCAGACTTTGTGACAAGACCCTATCAGACTTAAAGTTGAGAAGGCCCCAGCACGGAGAACAGAGAGAGAGAGCGAGAGAAGGTCCCAGTGAACTGTCACTGTCAGATTCGGCAGCGGAAATTGCTGCGTGGCACCCAGCCGGCCTTTGAAGGGGGCTGGGGCTGGCAGCCGCTGGACCGGGGTGGGGGAGAGCTAGTTTGTGCAACTCAAAGAGCCGGGGGTCACAGATCCATAAAGGCCCCCCAACTCTGTCGCTCCCTCTGAAGTTGAAATACCATCTGCGCGCCTGAAAGAAACTGGTTAAAGGTGAACTGGCTACTCTGGAGGGGAGGGAAGGGGTGGAGGAGTGAGAAACAGGCAAACATCCCAGACAGCTCCCAGGTCCTCAACAGGAGGTGTCCTGGGCTGAGAACTCTGGCCACCACAGTGAAAGTTTGGGGAGCAAATGAACGCCTCCTCCTGGGAGGCTCCGGGATTGAAATTCAGCACGTTCTAACTCGTGTCTTTCTTGCAGCAAAATGCGCACATCAGAAAATTCATTTGGAGGCAAATCAGCCACCACTATGGACTGGCCCTTAGTAGCCAGGTGGCACTGGATAAGGTGCTCAAGCTTCCTGGGCCTTGCTTTCCTCTCGGGAAACCTGTAAAGCGCCGCAGGCCCCATGGCCCCACACACCGATATGATTCCCAGATTCCGCGAGGAATCCCAGCCAACACCCCATGTCTGCATCACCTCAGTAGATTCCTGGTATCTTTCTGTTTCCAGCAGGCTGAAAAATCACAAGGGCAGCCTCTCTCGCTGTGTTTTAACCTCTCGCCATCCCCTTTGAAGCCCAAAGATACAAAAGGGAAAAGGAAACAAAAATTCCTACAATAGACACCCCTTCTGGCTTAAAAAAGAGCCAGTTCACTTGTGAAGTTGGGATCACCAGAGTTTCTTCTCTCCTTTTATCCCAAACAATTTGTCTGTTTACAATGGAGAGCTTTTCAGATCCCCCTGAAGTTGCAATGATTCGAACATTTTTGGAACGTGTCTGTTGATTTATGATCCCACGAACTGATTTTGAATTAATTCCTTTTTCTAAAGGACAGTTGGTTTCCCATTAAGGGGCAGACCCTGAATGCCATGCCTCTGCCCTCGTGCTAAATGAACTTTTTAGAGGTTCCAGATGATGCCTGGCATCGGACAGAGGCCAGCCAGCCAGAGAGGTCACTTAGCTGGGATGAGTTCCCCGGACCATCCCCCATGTCACTGTGGCAGGAAGCGGTGCCCTCTGGAGTGAGGCATTTCAGAAATGCCTTTGAGACCTCAGGCCAGGCCGAGCTGGCCTCTGGGGCCCTCAGCAGGAGCAAATGGGAGAAAGGTCAGTCCCAGCGCCCTCAAAGCCCCGAGGCCCCGCTGCTGTGCCCCGCTTGCCTGACTCCACCCTCCGAGCCCCACAGGCTCCCTGCTTCACAGGGAAGCACTTGGCCTTCCCAGGAGCCCTTCATCATTCTTATTCCCCCACACTTTATAATATATACACAACATAAAACTTACCATTTTACCCTATTATTATTATTATTATTATTATTATTTTTTTTTTTTTGAGACGGAGTCTCGCTCTGTCGCTCAGGCTGGAGTGAAGTGGCGCTATCTCGGCTCACTGCAAGCTCCGCCTCCCGGGTTCACGCCATTCTCCTGCCTCAGCCTCCCGAGTAGCTGGGATTACAGGTGCGCGCCACCACGCCCGGCTAATTTTGTGTATTTTTAGTAGAGACGGGGTTTCACCATGTTAGCCAGGATGGTCTCGATCTCCTGACCTCGTGATCCGCCCACCTCGGCCTCCCAAAGTGCTGGGATTACAGGCGTGAGCCACTGCGCCCGGCCCATTTTTATTTTTATTTATAGAAATGGGGTACCATCTTGCCCAGGCTGGTCTCAAACTCCTAGGCTCAAATGATCCTCCCAGCTTAGCCTCCCAAAGTGCTGAGATTACAGGCATGAGCCACAAGCTTGGCCGATTTTCCCCATTTTCAAATGTGCCACTCAGCGGCATTAAACACATTCACATGGTCTCGGAACCGTCACCACCATCCATCTCCAGGGCTTTTTCATCTTCCCAGACTGAAACTCTGTTCCCATTAAACACTAACATTCCCATCTTCACCCCACAAGCCCCTGGCACCCACCATTCTCCTTCCTGTTGCTGTGAATGGACTACTTTAACTACCTCATACAGTATTTGTCCTGGCTTATTTTATTTACCATAATGTCCTCAAGGTTTAACCAGGTTGTAGGATGTGTTAGAATTTCATTCCTTTTCAAAGCTGAATACTCTTCTATCGTAGGTACAGACCACATTTGCTTATCCACTCAGCTGTCATGGACACTGGGTTGCATCCACCTTTTGGTGGAAATTAATGTTAGTGTGAAGAATGCTGCTATGAACAGGGTTGTACAAATATCTGTTTGAGTCCCTGTTTTCAATTCTTTTGGGGATACACCCAGAAGTGGAATTGCTGATCCTATGGTGATACGGTTTTGCTGTGTCTCCACCCAAATCTCATCTTGAATTGTACCTCCCATAATTCCCTCATTTGTGGGAGGGACCCAGTGGGGGAGAATTGAATCATGGGAGTGATTTCCCCCATACTGTTCTCGTGGTAGTGAATAAGCCTCCTGAGATCTGATGGTTTTATAAGGGGAAACCCCTTTTACTTGGCTGTCATTCTCTTCTCTTGTCTGCCGCCATGTGAGACATACCTTTTGCCTTCTGCCATGATTGTGAGGCACCCCCAGCCATGTGGAACTGTGAGTCCATTACACCTCTTTCTTTTGTAAATTGTGCAGTCTCGGGTATGTCTTTATGAGCAGCATGAAAATGAACTAATACATATGGTAATTCTATGTTTAATTTTTTAAGTACCTGCCATTCTGTTTTCCACAGTGACTGCACAATTTTACATTCCCACAGCAATGTACCAGGGTTCCAGTTTCTCCACATCCTCACCAACACTTGCTTTCTGTTTTTTTGTTTTTTAATAATATCCATCCTAATGGGTGTGACATAATATCTCATTCTAATTTTAACTTGCATTTTCCTGATGAGCAGTGATGTTGAACATCTTTTCATGTACTTTGCCATTTGTATATCTTCTTTGGAGAAATGTCTATTCAAGTCTTTTGCCCCACCTTTTTTTTTTTTTGGTAGAGACAGGGTTTTTACTATGTTGCCCAATCTAGCAATTCTCCTGCCTCAGCCTGAGTATCTGAGACTACAGGCATCTGCCATCACACTCAGCTCATTTTTGTATTTTTAGTAGAGACAGGGTTTCACCATGTTGGCCAGGCTGGTCTCGAACTCCTGACCTCAAGTGATCCCCTGCCTTGGCCTCCCAAAGTGCTGGGCTTACAGGCGTCAGCCACAGCTCCCAGCCTAGATATTTTTCATTATGAAGACCTTTAACCTAAAGTATTTCACAATTATTCACCTGATATAAATTATTTCCATGTTTATATTGAGAACATGTATGACAAAAACAGCGAGGTTTTAAAATAAGTGTGCCTCTATTTGGTACCTATAGCATCTACACTCCCTCCATCTACCACAGTGCTGGTTTATAGGGGAATGCTAAGACTCAGAATAATTATGCAGTCCCCTCACCCCTACTGGGATCCACAGGCCACAGATGGGGAACAACCACATATTTATCAAGGGGAAAATTAAGTCTCAACAGTGGAAAAGGAATTGCCCCGAGACTCTGGCAATAGTAAGTCCCGAAATACCAACTGCAAAACTCCTGCCCTACTGTCTCCATGAGATGGCTAGCTTTGTTGGACTCTTGTCCAGACGTGAGATTTGAAAAATTGGGTGAATGTGGCACAGACAAGCCTTGAGGCCCACCACTCATTTCTCCTTCCTGGGCACATCCTGGCCAGCGTTTCCCAGCCTCCTGTGCAGTTAGACTGGAGACCATAGCACTGAGTTATGGCCAAAGGAATATGGCAGAGGGGTGAAAGCCACTCAGCTGTGGTGGTCTTTAAAAAGCATCCTGGCTGATCCTCACTTTCCCTGCACCTTCCAAAGTGACCTTGGCAGCCATGTGTTTAGGACAATGATGACAATGATGTCCCAAGATGGAAGAAGCCTGGACCCCCAAGTCACCACTTGCAGGAGAGCACTGACGTGTGACACAAACGAGGAATATACTTTCGGTGTGTCAAGTCCCTGAGATGTCTGTTAATTTGTCACCTTGGCATGGCCTAGCCTCCCCTGACTAATGCAACTACTCCACAAATGAGTCACGTCTGCTAAGAAGGAGCCTCACCTGCCGGCAGGGTTCAGACTCCCAGCCCAGTGCTCTTTGCAGCACACAACCTCTTTCAGTGTTATCCAGTTTTTTCAATGGAATGTGGAGACAGGTGACACCTTCCCCTGTCCTCAAGCACCTCATAGTCTAATGGGGGAGGCTGACAAAGCAAAGGTTTGGGCACAGGGACACAGGTGAACTGAAAGTCAGAGTCATGGCCACATGTGGGACAGGCAAGTTATAAGTGACAAACCAAAAGGAGAAAAAAACAGCCCAAATACTTGGGTTTTGGAGTCACACAAATCTGTGTTCAGTTCCTCCCTTGGCCACCTGAACAACTCACATCAGGTCCCAGGCCTCAGTTTCCTCATCTGTAAAACAGGAAAATAATAATTACTAATAATACATACATCCATCACTCTCTGTTTGCCGGAAGAGCTGAAGGAGATGTATAAAGCTCTGTAAGTTCTATAGTTCTGCATGCCACCTTTGTAATTTTATGTCTCAACTATCTCCCAGCTTAGAGTGCAGGAACCAGGCCAAGCGTTAAGGAGCAAGAGATGGATTTTCCCTGAGGAATGAAGAGAACAAACTGTGCTCCATTGGTTTCCTTTCTTTTTCTTTCTTTTTCTTTTTCTTTTTTTTTTTTTTTTTTTGAGACAGAGTCTCACTCTGTCACCCAGGCTGGAGTGCAATGGCGTGATCTCGGCTCACTGCAACTTCCTCCTCCTGGGTTTAAGCAATTCTCCTGCCGCAGCCTCCCGAGTAGCTGGGATTACAGGCGCCTGCCACCACGCCCAGCTAATTTTTGTATTTTTAGTAGAGAGAGGGTTTCACCATGTTGGCCAGGCTGTTCTCGAACTCCTGACCTTAGGTGATCCACCTACCTTGGCCTCCCAAAGTTCAAGGATTACAGGCGTGAGCCACTGTGCCCAGTCTCCATCAGTTTTTCAAAAGTAGATGTGGTGATCTCCATTTTATACATAAAGGAACTCTGGCTCAGAAAGGTCCACTCAGCCGAGTGACAGTTGATAAAGGAAGGAGCAGAGATTCAAACCTGACGCTCCTGCTTCCAGCTCAAGGCGTTTCTGCCAGTTGCCCATCTTCCAGGTAGGAGTGTCTGAAGCCCATATCGGAGGTGCTGATGGGGGCGATAGGATCTCTGTGCTCCCCACATATCCCCCTAGGTCCAGATCAGAGAAAGCTCTTGGAAATGCTGGTCCCAGCTCCCTTTGGCTTCATCTCACTCCCTGCACTCCAGCACATCTGCCTCCCTGCTCTTCCTCCAATATTCCAGGTACACGCCCACCTCAGGGTCTTCGCACTTGCTGAGTCCCTGCCTGGAATGTTCTTCCGCCAGATAACCTCTGGGCTCACCCTCTCACTTCATTCCTAGCTCTGCACAGATGTCACCTTCCAGAGAGGGGACTTCCCCGTCTAAAAGAGCACCCCTTGTTCTCTGGCCCTCACCTGCTTTGTTTCTCTTCGTAGCACTTACTACTGTCTCTTACATGGCAGTCATTGTGGGTTTGGTTTGCTTTCTTCTTCCCTTTCCTGCCATTTCAAATAATGGAGTAGAGAATCGTGGTCTTAGATACACTGTTTCCCTAATATCTAAACCAGTGCCTGTCATGTGGCAGATATGCAGTAAACATTTTCTGAGTGAATGAATAGATGAAATAAAGAATGAGTGAACAACTGAGAAAGGATCTCGTTAGACACGTTCCGAGTTGCCGTCCCTGGCTCTAGCTGGCCTCTGTTTGAAAGAAAACCAGCTTGGGAGGCCGAGGCAGGCGGATCACGAAGTCAGGAGATCGAGACCATCCTGGCTAACACGGTGAAACCCCGTCTCTGCTAAAAACACAAAAAATTAGCCGGGCGTGGTGGCGGATGCCTGTAGTCCCAGCTACTCGGGAGGCTGAGGCAGGAGAATGGCGTGAACCCGGGAGGCGGAGCTTGCAGTGAGCCGAGATCGCGCCACTGCACTCCAGCCTGGGCAACAGAGCGAGACTCCATCTCAAAAAAAAAAAAAAAAAAACAAAAAACAAAAAAAAAAAACCAGCAACTCATCCTCTCTCTGTGTCGTGAATGCACTGGGCCTCCTGGCAGACTCCACCCCATTGCCTCTGGCTGGTGGGTCCTGGCTACATCTGATGTCTCACTCCAACTAAGCTGCTTAATTCTCATCTCTTATTGCATAAAATTAATTCCCCAAAGTGCCAAGAAGTCCCCCGTGTTGAAGAAACTAGATGGGCATTTTGTTTGGACTTAAGCGCACTAGAAGCATTATTTTACATTATCTGCAGCTTGAAAGGAGAAAACCTAGATTCAGGGATCCAAGATTTTCTGAGAGGAGCTTAAACCATGCATATAGCAATTGATTCAAGGCTGGTGAATCTGGTTACAATATAAATGAACAAGCTACATCTGCTATGAAAAAAATCTAGGCCAGGTGTGGTGGCTGATGCCTGTAATCCCAGCACTTTGGGAGGCCAAGGCAGGTGGATCTCCTGAAGTCAGGAGTTCGAGACCAGCCTGGCCAACATGGTGAAACCTCGTCTCTACTAAAAATACAAAAATTAGGCAGGTATGGTGTTGTGTGCCTGTAATCTCAGCTATTCAGGAGGCTGAGGCAGGAAAATCGCTTCAACCAACCCAGGAGACGGAAGTTGCAGTGAGCCAAGATCGTGCCACTGCACTCCAGCCTGGGCAACAAGAGCAAGACTCTGTCAAAAATAATAATAATAATAATAAAAGATGAAAGAAAGAGAAAGAAAGACAGAAAGAAAGAAAGAAAAAGAAAAAAATCTCATAGCTTAAAGTGCAAATAGAATATTTGGTAGCTTAATGTGCAATGATGTATACATGCTTTGAGACTGATGGTTACATTCTGGAGAGATTTAGCAAGAATTCGCCATTTATCAATGAATGAGAATCCAAAAAGAACTGAGAGTTACTGTTTCTCCAAGAAGTTTTTGCTCCATCTCAGAAAACATGGACAAAAGGCTTTCTATAAAATTAAATGTAAACCGACCTTTTCCCCTCCTAAGGAAAATCTCTGTTTTCTGGGCTCCTGCAGCTGTGGAATGTAAACAGCCTCACCTCACCAGCAAGACACTTTGAAAGTGTCAAGTACTCATTATAATCAAATTCTTCTGTCCCAGGTTTATCCAATTAAGTTGTGATATCGTTCCTTTTCACTTTTTTTTTTTTTTTTTGAGACGGAGTCTCACACCCTCGCCCAGGCTGAAGTACAGTGGCGCCATCTCGGCTCACTGCAAGTTCCGCCTCCCAGGATCACGCCATTCTCCTGCCTCAGCCTCCCGAGTAGCTGGGACTGCAGGCGCCCACCACCGCTCCCGGCTAATATTTTTGTATTTTTAGTAGAGACTGGATTTCACCGTGTTAGCCAGGATGGTCTCGATCTCCTGACCTTGTGATCCGCCTGCCTCAGTCTCCCAAAGTGCTGGGATTACAGGCGTGAGCCACCGCGCCCGGCCCGTTCCTTTTCACTTTAACCAAAGTTGAATCAAAGGGTTGGTTCTCCATTTCTATTTCTGTCTTTGAGAAGATCATGTCCACGAATGCTGTCAAGTAGGAAGTTAATTCTTCAACAAACCCAAGGGACAAGACTGTTAACAATGGCATATTGATACAAAATTATTCTGGTAATCCCAATCTCCTACATTTTTACAGGACTTGAACAATGGCACAGAGCTCTTTTCCATTCCTGCATTTAACCCACACACTGAGAGAGGTAAGCCAGAGAGGTGAGAGCTCTGCTCATTTTGCAATTTTTTATTTTTATTTTTTGAGACAGAGTCTCACTCTGTTCCCCAGGCTGGAGTGCAGTGACACCATCACAGCTCACCATACCCTCGACTTTTTGGGCTCAGGTGATCCTCCCACCTCAGCCTCCTGAGTAGTTGGGACTACAGGTGTATACCACCATGCCAGCTAATTTTTTGTATTTTTTTGTACAGACAAGGTTTTGCCATGTTGCCCAGGCTGGTTTCAAAATCCTGGACTCAAGCGATCCTCCCTCCTTGGCCTCCCAAAGTGCTGGGATTACAGGCATGAGCCACTGCGCCTGGGCCATTTTGCAATTATTAATCCAATTTTACTGCTATTTACTGAGCACCTACGACATACCAGGTCCCTGCCTCAAGGAGCCACAGTCAAGAGATACATAAACAGACAATGAGGTTGTGGTATGATAGAGAAAAGCCACCATTTGCTGAGCACTTGCATGTGGGGGGCACCATTCCAAGTGCTGCACATGTGTCATTCATTTAGTCCTCATGACAAATTCACAAGCTATGTCAGATTAGGACCATCTCCATCTGGCATCTGAGGACAGTAAAGTCACTTGAAGTCACTAGTTAAATTCTGGAAGTCCATTCTAGAGTCCACACTCTCACTTACTCTAGTGATGGTTCTGACGAAGAAAGCATTGCATGGCCTCTGAGAAGGCAGCTACCCCAAGCTCAGTGGGGAAGGGGCATCCTGGAAGGCTTCCTGAAGGTGGGAGCCCCAAGATGAATTGTGTGGATGGAGTAGGAATCAGCAAGGGAAGGAAGATGCTCTGGGCTGAGGAAATAGTATATGCAATGACAGGGAGGGAAGACACTTACCATGGCCACCCCCTTCTAGTGTGACCCCTGATGCTCAGAGGGAGGTGATGGAATGAGACATGTTCCTGGGCCCATATACCTAGGTCCACCTTGGGCCAAGGACTTCATATTCCTGGACCTCAGTGTCCTCATCAGTTGAATGGGGTAGCTGGTATACCTACTGTATTAGTCAGGGTTCTGTAGAGGAACAGGATGAATAGGATAGATGTATATAAAAAAGGGAGTTTATTAAGGGGTATTGACTCACACGATCACAAGGTGAAGTCTCACAATAGGCTGTCTGCAAACTGAGGAGCAAGGAAACCAGTCCAAGTCTCAAAACCTCAAAGGTAGGGAAGCTGACAGTGCAACCTCCACCCTGTGATGGAAGGCCTGAGAGCCCCTGGCAAACCACTGGTGTAGGTCCAAGAATCCAAAAGCTGAAGAACTTGGAGTCCGATGTTGGAGGGCAGGAAGCATGAAGCATGGGAGAAAGATGGAGGCCAGAAGACTCAGCAAGTCAGTGCTTCCATGTTACTCTGCCTGCTTTTATCCTAGCTGCACTGGCAGCTGATCAGATGGTGCCCACCCAGATTGAGGGTGGGTCTGCCTCTCCCCAGTCCACTGATTCAAATATTAATCTCCTTTGGTAACACCCTCACAGACACACCCAGGAACAATACTTTGCATCTTTCAATCCAATCAAGTTGACTCTCAATAGCAACCGTCGTACCTACTTCATAAGAATACTATGGGATCAGAAGATAAAACATAGTAAAAACAATTTTTAAACTCTACCTAAGAGGTTTTTGCGAATGAAAGGATGCTTGTTACCATCTTACAGATTTCCACTTTTTGATGCTTTCCCAAAATATTATTTTGTTGTACTGCAGGCAACATTGGGATGAATTCACTCAACGGACATTTGCTTAACTGTAGGAGAAGAGGGAAAAGGGGAAATCAAAGACATCTTTGAAGTGCCAAGCCAGGAAAGCTTAAAGTGCACTCATTCCAAAAAATTCATCGAGTACCTCTTAGGTATGATACATATTGGTGCTAGAGATTCAGAAATAAGGATGATTGTATCCATTTTAATCATATTACCTCCTATAACAAGTAAACTCCCACATTTCAGTGACTTTATGAAATATTTCTCACTCCCTCACAGATACACCTGTCTGCTCTCTTCTTCAGGGTCATTCAGGAGCTCAGGCTGATGGAAATTCTGCCATGTCACACAGTGGCTTCCACAGTCATCCTGGGAATTGACCTCTGGCTAGGAGGTGGGAGAAGATCATCTGTAGGATTATACCAGGAGGTTGGCAGGCCAGGCCTGGAAGTGGCCACATCATTTCCATTCACATTCCAGTGGCACAGACACAGGGCCCCATGTAGCTGCCTGGGGAAAGGGAAACTAGGTTTGATGCACAGCTGGCTGCCTGTGCCAACTGACTCTGCCCTCCAGTGGCTCATAACCTCGCCCAAAAATTAAGAAAACAATTCCAGTTTTGATACCATCTAAAAGGACAAAATGTTAAAAATAAATTTAGCCAAAGAAGTGCAACACTTGCATCCTGAAACTAGAAAACATAGTTGAAAGAAATTAATGACAACCCAAATAATTAAAAAGGCATCCTATGTTCATGGATTAGAAGACTTAATATTATTAAGATGGCAATATTTTTCAATTAATCTGCATCTGATATGATGCCTATCAAAATTCCATCTGCCCTTTTTGCAGAAACCGACAAGCTATTAAAATTTATATGAAAATGTAAGAGACCCAGAAAAGCCAAAACAAACTTTAAAAACACAAAGTCAGAGAACTTAGACTTCCTAATTTCAAAACTCACTATGAAACTATAATAATCAATATGTGATATCTAGAGTAGTCAAATTCACAGAAACAGAAAGTAGAATGGTGGTTGCCAGGGGTGGAGGATGGAGAACAGGGAGTTATTATTTAAAAAGTACAGAGTTTCAGTTTTGCAAGATGGATGGTGGTGATGGTTACCTAACAGTGTGAATGTACTTAATGTTGTTGAACTGTTCACTAAAAAATTATGAAGAGGAAAAATTTTATGTTATGTATACTTCACCACAATTTAAATAAATAAATAATCCAAAAAATGAAAAAAATACACATAGTAATCATGACTGTGAGACACTAACATAAGGATAGACATATAGATCAACAGAGTAAGAGTGAGTCCAGAAATGAACCCTTGCATTTATGGTCAATTTGTCTTCGAAAAAGGTGCCAAAACCATTTGCTGGGAAAAGAATTATCTTTTCCTTCTTTTTTAAAAACCTTTATTTTAAGTTCAGGGGTACATGTACAGGTTTGTTATGTAAGTAAACTTGTATCACAGGAGTCTGTTGTACAGATTATTTCATCACCCAGGTATTAAACCTAGTACCCATTAGTTCTTTTTCCTGATCCTCTCCCTCCTCCCACCCTCCACCCTCCTATAGGCCCCAATGTGTGTTGTTCCCCTCTATGTGTCCATGTGTTCTCATCATTTAGCTTCCACTTATAAGTGAGAACATGCAGTATTTGGTTTTCTGTTCCTGTGTTAGTTTGCTAAGGATAATGACCTCCAACTCCATCCATGTCCTGCAGGGGACATGATCTCATCCTTTTTTATGGTTGCATAGTAATTCCATGGTGTATATATACCACATTTTCTTTATCTAATCTATCGTTGATGGGCACTTAGGTTGATTCCATGTCTTTGCTATTTTGAATAGTGCTGCAATAAACATATGCATACATGTATCTTTATAATAGAATGATTTATATTCCTGTGGGTATATACCCAGTAATGGGATTGCTGGGTCAAATGGTAAGAATGGTGTTTTCAACAAACGGTGCTGAGACAACTGTACATCCACATGCAAAAGAAAGAATTTGGACCCTTACCTCACACCATCAATAAAAACTAACTGAAAAATATCAAAGACCTAAATGTAAGAGGTGAAACTATAAAATTCTTAGAAGAAAATAGGTATAAATCTTCATTACCTTGGATTAGACAATGTTTTCTTAGATATGACACCTAAAGTACAATCAAAGAAAAATATATATAAATTGTACTTCAACAATATTTAAAACTTTTCTGTATCAAAAGACACCAACAAGAAAGTGAAAAGACAACCCACAGAATGAGAGAAAAAATATTTGCAAGTCATATATCTAATGAGGGTCTAGTATCCAGTATATATAAAGAGCTTTTACAACTGAACAATAAAAAATAATTTTTAAAATGGGCAATAGAGGCCGGGCACCATGGCTCATGCCTGAAATCCCAGCACTTTGGGAGGCCGAGGCAGGCAGATCACCTGAGGTTGGGAGTTCCAGACCAGCCTGACCAACATGGAGAAACCCTGTCTCTACTTAAAATATAAAATTAGCCGGGTATGGTGGCAGGTGCCTGTAATCCCAGCTACTTGGGAGGCTCGGGCAGGAGAATCACCTGAACCCGGGAGGCAGAGGTTGCCGTGAGCTGAGATTGTGCCATTGCACTCCAGCCTGGGCAAGAAGAGTGAAACACCGTCTCAAATAAAATAAAATGGGCAACAGATTTGAACAGATAGTTTTTTAAAGAATATATGCAAATGGAGTGTGCAAATAAGCATAAGAAATATGCTCAATGTCACTACTTATCAGGAAAATGCAAATCAAAACCACAATGAGATAACACGACACCTCCAGTAAGATGATGACTTTTATCACAAAGACAGATAATGACAAGTGTTGAGGACAATTTGGAGAAAATGAACCCCTAATACACTCCTGCTAGGAATTCAAAATGGTGCAGCTGCTTTGGAAAATACTTGGCAGTTCCTCAAAAAGTTAAATATAAGAGTAACCATGTGACCTAGCAATTCCACTCCTAGGTATATACCCAAGGAAATTGAAAGCATATGGTATCAGGTCATTCTTGTGTTGCTGTAAAGAAATACCTGAGGCTGGGTAATTTGTAAAGAAAAGAGGTTTCATTGGCTCACAGTTCTGCAGGCTGTACAGGCACGGCACCAGCATGTACTTGGCTTTTGGTGAAGCCTCGGGAAGCTTACGATCATGGCAGAAGGCAAAGGGAGAGCTAGCATCTCATGGTGAAAGTGGGAGCAAGAAAGAGGAGGTGGGAGGCACCACACTCTTTTAAACAACCAGATCTCATGTGAACTAACTAAATGAGAACTCTTCACCAAGGTGATGGTGCTAAGCCATTCATGAGGGATCCGCCCCATGATTCAATACCTCTCACCAGGCCCCACTTACAACATTAGAAATTACATTTCAGCATGAAGTTTGGAGGTGACAAACATCCAAACCATGACACATATATCTATGCGAAAACCTCAATGTGAATATTCATAGTAATATTATTTATAACAGCCAAAAAGTGGAAACAATCTAACATCCATCAATGGACAAATGGGTAAATAACATGCAATACATCCACACAATGGAATATGATTCAGCCATAGAAAGGAATGAAGCATTGACCCATGCTACAGTGAGGGTAAACCTTGGAAACGTTATGTTAATTGAAAGAGGCCAGACACAAAATATCCCACATTGTATGATTCCATTTATATGAAATGTCCAAAATAGGCAAATCTAGAGACACAAAAGCAGATTCGTGGTTGTCAGGGGCTGGAGGAGGAGGAAATCAGGAGGGGCTGCTGATAGGCATGGGAGTTCTTTTGGAGGTAATGAAAATGTTCTGAATTGGTGGGAATGGTTATTACACAACATGGTGAATATACTTCGAACTACTGACTTGTATACTTTAAAATGATAAATTTTATGTTGTGCGAATGACATTGCAATAAAATTTACTCTAAAAACAAATGTGGTAAATTAAAATAAAGTGTGATTAGGGCAATGGCAGGTTACTCAGGGGAGGGAATAACTAAAGTGTAGGGCCAGCAGGAGGGCAGGGAGGGCTTCCTGGAGGGAGTGAGACCTAGGTTGAATTTTGCAGGATGAGTAGGAGTTTATCAGGCAATGAGAACAGCCCAAGCAAAGACACGGCTGATCTGTTCAGAGAATGAGAAGCTGCTCATCTTGGCGGGGGGAGAGTGGGTATGCCAGGAGCACCAGGAGTGAAGCTGGGCAGGGGACTGTCACCCTGCTGAGACCAGAGATACATCATCCAGCCCCAGGCCTATTCTCTTGCTCTGTGCTTTTCCACACTTGTGATTTTTATTCAATTATTTGTGTAACTCTGCAATCAGGGGGTCTGCCTGCTAGACTGTCAGCTCTAGGAGGGTGGCTGCTGGGTCTGTCTGTTCACCATCCTGGCCCAGCAGCTAACTTAGTGCAGGCCAAGAGGGAGCCTTAGGAGCTTATGCTCTCCCAGGCTCCCCCATTATACCCCACAGCCCTAGGCACCCTACATTACAAGTCTGAATATATCAGACACTGCATCATGAAAGCTGTCTGTTCCATCAAGGCAAACCCTCATTTCAAAGGCCTGACAAGGCAAGGGACTCTAATGCAGGGAGCCATCTCTGGACTGCTCAGCACTTCCAAATGTCAAGGCAGGAAGTAAAATTCAGATAAGATACACGCACAAGGCACCTGCAGAATTATCTCATTCAAGCTCCTGCTCCTCCAAGGTCAAGATCCCACTGCCCCCAGATTCTATATCCCCCTCCTGATGAGCCAATCAGGGATGGAAACACCCTTGACTTGTTCATGCAGAGCACATCTGCCAGCTAAACAAATACCAACCCGCAAAACAGCACAAAGTGAAATACAATGACTTCACAATACACTGAAATAAGCTGTTGTGTTTGGACACGTGGATATGGAGAGCTCTTTCCTTGTGTTGTTTCCTTTTGCAGGGAAGCAGGGAAGATGCCCAGGAAGGTTCCTTCTTGCTAGAAGCTTTGCAAAGGCCGCTGGCCACACCCACAACTGCTGGCTGAGAGGCCTGGTGGGCTCACAACTCAGGAAGACCCCACCCACCTGCCCGCCCCCACGAACAGCCCAGGAGCAGGACTGAGCTCAGCACAGTGGAGCTGATTTACCTGCTGCAGCCTTTCTCCTCTGCCAGAGGTCTTCTGGGGCCACCAGAACCTGGCCATGCTCACAGAGTGTCCAGCCCTCACTGAGCACAGGCCCTAGCATGGACCATGGGAAAAGAGGTAACAGGGTAGCCAGGGCCATGCTCGGCTGGGCTGGAGTTGGAGGAGAAAGGAGACTCAGGCCTGAGGGGTTAGGGACTGTGGCTGGGAGCGGCTCCTCTGGGCTCCATAGCACCCCATGTAGACCTCTTCATATAAAAACAGTAATAGCTGCCACTCTTGTATGTGTCACCATTACATACATTTTCATATTTCAAGCTCCCATCAACCTGTTGGTGCTGTTATCATTTCCACTTTTCAGAGGAAGAAACTGAGACTAAAGCAACTTGCACCAGGTACCACACCCAGTTAGTGGCTGGAGGGAGATCCTAACCCAGGTCTCTAATTCCACAGCCCATTCTGTTAGCCACTAATGTTATGCTGCCTGCTAGCATGACCCTCGGGCCCGGTATGAATGGGACTGAGGGGTTTTCCAGCACACAGGACTTTCAGTGTTCAAATGGCCATCCCAGGCTGGGCATGGTGGCTCATGCTTGTAATCCTAATACTTTGGGAGGCTGAGATGGGAGGGTTCCTTGAGCCCACCAGCCTGGGCAACACAGTGAGATCCCATCTCTACAAAAAGTTTAAAAATCAGCTGGGTGGGCCAGGCGCGGTGACTCATGCCTATAATCCCAGCAATTTGGGGGGCCGAGGCGGGTGGATCACCTGAGGTCAGAAGTTCAAGAACAGCCTGGACAACATGGTGAAACCCCGTCTCTATTAAAAACACAAAAATTAGCCAGGTGTGGTGACACATGCCTGTAATGTCAGCTACTCAGGAGGCTGAGGCAGGAGAATCGCTTGAACCCGGGAGGTGGAGGTTGCGGTGAGCTGAGATTGCACCACTGCACTCCAGCCTGGGCAATAGAGCAAGACTCCATCTCAAAAAAAAAAAAAAAATTAGCTGGGTGTGGTGGCTCGCACCTGTAGGCCCAACTATTCAGGAGGCTAAAGTGGGAGGAGGGCTTGAGCCCAGGAGGTCGAGGCTGCAGTGAGCGATGATGGCGCCACTGCACTCCAGCCTGGGTGACAGAGTGAAAATTTATAGACGATCTATAAATTAAATCAGTTAATCAGTCTGGCAGTCCCAGGCAAATCGGGTTGGTTGTTCACTGTGATCAGCTGAACAATAGCATACTACCACCACCACTACAAAGATGTCCACGTCCTTATCCCTGGAACCTATGATTGGCAAAAGGGACTTTACAGATGTGATTCAATTAAGAATCTTGAGATGGGAAGATTATCCTGGATTATCTGGATGAGCCCAAAGTAGTTACAAAGATCCTTATCAGAGGGAAACAGAGGGTTAAAGTCAGAAAAAGGAGATATGAAAATAGAAACAGTGGTTGCAATGACGCAATGCTGGCTTTGAAGATGAAGGAGCCAGAAGGCAAGGAATGCAGGCAGCCTCTAGAAGCCGGAACAGGCAAGAGCCAGAAGGAACCAGCCCTGTCGACAGCTTGACTTTAGCCTAATGCGAGCCACATGAGACTTCTGACCTCCAATGTGTCTGTGGTCATCTGTTACGGCAGCCAAGGACACTAAGACACACACTGTAGCTGCCTCCAGGCACTGGCCTTGCCACTATATTTTATTTCATTTTCCCAGGGGAAGGAGCAAATGTTTACTGAGCACATACAGTGTCAGGGCCCAGAAGGCTCCTCATTCACTCTCTTGTACATTGTTTCCTGGACTCTCTGGACAAGAGGTGTGGTGCGTATTACCATGATGATTCTCAGTTACAGATGAAGCAGCTAAGTGGGAAGAGATTCAGTGGGTCCTCCGTGCCCTTGGCTCTAACGAGCTCCCAGGTCCCCACCCTCAGCTCGCCCTCCCAGTTCCAGAATGTCACCCCCAGCCCCATCCTAGAGCTTCAGTCCTGCTCTAGGACTGCTCATGGACTGATCCTGGTCATGTATTCTTTCATTCATGTGTCCAACAAACACTGAGCGAGCCCCTTCTGGGTGCCAGAACAGTCCCAGAAGGGACCCAGAGGTGAGCACAACATGCATTTTGCCCACAAGTAGCTCATAATCTAAGAGGCCAGTGGTCTCCAAAGTGGGCGAAAATGCATGCTAGGGACAGGCAAGATGATGCACTGGGGCGTGGGGAAGCCCTCAAGTCTCTGCTTATATTCATTTGTATCAGATAAGTAGCAGGAGCTAGGAAATTGAGTCATGCTGTATTTATTATGAGGGTCAACCCTGGTGCCCAGGAGCATACTATGTCTGGTGGGCATTTGAGAGCATCTGACGGTGATATAGTTTGGCTGTGTCCCCACCCAAATCTCATCTTAAATTGTAGCTCCCATCTTTCCCACATGTTGTGGGAGGGACCCTGTGGCAGATAATTGAATCATGGGGCGGTTTCCCCCATAGTGTTCTCGTGGTAGTGAATAAGTCTCATGAGATCTGATGGTTTTATAAGGGGTTTCCCCTTTTGCTTGGTTCTCATTCTCTCTCTGGTCTATCTCCATGTAAGATGTGCCTTTCACCTTCTGCCTTCCCAGCCACGTGGAGCTATGAGTCCATTAAACCTCTTTCCTTTGTAAATTACCCAGTCTCGGGTCTGTCCTTATTAGCAGTGTGAAAACAAACTAATACAGATGGGAAGAGTGAGAGCTCCTCACAGAGGCTGGGGGACCCAGGGGGTGAGGGCGCCTTGCATCCACTAGCCTGCTCAGTGCTCTGTGGCTATCTGTGCTCTGTGAAGAGAATTTGCAACTTTATATTGTCTAGTTAGTCACACGAACTCTCATTGTGGAGCCACAGATGAACAGAATTCCTGCAAGGGAGCCATGGATTGAAGACAATTGTAAACATGGAAGCCTGAGAGAACAAGAAAACAGCAGATTTGGTGTTTGTCCTTCAAATATGAGTTCATTGTCATCCCTTAGGTACAACCCCTGAGAATCTAATCAGAGGCAGTGGGAGTCAACCAGAGAAAGAGGGAGAGAGAGAGAGAGTGCTCATTGAGAAAAGAGCTGAATATAATTCACCTCTAACATTAGCAATGTTAGCAACACCACTAACATTAGCAATAATTCTCTCCATAAAGGATTATATATTGTGTCTGGAGATATTCAAGATTATGTGAAAATACCCGAAACATTATTAATAATTTTTGTTTTAGTACTATGAATGAACACAATGAAAGAATATTTTAAATCTTTTTAAAATTCTTTTTGAGTATCTTTTAACATTCTTTTTGAAGTTTTTATTTATCATTATCATTATTATTATCGCTTGTTTGTTTTTTTGAGATAAGGTCTCACTCTGTCACCCACGCTGGCATGCAGTGGCATAGTTTTGGCTCTCTGCAGCCTCGATGTCCAGGGCTCAGGTGATCCTCCCACCTCAGCCTCCTGAGTAGCTGGGACTACAGGCACACACTACCAAACCCAGCTCATTTTTGGTATTTTTTGTAGAGATGGGGTTTCACCATGTTGCCAGGCTGGTCTCGAGCTCCTGGGCTCAAGCGATCTTCTTGCCTTGGCATCCCAATGTGCTGGCATTACAAGCGTGAGTCCTGCGCCTGGCTATTGTTATTATTTTTAAATTAATCAAATTGTCTAGAGATGATGCCTGTATTCGTCCATTTTTACACTGCTACTAAAGGCACACCTGAGACTGGGTAATTTATTTAAAAAAAGAGGTTTAACGGACTCACAGTTCCACATGGCTGGGGAGGCCTCACAATCATGGCAGAAGGCAAAGGAAGGGCAAAGGCATGGTGGCAAGCAAGGGCCATGTGCAGGGGAGCTTCCCTTTATGAAACCATCAGATCTCATGAGACTTATTCACTACCATGAGAACAGCATGGGGGAAACTGCTCCCATGATTCAATTATCTCCACCTGGCCCCGCCCTTGACTCGTGGAGATTATTACAATTCAAGGTGAGATTTAGGTGGGAACACAGCCAAACCATTATCAATGTCTCATTATGTTGCCCAGGCTGGAGTCCAGTGGCTATTCTCAGACTTAGTCACAATGCACTGCAGCCTCAAATTCCTGGGTTCAAGCAATCCTCCTGCCTCAGCCTCCTGATTATTTAAACTACAGACACATATCACCGTGCCTAGGTTTGAAATTTCTATTTTTGTGTAAGGTTTTTATCATTCATAATATATTCGTAGGTATAAATATATAATTTCTAGACAAGCGAATACATGGAGTGCATGCTAAATTTTTTATGGGGTAAACAACATTTTTTTTTCAATGCAGACAGCAGCAAAGAGGATGAAAGACACGTCAATAATGAAGCAGATAAAAAATTACAGGTACCAGTTGAGCAATGCTGGCTGCCGACTTTCTATCTGTTTCTTTTTCTTTACTAAGAGAGCTCTGATTTTTCTTTTTGGATGTCAATGTGTTTGCTAAAATTCTATATTCCTCAGCATCTTTTTGCAGTTAAGAGGTCACCATGTGACACACTTATGGCCAATGGCATAAGTCCTGATTATCTGTTAAAATGCAACAAAACAATCCAAAACCTATTCATTTTAAACAGCAAATCACCTAAAGCAGTTTGTAATTTACTTTACAAATCTGAATGTGGGCACAGCTCAGCTTGGATGGCTCACTTAGCCCTACAATGGCATCAACTGGGGCAGGTCATCTAGAAGATCCATTTCCAAGGTGGTTCACTCCCGTGGCTGGCTGTAGGGTAGAAACTGTAGTTGGGGGTTTCGGTACCTCTCTACATGGGGTTCTCCACTGGGTAACTTGGACTGCCTGACAGTATGGTGGCTAGGTTTCAAGAGCAAGGGTTCTAAGAAGAACTGGAAGCTGCCATTTTCTCAAAGCCTGGACCTAGAAACTAGCATAGCATCACTTCTGCTATATTCTAATGGTAGAGCAGTCAAAGACCCTACCCGCATTCAAAGGGAGAGGACATAAGCCTTCCCTCTCAGTGAGGGTGGTGGTTGATCTTAAATCTAAGATTACATGTAAGTAGAGCTTGCCAGGGATTTTTAGAAAAGCTTTTACATCGTTTTTACTATTGCTTTCTTCTTCCTTTTCCTAGAACTCAAATAGAAAACTTGGGGTGAAACATGCATCTTGTAACGAGGAAGCAACCGTGTTAATGGGTGCCATGTACTGCAGATGATGGAACAGAAAGACACAGGGAGCCCGAGCCTCTGGGAGCACCACTGAGCTGCTATGGCAGCCAGGTCTTCCCATTTCTAGACTTCCTGTTATATGAAGAAACAAAAATTTAGTTAAGGTCCTCCAGTAATATTTCTGTTGCATGCAGTCAACCATAGTCCCTAATTCAGTGCACAATGCCCAAGGTGCACAAAGGAGAAAGGATAAAAGGACTTCTTAGGAACATGATCTTTGAGTTGATCTTGACAAATGAATAGAGTCTAAGATTTCCCATGGGCGAAGGCACAGAGGGGCAGCCTCTTATTCTCCCCGCCTGCCAGGGCTTCGATACCTGAATGTGCAGTCATCGTGTGACACCCACCTTCCAGAACCTCTTACTTTTTCTTGGGCACCTGAAACTAAGAATCTGGTCTTTGACCAACTAAATCAATCATCACCTTCTCCCATTCAACATTCCAACCCCCAGGCTGGGCGCGGTGGGTCACGCCTGTAATCCCAGCACTTTGGGAGGCCGAGGCGGGCAGATCACCTGAGGTCAGGGGTTCAAGACCAGCCTGGTCAACATGATGAAACCCCATTTCTACTAAAAATACAAAAAAATTAGCCAGGCGTGGTGTTAGGTGCCTGTAATCCCAGCTACTCAAGAAGCTGAGGCAGGAGAATCGCTTGAACGCAGAAGGTGGAGTTTGCAGTGAGCTGAGCCTGTGCCACTGCACTCCAGCCTGGGCAACAGAGTGGTATAAGGAAGTGGGGCCTTTGGGGAATTATTAGCTCATGAGGGTGGTGCTTTCATGAGGAGGATCAGTGCCCTTATAAAAAAGACACTCCAGAGAGCTCCCTTGCCCCTTCTGCCATGTGAGAACACAGTGAGAAGGTGCCATCTATAAACCAGGAAGTGAGCCCTCACCAGACACCAAATCTTCCAGCACCTTGATCTTGGACTTCCCAGCCTCCAGAACTGTGTGAAATAAATTTCTATTGTTTATAAGCCATCCACTCTACAGTATTTTTATTATAGCAGCCCACATGGACTAAGACAGGAACCTTCTAGGAGCCTGGCTCTGGGCTCTGTGCCTCACATTTATCTCATTTCACTCTTGCAACCACCCTGAGATAAGGACATTTGTCCCCACTTTGCAGGGGCAGAAGGAACTGAGGTGCAAAGAAATTAGCAACCCAGCCAAGGTCACACAGCTAGTAAGTAAGGTAGGTTGGTGTGGAATTCAGACCTGCCTGTGTACCTTCAAAGTATGCTTGCACTCTAGTTCCCCATTCTGCTATCAGGAGCCTTGAATTCAACATCCAACCCAAACACCACCACCATGTGTGGCTTAGATAAATTAATTTCACCTCCTTGAGCCTCAGTTTGTCCATGTCTAAGTTGAGAGAGTTCTGGGGGCTAAATAGGAGGTCTCAAAGGAGGCTTCTGCCCTCAGTAGCTTTTGATCCTATGCAAGCTCAGATAACATCAAGGTTTATAAAAACAGAACATCATCAAAAGAGCTTGTAATGAAATTCCAAAGCAATATGCAGGGGTTAAGGGCTGCAAATCCATAAGATGGCAATTCCAAGTTGAGTACAATTTGCAAGAATATGGGTCAAATATCACAGGGTCAAATAATTTTGAGCTTTCCAGTATTTACAAACATACCTCACTTCCTAAACTTTTCCAATCCATGCTGCACCATACATGTATGCACATATATACATACACACACACACACATATATATACACACACACACACATACAGGAGGACCCATCTTAAAAGGCCCTATTTAATTTGATGTGGCTTTAAGTGAGGTCTGTTAGAAATATGCTACTAATTTTGGACTTTTGTGTTTAGGAGGAAATGTGATTAAAGCTTAATCCAATTTTCTAACACCAGAAAACAGCTACAAGAAAAATAGACAGCCATGAAAGAACAATGGCAGCAGTCGCCTCAGAACAGCCTCTACTGGTCACTAACTTGTCAAACTAGAATATCCCATACCAACAAAACATTGGCCCTCAGGCATGAGAGAAAGTAAAGCCGTGAAGATAGCTCATAATGGGGCAGGGAACTGCAGGAGAAGAGTAAACTTAGCATGTACAGCTGCTCTCAAGAAACTCTTTTTGGGGCCAGGCACAGTGGCTCACGCCTGCAATCCTAGCACTTTGGGAGGCTGAGGCGGGTGGATCACTTGAGGTTAGGAGTTCGAGCCCAGCCTGGCCAACATGGTGAAACCCTGTCTCTACTAAAAATACAAAAATTAGCTGGGGGTGGTGGCACACACCTGTAGTCCCAGCTAGTAGGGAGGCTGAGGCATAAGAATCACTTGAACCCTGGAGACGGAGGTTGCAGTGAGCTGAGATCGTGCCACTGCACTCCAACCTGGGCAACAAAGTGAGACTCCATCTCAAAAAAAATAAAAATAAAAATAAAAAATAAAAAGAAACTCTTTCTGGAGGACATTTCTGCTCTAACTAGCTGCACACAGGATTCTCAATACATATTTGCCTGGTCTTAGAGCTAGATGACCAGTGACAATAACATGTTATCATTTGCTGAGCAGCTTTACAGGCAAATACTTTGGGTTGCCTAACAGCCATTTTCCATTTCTTCCAAGGCCCTAGCCACCATTACTCTGGTAAATCCAGATAGGCAGATAGGTCCGAACTACACATGGTGAGCTCATCCTCCTTGTTATTAATTTGTTAAGAGGTAAGCATACGTGGCAGACTGTGTTTTCCAAAAATGATCATACCAGTAGATATCCATCCTGCGTGCTCTTCAACTATGTGACCTCCCATTGAGAGGATGAGTCTAGGTTGTCTCCCTTTGAATTTGGGTAGGCTTGTGTCTATGGAGTAAGAATTCAATGTGACTTCTGAAGTTACATCATAAAGATAATACAGCCTCCACCTGGTTCTCTCGGGATACTTGTTCTTGGAACACAGCCACCATACTGTGAGGAAGCCCAGGCAGCCTGTGGAGAAGTACACATGGACAGGAACCAAGACCTTGGCCCACAGCCCCAACTGAGGTCCCAGCCAAGAGCCAGCACCAGCTTGCCAGGGATGCAAATGAGCCATTGAAATCAGACCCTCCTCCAGTTTCCAGCTGAACCACCTCAGCTTAGAAATGGAGCAAAATCAAGTTGTCCTTGCTGACTCCTGCCCAAAATGCAAATTTGTAAGCAAAATAAATTATCTTTGTGGTTATAAGTCACTAAATTTTGGGATGATTTTTTAATGACCCATCTACAGATACCCAGAACATGTTACCTGTTTTAGCAAATAAAACTTGAGGAGAAGACTGATAGGGGCCAAGCAGGAAATATTTAGTCTTCAGTAGAAATGCACAAGGGAGAAATGTCCTTCTTCTGCTTCTGGACATAGGTATGTGAGAAGCTGATGTCTGGAGCTGCAGCTGGCATATTGCAAGCATAAAGGGAGCCCATGAAAGCACTGAGAATGGCAAAAAGGCAAGACAGAGAAAACCCGGTCTGTGTTGACATGGTTGAGCTGCTGGATTAGCCAAACCTGGAACATCCCTACTTCTAGACTCCCTTTTATGTAAGATAATAGGTTAATTGTTGGTTAAGCCAGTTGAGGAGGGCTGTTCTTTTGCCTGTAGCCAAATACATCCTAACTGATTGATGTATTATGTACTTTATGTCGTTCTATTTATTTGTGACCCCCATCCTGAGAGGTAAGCGTTAACACCATTAATTTTTGGCTGAAGAAACAGGCTTAATGAAGCTAGGTAACTTTTCTGAGGTCTTTAACAGAACTGGGGTGACCAGGATTCACACCCAGGCCTGTCTAACTCCAAAGCTCATGCTTTCCATGCCACTCCCCATGGCTTTGTCATTCTTTAGTGGGCCAGGCACTCACCTGAAAGTCAGGGTTCCAGGGTTGAATTCAGACTCTTTCCTAATTCTCTGTGCATCTTTCAGAAGTCACTTCACTTCTAAGAGCCCCTGTTCCCTCATATTTAAGCCTTACGTGGCTGCTGAGAAGCTCAAGGCTTCATCTGATTTACTATAACATGAATAATATTTGGATGTATCATAGAGATGTGTTTTTTATCCTCTCTACCTTATTGCAAATGTTGTTGCCTGTGAGCCATTCTGCTTTAGAGCCTTAGGGAATAGGAGAAGAAGAAGAGGGCTTGACCTAGAAGTTCTTGCTAGACAGGAAGGGGAGTAAGATAAAACCCACCTGGCTCTCTAAGAGGAGGAAGAAGGAGGTAGGACAGGACGTGCCCATGACCTTGAGGTAAAAGTATGTAAATAATTTTGAGAAAACTAGAGAGCATTAGGCTTACGAGCTGCTTGCTCATACAGAGCCAGAGGAGACTCCAAGCCTCTAGGAGAAGCTGCACATTGCATTTGGTTCAACTTCCAATATATGGCCGAAAGCAATAGTGCGGCATCAGCAAAGAGAATGTCTAGACACTGGCCCTGAGGAGGTGCTGCTCATTCTCCATGATCAATGAGGATGCAGGTTCCCACGTGCCCTGGTGAGGTGAGGGAGAACCAGGGGACCAGCAGAGTCCAAGTCAGAAGGACAGAGCCATGGAATTCAGGGACTTTGAGGGCAGGAGCAAATGGCCAAGACTATTTGCAAGAGTGCCCTGATGATACCCCAAAAGGCCAGTTGGACTCAGCTGCCTCTCACGGGACTCCACACAGGGGCCCAGGAGCCAAGTCATACCAAACTGGATATGCCAGAGAGGAGCTAAGAAGATCCAGGGACAGCCCAATGACCTGCATGCCCAGATACTGCTCCATGTCTTCCCCCAATCCTTGTGGCTGCCATCTTAGATAGGAGGAGAACTCTGCACATCTGAGCACACAGCTGACGGAGACTAAGCAGACAACGAATTGTGGGAGGGATGGAGCTATCATGACCATCAAATTGTATGTCCCTCTCCCTTTCCACAGCTACCCAGCAGCATAGTTAGGCCATTTACCGGAAATATAGAAGCTTCGTTTTCTTCACCTGTTTGAGGAGTGGGGTATAAATCTGTGATACCATTCGGCTTGTTATTAGTATTGTTTTATCTTACTCTCTTGTTTTTTTTCTTTTTTTAGACAGAGTCTCACTCTGTCACCCAGGCTGGAGTACAGTGATCAGATCTCAGCTCACTGCAACCTCCGTCTCCCGGGTTCAAGCGATTCCCCTGCCTCAGCCTCCCAAGTAGCTGGGACTACACATGCATGCCACCATGCCTGACTAATTTTTGGGTTTTTTGTTGTTGTTGTTGTTTTTGAGATGGAGTTTCGCTCTATTGCACAGGCTGGAGTGCAGTGGCACGATCTCGGCTCACTGCAACCTCCACCTCCCAGGTTCAAGCGATTCTCCTGCCTCAGCCTCCCGAGTAGCTGGGATTACAGGCGCCTGCCACTACGCCCGGCTAATTTTTTGTGTTTTTAGTAGAGCCGGGGTTTCACCATGTTGGCCAGGCTGGTCTCAAATTCCTGACCTCAGATGATCCACCCGCCTCGGCCTTCCAAAGTGCTGGGATTACAGGTGTGAGCCACCACACCTGGCCAATTTTTATTGTTCTATCTCATGATCTGTTCTGTCATAAAATCCTCTCTCTAAAAGGAGACTCCTATGAAAACTTATTTTTTATTTATTTATTTTTTTGAGACGGAGTCTCGCTCTTTTGCCCAGGCTGGACTGCAGTGGCGCTATCTTGGCTCACTGCAAGCTCCGCCTCCCAGGTTCATGCCATTCTCCTGCCTCAGCCTCCTGAGTAGCTGCGATTACAGGCGCCCACCACCGCGCCTGGCTAATTTTTGTATTTTTAGTAGAAATGGGGTTTCACCGTGTTAGCCAAGATGGTCTCGATCTCCTGACCTCATGATCCACCCGCCTCAGCCTCCCAAAGTGCTGAGATTATAGGTGTCAGCCACTGCGCCTAGCCGAAAACTTATTTTTAAGAAGCTCCAATGCCAAAGAGAAGAAGTGGAGCTGATGAACTGAATTTCCTCCCAAGGCTTTTGGAGACTCATTGGCGTTTTAAGCAGGAGAATGGCTAAAGAGATGTATAGTTTGGGAAAATCTGGAGGCAGCGAGGGGAAGGCTTTGGGGAGAGGGCAAGATCCGAGGCACAGAGACTAGAATGTGCAATGGACCAGAAGAGAGGTGGAAAGCATCCTGGACCCAGAGAGCAGCCACATAGAAAACAGCTAAGGAGGGTACCAGGTGCAAGACATATTCCAACATCACGGCCTGCCTGCCTCCATCATCTGTTCTTGGGCAATAACCATACTGTCTCTGAACTTCAGTCTCCTATTCTATCAAATGGGGGCATAATACCTACCCAGCAGAGATGTCAGGAGCATTAAGTGAGATCACAGCTAAAGCACATCTCACGATGTTTCTCCCATTGCAACTGTTATTTCCTGCCCCCAACCATGTAAAGACTCATTTTCAAACAGCAATGGAGATGTCTAAGAGAGGTACACCCGTCTCTACTGCTGTTGTGAAAATAAACAAAAAGCCTCTGTCTTCCGTTTGGAGAAGAAATGATCTTTGAAGCAGCAAGCTGGAATCTGCAAGGCACAGGAGAATTTCATTCCAAGTCTATAAAAAGGCACTCGGAAAGAAAGCCTTCCACACGAGGGGCCTTCCCCAACCAGATCCAGATGTGTCTCGAGAACAACGTGCCTGAGGAATTAGGCCAGATCCAACATCATCAAATGAGACCATTCTCTCCTTCCACTTAACCATGAGAACTCAGGCAGGCTCCTGACTTCTCAGACCCCAGTTTCCCCATCTGGAAAGGTGCAACACCTTTGATGTTACGGAGTTGCTGTGAGCCCTGTGAAGCAGCATGGGGAAAGTAGAGAAATCCTGGGCATGCCATCTCCTGGGAGACTTTGGGCAGATGGTTAATTATCCAAGGCCTCAGTTTCCACATCTGTCAAATGGGCATAGTACTCCCTCTCTCACAAAGTTCATTCATTTTTTCCAAGTCTGAAGAATGGGCAGGTCTCTGCCAGGGATCTGGCTCAACTGTAGATGCTGGATTTGCCACCAGAAACACAGACAGAGCTGCTGTTATCATGGGGCTCAAAATCTCTGGTCAAGACCATCTGTGAGAATAGCACAGCCTGCCCAGCACAGAGACAGTTGGACGTGATAGCCAAAGATCCTCCGGAGCACGCCTGCCTGGGTTGGAATTCTCTTTCTACAACTAGCTGGCCAATTGCCCTTTGGCAAGTGTCTTAATCTTTCTGTGCCTGAATTTCCTCATCTGTACAATGGGACAAATCCCCTTTCATCAAAATGTTGTGGCTGGACACAGTGGCTCACGCCTGTAATCCCAGAACTTTGGGAGGCCGAGGCAGGTGGATCACTTGAGGTCAGGAGTTCGAAACCAGCCTGGCCAACATGGTGAAACCCTGTCTCTACTAAAAATACAAAAATTAGCTGGGTGTGATGGTGCACACCTGTAATCCCAGCTACTGGGGAGGCTGAGGCATGAGAATTGCTTGAGCCCAGGAAGCAGAGGTTGCAGTGAGCTGAGATCATGCCACTGCACTCCAGCCTAGGTGACAGAGTGAGACTCTGTCTCAAAAAACAAAACAAAACAAAACAAAACAACAACAACAACAAAAACTGTTGTGAGAACTCACTGAGTTAAGACGTGGCTGGCTCCTGACAGCTACCTGTGTGTTCTCTCTCCTAGTTATATTTTCTAGTGTCAGGCACTACGCAACCTGGCTCCAGTCTCCTTCCTGCCTCCACTCTTAATAATTTCCAGGCATGTACAGCCGTGCAAAATCTAGCAACAGCAAGCTACTCCCAGATTTCAAAAAATACTTTTGTGTCTCAAGTCCCCATACTCACCCTCAACTATTCCCTTGGTTCAGAATATATATCTGTATCACACTCCACCTGGTGAAGTCTCCCTCCTCCTTTAAGCGCCAGCTGAAACATCACCTCCTCCAGGAAGCCCTCTCTGATTTCAAAGTCAACAGCATCCCTCCCTCTCTCTCCTCTGTAGTCAGTGGAGGCACATCTGCAAATTTCTAGGGGGCACAGGATAAATCTTCACTATCTCTAAACCACTCTGCCCATTCCCAGGGCCAGGCCATGGTGGCTGCTCTGCCAGGGCTTATAGAACACATGAATGGATGAACGGATGATGCAGTGATAAGTCTTCCCACTAAAACATGGATATTGGGAGGCTTTATGAGGCAGGCAGATGATTCGCTCCATTGGACTGATGCTGAAGCTGAAGTTCTGTGGGGGTAGGATATTTACCAACTCCCACAGTCGTTAAGCAGTGGAAGGAAACAGTGGTGGGGTCTTAGCATTCAGCGCTCTACCAGTGGTGTGCATGTCGGCCTTAATCACACTATTTCATCCCTCCTCAATCAAGCAACTGTGAGCGTTTGTAAATATCTTTCACCTCTTTTCTATGCATAAATAAAAATAGGATAACATTTCAAAACTTGTCTTTTTTTTAAGAGGCATTGTATAATTCATATTACTGGCCAACTTCAGGGGGTGGTTATCTGGTTATTTGTTTGTTTGTTTTACTTAATAACATGTCAGGAAGAGCCCTCCAGATAATTATGTAGAAATCTAATTTTGGAAAGACTGGTATTCCAAAAAGCCATGTATCATAACGTATTTAACCTTTCCAGTTCCGGTGGACTTTCAGATTGCTTCCAGGTTTCTGCCACCACTAACAGTGTGGCAATAAACATCCTGTTCCTATGTCCTTATATTTTGGGGTTTTCATTTCTGTGGGAGAGATTCCCAGAAGTGGGATTGCTGGATCAAAGGGAATGTGTATTTCTCAATGTTAATAGATACTTACAGATTACATTTTCAAGAGGTTTTGGCAATCCCCAAGGACCCAAACTTTAAGTCCAGGTCTTGCAAAGGAAGTACAATATCAGAAAGCACTTTCCTCCCTTTGGGATGCACAAAACTAGCCTGATGTCTGGAGAGGAGCCCTCCCTCTTTTTTTTTTTTTTTTTTTTTTTGAGACGGAGTCTTGTTCTGTCACCCAAGCGCACAGTGACGCAATCTCAGCTCACTGCAACCTCCCACTCCCAGGCTCAAGTGATTCTCCTGCCTCAGCCTCCTGAGTAGCTGGGATTACAGGTGCACGCCACCACGCCCACCTAATTCTTGTATTTTTAGTAGAGATAGCGTTTCACCACGTTGGCCAGGCTGGTTTCAAAATCCTGACCTCAGGTGATCTGCCTGCCTCGGCCTCCCAAAGTGCCGGGATTACAGGCGTGAGCCACTGTGCCTGGCCCCTCCCTTTTTGAACCCAGCCAGTGAGGCTTCCAGACGGTGTGGAAGCAAGCAGATGGGGCTTGCGTCTTGGCTAAGTGCCCGTGGGCAGGTCATTCAACCTTGCCAAGCTCGTTTACTCATTCATAAAAGGACCCAAACCTGGAATAAAATTACTTTGCAAGCACTTGGCTGGAGCGAGCAGACACAGTGGGGGCTAGACACATGTCACGTGTTGAGGATAACTATTCTGTCTGCTTAAGTAAAGACCCCACCGACACTGGGCTTCCTGATCCAGCTGCTCTGGAGGGCTGCGGAGGCTGTACCTTTAAGCCACTCCAGGCCACCTGGCGCTACATGAGCTGCGCAGGGCTTGGGCAGCCTGTCTGTCCTTCCTTCTGCATTGACTCGGCACACCATACCCTTTCCAGGAGGCCTGACCACAAGGCACCTCTTGGGATATACTTGCTGTTCTCTTCTCCTTTTCCCTTCCTACCCATATGCACCGCACCGCACCCTTTCAAAGCCTGGTCTGTCATCCTGAGCGTGGGTCCTTATCTACCTTCCTCCTGCTCACAAAGTTGGCAATTCTGTCTTATCAGTTCAGCAAAATAATAATAATCATAATAATGGCTAATATTTGTTCACTGTTTCCCCTGTGCCAGGCACTGTGCTAGCTCTTAATGTATATTAATTCATCTAGACCTTACAATGACGACTGAGACCCCACTTCACAGGTGAGGAAACCCAGGCTTGGCAGCTGGTTTGGTGTCCTTTAGCTCCTGCTGCCTGGGTTAATTTCCTGGGAATTTCATGAGCCCCAGGACCTGCCTTGTCCAGGCATCTGTGTGCCTGGGAGAAGAACCTGGGCTCACAAAGGTCCACTTGGGGAGGCCAGATTGAAGTAGGGCGCAGTGTTCCAGACAACCTGGGGGCCTACCCTGTCCATTCGAGGCTGTTCCTCCCTGGCTTCCAAATTCCAGACAGAATCAGTTTGCTGCTGCCGGTTCTGCCACATTGGATGCCTTCAGCAAAACATCCATCCACTCACGTGTCTCTCCATTGAGTCTCCCATCATCTGGAGCACTAACTATGTGCTGGGCACAGGGGAAATGGAGATAGGATTAAGCCAGTGCCTGGCTCCAAGGGAGTCCGGGTGATGAAGACAGTGACATCACAATGTGCTCAGTGCTTCGGGATCTCAGATGGGCCCCTGACCCAACCTGGGAGCAGTCAGGGAAGTCTTCCAAGAAAAGTGAGGTTCAAGGAAAGTGGTAGCAGGAACGTTGCTCCTGGAAGAAGACACAGCAAGCGTGAAGGCTGGGAATTTTTTCCAGAGAAGCCCAAGTTCCAGTGGCTGCTGTGGCACCAAACCCATGGCTGAGGCCCAAAGTTCCAAGAAGCCACCTGATTTTTCAGTCCCAGCCCCAGGATAGGGCAGGGATAACACTTTTCCCTCCTTGCACCTGGCATTAGAATTACGGTCACGGCTGTGTCTGACATCTGCTCAAACCAATTCGTTATCATTAGGAAATGAATCCCTAATGAATTTCTGCAGCCATTAAGTCTGATTTACAGTAATGGTAATCACCCTTGGAAGCACACGCTTTATCCCTTTAATTAATAATTCCCACTTATCAGCAACCCTAATGATCACGGGACAAAAAAAAAAAAAAAAAGGAAAAAAGCCTCCAAATTCCAGCCCTTGCTTCCCCATCACACCTCTGGGGATGGGGAGAGAAGAGTCGAGTCCTATGGAGAGGGGTCTGGAGACCCCTGTTGCCTGCCAGGGAGGGCAATTATCGACCCTAATCCTCTACCTGAACTTTCTGTGTCAGCCAGACAGTTGTGCTCCCAGCCCCCGGGGCATGCTGGTCATGGCCAGCCACCATGGGATCAGGCTCCTCTCCATAATCACCCCAACAGCCTGCCTGGCCTCACTGGTTCCACACTCACTCATACGGGGCATCTCCACGCTGCAGTCACGGCTCCTGTCTACATATTAGCAAATCCAAACAAGCCCTTTTCCGCTTGAATCCCCACAGGGGTATGTGCACATGTCCTCAGGACAAAGCCCCAGCTCCCAGTGCCCTGCTCATCCTAAAACCTCCTTGTTTACGCCACCCAGCCAGCGTCCCTACCCGCCAGCTTCCCCTCTCCTCCCAGTCACTGCCACCTGGCACAATTCTCTACCTTGTTCTGAAATGCCCTTCTTTCCTTCCTTCCTCTGCCTGGCACATAGCTACAGCCCTTCTCCCATCCCTGTTTATGTTAAAGAATCTGTCTGTGCAACTGGGCAGCCAGGTGAACATGTCAGCAGGTCACACAGAACCAAATGTGGGACGTGGCCATCACCGTGTGTGAGGCACAGAGGGGACAGCAGACAGAGCCAGGGAGGGTTTCTAGGTGAGGAGACACCTGAGCTGGGTATTGAAGGGAAAATTTTATCATATGAATGTAAATCCCCACCACCTATTAGGCATTCACCAAGTGCTGGGCACTTTACCTAGAGTACCTCATGTAATTGTCACATCAATGCTGAGAGATAAGTATCAGTACCCCCATTTTATAGGTGAGAGGACCGAGGTTCAGAGAGGTTAAATAGGCCCAAGTTTACACAGAACCCTGGGAGTGGCAGAGCTGGATTTTGCCCCTGAGTATCTGTCCCAAGGTCACACCTCCAACAGAAAGTACCATTTGTCATGAGTTTAACAACACCCTTTATTCTAAAGCAGGACACACTGAAGCACGGCCTTGATCTGGCTATGGCTCACACACACACATATATTTTATCTAGTGGCTCACTGGGTCCACAACGGAGGCTGCTCCAGCCAGAAGCAGCTGGCGAGCTTGCATCAGAGTAGCCACTCTGAGGGCTACTAGATTCAGTGTCTTGGAACACCTTGTCTTAGTCTGCTCTGTCTGCCGTAACAAAACACCACAGATCAAGTGACTTAAACAATAGAAATGGATTTTCTCACCATTCTGCAGGTGGAAATCCAAGGTCAGGGCACCAGCACGGTCAGGTCCCGGCAAGGGCCCCTTCCTGGCTTGCAGGTGGCCGTCTTCTCGCTGTGTCCTCCCATGGTGGTGAGAGAGCAAGCTCCCTAATCTCATCCTGAGACCCCAGCCTCATGACCTCATCTAAAACCGGATCACCTTCCAAAGGCCCCACTTCCTAATACCATCACACTGGGGGCTGAGGCTTCAGAATAGGAATTTGTGGGGAACGCAATTCAGTCCACAGCTCACCTGAATCCTGCCAGTGACGCCCAAGCGTGGTATGGCTTGCCTATGGGAAGACTCCAATAGGAGCAATGATGGAGCTGAAGGAAGGAGCTTTTGGCAGGACTCAGATCCTAACTCAACCCCTCCTACCTCATGATGCTGGGGGACCTCTCTGTGCCTCAGATTTTCCCATCTAAAAATGGGGATACCAGTGGTGCCTACCTCGCAGAGTCCTGGCGAAGATTAAATGAGTTGAAACATGTAAGATATTTGCAACAATGTTCAGCCCATAAGAAGCATTTGCAAGTGTTGGTTTACTTACATATTTATTTATTTATTTAGAGACAGGGTCTCACTCTGTCACCCAAGCTGGAGTGCAGTGATGCCATCATATCTCACTGCAGCCTCAAACCCCTGGGCTCAAGTGATCCTCCCTCCTTGGCCTCCTGAGTAGCTGGGACTAGTTTTTGTATTTTTTGTAGAGATTGGGTCTTGCTAGCTTGCCCAGGCTGGTCTTGAACTCCTGGCCTCAAGTGATCCTCTCACCTCGGCCTCCCAAAGTGCTGGAATTACAGGTGAGAGCTACCACGCCTGGCTGATAGTATTATTATTATTATTATTATTATTATTATTATTATTATTATTATTATTATTATTATGTCAGCAGGAACATCCCGCACTCAACAAAAAACATAAGAACCTCAGACTTTGGGGGCTAAATGATGAAATGGGCATAAATAGATCTTTTTTTTTTCTAATGCTCTGTAGCCTTTTTATTTTTTAATTTTTTTTATTTTTTAACTTTTATTTTAGGTTCGGAGACACATGTGCAGGTTTGTTACATAGGTAAACTCACGTCACACGGGTTTGTTGTACAGATTATTTCCTCACCCAGGAATTCAGTGCAGTACCCAATAGTAATATTTTCTGCTCCTCTCCCTCCTCCCACCCTCCACCCTTAAGTAGACGGCACAAATAGATCTAATGACAGAGGGAAAAAAAGCCAGGCTAGGTGGAATTTTGAAATAGTAATCTGTATTTTTTCTCGTCTATATTTCTTTTTTTTTTCCCTCATCCCTGCAAAGAACCTCCAGGCGGCATATCCTGAAATGTTTGAATTACTGCTCCTCCTAAAAACCCTGACTCAGGCCTTCCTTCCCGCCCTCCTCCTGAGTTCCAGTGGGTAGCGCCCACGCTGTGCCTCGGGCTGACGTCTGCCCACTTCTCTGGATTCATCTCTTGATTATCTCCCACCTTCGATGCAGGAGCCTGCCACACCTACCACACGCGAGCACACACGCATGCACACACACGCCATGCTGTCGTTAAGCTCAGGGCCTGTGTCGCTTGTCCCCTCTCCTCTTCCTGGCCCCGGCTCCAATTCCCCATAAGGATACCCACCCCTCCAAGAAGCCTTCTCTGCACCCCCTAGACTATGTGGGAGGGGTGCCCCTCCTCTGTGCCTCCGCAGTCCCTGGGCTGACCCCAGTAGCATTGAACTCACCTCCCTGTGCTGTGACTCTGATGCTGCTGTATGGGACAGCGGTTAAGAACAGAAACTCTGCAACCGACGGCTTGGATTTGAACCCTGACTGTCTACTTGCTGGCTGCATAATAGTGGGCAAATTTCTTTGACCTCTGTGCCCCATCTGGAAATGGGGATACAGACAGTGGGCCTCCCTTGCCGGAACCCTGTTAGGATGATATGGGTTAATGTGCATAAAACACCAGCAGGGTGCCCAGCATGTGCCCATTGAAGAGCTCATTAGTGTTTACAAAACAGGACCCCCCACTCATTTTGGGGTTGGGGGTAACTTTATATACCCACTGCCTAGCACGGTGATTGGGACGTGGTAGGCACTTGAAAAATATTTGTTGAGCTGAATTACTCCCACAAAATGAAAACAGAGCTTGGCTCACAAAGACAGCCATCACTCACATTACATATTAAGCGATTTTTCCAGAGTGCATCATGCCAAATATTGTACATTCTTTGTTATAGCGAGGGCGGTGATATTCATTAAAGGGTAGCGCAGTTTCATTAGAAACACTTATTTTCGGAATTTTATAGCTCAGCCACAAAAATTCACTCCGGGCAAAACGCTAACTTTCGCCTGGAAGTAAATGGGTTTATTTTATAAATTTTTATGTATTTTCCACGCATAAACAACTCGCCAGAAAACCATTCTTTAATGGAAGGGTTGCAAGAGGAAAACCTAATATTCTGGTGTATGAGACATAAAGACTCAAAAGGTGTGGTGGGGGTGGGGACTCGGGGGATGCCTGGTCAGGAGGTGACTTTCCCCGGGGAGTTCCATATCAGCTTCCTGAGCCCTTTCGAAGGTCTCAACCATGCATCCACCAATATTTTTGAGGATGTCATTGGGCCAGTTGCTGTTTTAAGTGTTTTCTGTGTATTAACTAATTCCCCAAATTACATCTCCTCCTAAAGAATGTTACTAGGGGGTTAAGCAAGTGTCCCCCCAAAATCTATGTCCACTCAGACCTCAGAATGTGGCCTTATTTGGAAACAACATCTTAGTAGATGTATTCGAGGTAAAATGAAGTCACATTAGATTAGGTTAGGCCCTAAAGCCAATGACTAATGTCTTTATCAGAAAAAAAAAAAAGCCAGGCGCGGTGGCTCACACCTGCAATACTAGCACTTTGGGAGGCCAAGGCGGGGTGGATCAACTGAGGCCAGGAGTTCGAGACCAGCCTGACCAACATGACTAAACCCCGTTTCTACTAAAAATACAAAAAATAAGCTGGATGTGTTGGCCCGCACCTGTAACCCCAGCTACTCGGGAGGCTAAGGTGGGAGAACAGCTTGAACCCGGCAGGCAGAGGTTGCAGTGAGCCAAGATCGAGCCACTGTACACCAGCCTGGGCGACAGAGCAAGACTTCATCCCAAAAAAAAAAAAAAAAAAAAAAAAAAAAATGTGATTTGGACACTGAGAAGCACAGAGGGAAGAAGGCCATGTGACACCACAGGCAGAAATCAGAGTGACTCAGCTACAAGCCAAAGGGCGCCACGGATGCCGGCAACCCACGGGAGCTGGAAGAGGCTGGGGAGGATTTGTCCCTGGAGGTTTCAGGGGGAGCACGGCTCTGCTGACACCTTGATTCTGGGTTTCTGTCTTTGGAACTGTGAGAGGATAAATCGCCATTGTTTTAAGACCCCCGGATTGTTGTCATTGGTTGCAGCAGCCACAGGAAACTAATTCAATGGGGAAACGGAGGCAAACCAAGCTCAGATAACCCCCCTCTCATCCCCCATTTATTCAGCTAGTCGTTGTGGTTGAACTTTAAACACAGCAGTGCTCCAGGGTCCAGAGACTCCCTTCTCCCCACTTGCCCATTGGAGATAGACTCCCTTCTCCCCACTTGCCCATTGGAGATAGAACACAAGCAAATGCTAGAGCCTACCCAACAGGAAACAACATGCTTCCATACGGCTTCCTCTTTGATTGTCCTTGATGAAGGAAAGATCACCAAACAACACATACACACACACACCCCACTTGAGAACTTTGAACTCATAATCCAGGACTTTCTAACCAGCTAATCGCCATCTCTCATTCATTTCTATAGCATATTGTCACTCTGATCACAGCAAAAACACAGATGCTTCCATTTCATATCTAGGAAAACAAAGTCATAAGGAAAAGCAATTTAACACTGACTGGTTTCAGGCTGAAACTCCTCAGCCAGATACGTGTCTATCCTCCCCACCTGCACACTCTAACTAAAAACCCAACAGCAGGGGAGTGTGAAAGAAAGGAGGCACCGGCAACAATGAACTACGCAGCAATTTGAAATGTTGATATTGCCAGGCATGGCAGCACTTTGGTAGGCTGTGGTGGAAACTTAAAATGTTGATATTGCTGGACGTGGTAGCACTTTAGGAGGCTGAGGTGGGAGGATTGCCTGAGTTCAGGAGTTCAAGACCAGCCTGGGCAACATAGTAAGATCTTGTCTCTACAAAAAGTAAAAAAATTCATTGAGCATGGTGGCGCTCACCTGTGGTCCCAGCTACTTGGGAGGCTAAGGCGGGAGGATTGCTTGAGCCCAGGAGTTTGAGATCGCAGTGAGCCATGACCGCACCTGCACTGCAGCCTGGGTGACAAAGCGAGACTCTCTCTCAAAAATAAATAAATAAATAAAATGATGTCAGTTCATAATTATGGACATGGAATGATGTGCACAATATGTCATAATGTGAAAAGGCAGCTCACAAGATGGTATGTGCAGTACACACGGTTCTTAATGTCAAAACAGGCAAAGAAGGCATCTATGGGTATGGATGAGCACACAGGAGGAATTGGAAAACAGCCGATGCGGTGTTCACGCTAGGAAGTTCATGTTAGGCAGCAAGACAGTAAGGAGCATTTTTACCCCTTTATGATTATGGTCTGTGTCAACCAAAACAGTCAAACTCTCTAAAATATTTGAAAAGGTTTATTCTGAGCCAAATATGAGTGACCATGGCCCACGACACAGCTTTCAGGAGGCCCCGAGAGCATGTGCCCAAGGTGGCCAGGGTACAGCTTGGTTTTATCCATTTTAGAGAGGCATGAGACATCAATCAAATACATTGAAGAAATACATTGGTTTGGTCCAGAAAGGCAGAACAACTCAAAGCAGGAGCTTCCAGGCTATTGGTGAATTTAAACATTTTCTGGTTGACAATTGATTGAGTTTGTCTAAAGACCTGAGATTGACAGGAAGGGAATGTTCAGGTTAAGATAAACATTACGGAGACCAAAGTTCTTTGAAGTCTTATAGTGGCTGCCCTTAGAGACAATAGATGACAAATGTTTCCTATTCAGATCTTAGTTAGTCTCTTCAGGATTGGGAGGGTCTGGAAGAAAAAGTTCTAGCTGTGTTAACAGAGATTCTTTACAGATGCAAATTTTCCCCCATAAAGAACAGCTTTGCAGGGCCATTTCAAAATATGGCAAAGAAACATGTTTTGGAGTAAAATATTTTGATTCCTTGTCTTGTAATGATACACCAGTCAGGATGGAAAGTAAGTCACCATATATAGGGTTAAATAAAACCCATCTGATGAGAATTTATGATTTGTAGGGCATGACTCCCCAGACCCCTTAGATAGGAATTTGGGCAAGATTAAAGAAAAAAAGTTTAGTTCTCATCTGCATTGCTCCCAGTGAATACATATTTATTTTGTAATAAGAAAAAAATAGCAAAGCTTACATTCTGGGAGGGACTGGAGGCCTGCAGATCCCAGTGCATTTGTGTGTGACTTCTCCTTCTGCAAGATGGGCACCATAAACCTCCCCAGGTCACGGGGTTTTGCTCAGCAGTGCCCCCCTGCAAGAAAACTTCTCTTATGACCCTCAAGGACCCAAATGGGTTCTGATTTCAGCTCCCCTCTGCAGTCATTCAAAGTTAGCAGGCCTTTCCTATCTCAAATACAAATGATTCCTCAAAGTTAATCTGAACCTCCTGCCCTGATAAGCAACTGTGAAATAAAAAAATAAAAAAAGGTCTACTAAAATCCAGCCAAGCCAGACACTAGGGATCCAGCATCTATAGGTAAGGGGGAAAGGCCCCTGACAGGGGAATCTTGCCAAACTGCTGGAGTGTTCCAGAAAGAGAAATGGCATCAGGCAATCACCCTTGAGGGGCAAAAAGGCCCAGTGGATGCTTATGCAAGAAGGAGGCTGTGCTAATTTTCTAGGGCTGCCGCAAGGAATGACAACTGATATCTCATCCTGAATCCCCACGTGTTGTGGGAGGGACCCGGTGGGAGGTGACTGAATATGAGGGCAGGTCTTTCCTGTACTGTTCTCGTGATAGGAAGTCTCAGGAGATCTGACGGCTCTATAAGGGGGAGTTTCCCTGCACAAGCTCTCTTTTTGCCTGCTGCCACCCATGTAAGATATGACTTGCTCCTCTTTGCCTTCTGCCATGATTATGAGGCCTCTGCAGCCATGTGGAACTGTAAGTCCATTAAACCCTTTCTTCTGTATAAATTACCCAGTCTCTGGTATGTCTTTATCAGCAGCATGAAAACGGAATAATGCAACAACCAACTAGGGGACTTAAAACAACAGACATTTATTTTCTCACAGTTCAGGAGGCCAGAAGGCTGAGGTCAGGGTGTCGGTGGGGCCACACTCCCTCCAGAGGCTCCGGGGGAGGATCCTTCCTGGCCTCTTCCAGCTCCCAGAGGTTCCTGGCATTCCCTGGCTGTGGCTGCATCACTCCACTCGGCCTCTGCCTTCATGCCATTGTCTTCTCTGTATGTGTATCTGTGTCCCCTTCTGATAAGGACATCATCACTAAGCCAGGATGACCTCATCTTAATTACATCTGCCAAGACTTTACTTCCAAATAAGGCCATATTCTGAGGTTCTGGGTGGACATGAAGTTTTTAGGGTACATGGTCCAACCCAGAGACAGATCCAAGTTTCTGGGACTATAACTACTCTCAACTCGCCCTGAGATTGTCCATCCCAAATCCCACATCCTAACAGTATCAGGTATCTGATACAATTGCCCCTTTGAGTAACTGGTCATTGGGTCAATAGTCAATAACTGTGTATTGAGCATGGCCAAAGAACAACCCAGACGCATTCAGATTAGACTGCTGCATGCCCATCCACTCGCTCTGATGGTTTACTTTATGTGTCAGCTTGACTGGGCCAGGGGATGCCCAGATGTTTGGTTAACTATTATTTCTGGGTGTGCCTGTGAGGGCATTTCAGGTGAGGTTTGCATTTGAGTCCGTAGGCTGAGGAAAGAACATTGCCCACCCCAGTGTGGATGGTCTCATCCGGCCAGTTCAGGGCCTGAACAGAACAGAAGGCTGAGTCAGAAATAATTCTTTGTCTCTGTCTAAATGCCTTTGAGCCAGTCTTCTCTGACCTTCAGACTCAGACTTGGACTGGAACTTACACCATTGACTCTCCTGGTTCTCAGGCCTGTAGACTCAGATTGGAACTCTACATTGGGTTTCCTGGGTCAGGACTTTTCAGCCTCCATAATCATCAAATTAGCCAATTTCTTATTTTGTGTGTGTGTGTGTAATGTTATATATTATATATATAGGATATATATAATATATAATAGCTTTATGGGATATATAACATATACTAGGATGTAGACGACATGTTATATGTCTTATGTTATATGTCGTATATATCCTATTGAAGAATCCTGACAATACACTCACACATAAGGGAGATAGCCATACACTATTGTCAGGAAACAAAGGCAGAAAATAACCCAAAACCCCCACAAAACCCCAAACAACAAAGAGAAAAAAACCCAGGGTCTAAAAGAGAGAAAAGAGATGAGGGGAACCTTACAGACAATCTGGGAACAGTGAGCTTCGTTTATCTTGTTTATACAGCTTTGTAGCAAACTGATCAGCTGGCTTCTAACAGAGAAGTCGGCCTGGGCAATTGGAGCCTAAGCGGACAGACGAGGGATATTCAGAAAACCATTTCAGCTGCTTTTCAAATCTCCAGAAAAGCCTGGGGGTTTGGCTATGAAGCACAGGTGACAGGCTGTACTGCCTGGGCCTCCTGCTCCCCGACCTTCTGTCGGGGCCAGGGGAGCAGCCCTCCTCTTGAGCGAATTTGCAGCCCCTACCACGTGCCAGGAGCTAAGAACACGGCAGCAGCAGCCCAGCCCTGGACCTCGCGCGTTCACCTTCTAGTGCCTTGATGACTTTCACCTCAATCTGGGAAAGAACCGAGTCTTGCCCCAAGCTGGACAGCATAAGGTAGCAAAGTGGACAGCAGCAGCAGCCCTGAGCTTCTCTTTTCCTTCTACAACTTCTCTGGGGTGCGTGGCGGACACAGCCTGATCTTGAGCACCAGACTGAGCTCGCTGTGAGCTGCAGTCACAGAAGGGGTCCCCAGGAGGCAGACTCTGGTGGAGTTCAGCATGCACAGGGAACCAACTCTTCCCAGTAGACCCAGGACATTCCCAGTTTTGGTGCTGAAAGTTCTCGGTCCCGAGAAAGCTGTCAGTCCAACCCACACCTACATATGCATGAGCAGGATGCTTATTTCGGAGACAGAAGATGGAATCAGGATTGGACAGAGAGAGAAGCTGAACTGCAGTGTAGGTCCAGCCATGGCCTTGGATGATCCTGGGGCTGCTTCTGGAGCTGGGACAGCTCTTCAGCATTGTCCTGCTTTGGGCCATGCTGGCAGAGCCGGGACACCCCTACCTTGATCTGCCAGATGCAGGCCACCATGGAAAGGGGCTGGGGAGAGACCTGGGCAGCTGATCCATGTCCATCCTGTTCTTACAAATGAGCTGTGGATCTTGGGCAGGTCACCCAACCTCTCTGAGCCTAGTTTCCTTAAATGAACACCATTTTATCTACCTCAAAGGGATGTGGGGAGGAGAAATCTAAAAAATATAACGGAAGTGATTAGAGTATAATAGGACCTCACAAATGGGGTCATTTCCCTCACCTCTGCCCGGCCTTAGGACCTAAAGTGAAGCTGTCCATGATCATGATTGTCCTAGTTTATTATAATGATAACAATAACAATAACTAACATTTATGGCGACCTTGCATTGTACAACTGGCACCATTCTAAGTACCTTACACACATGATCCCATCCGATCCTTAAAGCAGCCCTAGGAAACAGGTACTATTATTAACCTCATTGCACAGATGAGGAAACTGAGGCACAGAATTGCCCAGCAGCTTGTTGACATTTTCGAGAGTAAACAAGGGAGGGATAGTATTTATGTTTAGAATTTCTCTCTCTTTTTCTTTCTTTCTTTCTTTTTCTTTTTTTCTTTCTCTCTCTCTTTCTTTCTTTTCTTTCTTTCTTTCTTTGAGACAGGCTACAGTGTGGTTGTGTCACGCAGGCTAGAGTGCAGTGGTGCAATCAACAGCTCACCACAGCTTCGACCTTCCAAGCTCAAGCAATCCTCATGCCTCAATCTCTGGAGTAGCTGGGACTACAGGAGTATGCCACCGTCCCTGGCTAATTTTTTAAACATTTTTTATAGAGATAAGGTCTCACCCTGTTGCCCAGGATGGTCTCAAACTCCTGGGCTCAAGTCATCCTCCTGACTCAGCCTATCAAAGTGCTGGGATTACAGGCAAGAGCCACTGCACCCAGCCTTCTTTTTGAGTGACAGGACTTGGGCTAAAGCACCTTTGACTTAGAAGAATAAAAGTCAGTCAGCCTCCAGAATATATAAAGAGCACTTACAACTCAACAAAAAAAGACAAACAACCAATTTAAAAATGGGCAAAGGACTTGAATAGACATTTCTTTGAAGAAGACACACAAGTGGCCAATGAGCACATGAAAATATGTATAATGTCACTTGTCATCAGGGAAATGCAAATCAAAAACCACAATGAGATTCTACTTCACTCTAACAAGGGTGGCTATAATGTTTTAAAATGGAAAATAACAAGTGTTGACACAGGTGGAGAAATGGAAACCTTTGCACATTGTTGACAGGAACGTAAAATGGTGCAGATGTCGTGGAAAACAGTTTGGCAGTTTTCCAAAAAGTTAAATGTTGAATTACTGTGTAACTCAGCAGTTCCACTCCTGGCTCTGTATCCCCAAAGGACTGAAAATAGGTGTTCAAACAAAAACTTGTAAATGCATATTTATAGCAGCACTATTCACAACAGCCAAAGGATGGGAACAGCACAGGGGTCCATCAACAGATAAATGGATAAACAAAATGTGGTAAAATGTGGGATACATATGCCCTGGCCTGTCCTAAGGCCATAAAAAGGAGTCAAGTACTGATGCATGCTACACCATGGGTGAATCTTCCACCACTATGCTAAGCGGGAGAAACAAGATGCAACAGGTCACATCTGGTCTGATTCTGTTTATACAAAATGTTCGGAATAGGCAAACTTATAGGAAAAGAAAACAAATTAGTAGTTTCCAGGTGCTGGAGGAGGAGGAATGGGGAGTGACTGCCTCGTGGGTACGGGGTTTCCTTTGAGGCAATAACAAAACGTATTGGAACTAGACAGAGGTGGTGGCTGCACGACATTGTGAATTTATTGAATGCCACTGAACTGTACACTTTAAAATAGTTAAGTTTGCATTGAGAAGTCAAGCAGTAGATGCGGCTCCAACTCTGTTTCCTGGCACCTCCCAGGGTTAGAGGTGAATTGGGGCTGCCTCGCATGGGGAGTGTTAGGAAGCCAGGAGTTAAGCTGCGATGAGAAAAGCACCTGGTTGAACCAAAGCCTTTTAGTCAAGGCCACCCATGTATTTGTCCAAGCCGTGCACTGCACAACAAGGGAACTAAACCCAGGGAACTAAAGTCCACTTCATACATCATCCCCAAGCCATGTGCCCTGGGTAAGACTGCATTGACACGGAGCAATTTCCTTTCCCTAATTCTCACAGATGTACCCTATAACATGTGACTGCAGCAGCCTTTCTTTTAGCGAGTCAACCTTCCCCAGCACCACCCCACTAGCAGCCCATCAGAGACAGTCCGGCAACCTCCGCTGTACACAGCTTGCATACTGAGCTCTGGGCCTCTCCCATTCCTCACTCTCCATTTCTACAGTGTGCTGTTCCTTGCCTCCTCTCCCAGCCCAGCCTCCCACTGACAAAAAGGGACAAAAGTCCCCACTCTCCTTGGAGTGACCCTCGGCTCACCTCCCCGCTCACCATCTGCACCTGCCCTTGGCCTTGGCCAGCCCCTGCCCCTTGGGAGTGGAGGCATATCCCAGCCTCCTGCCCACTCCTCACCTCAGCGTGGGCAGCAGCCCACTGCTTCTTTAATGTGAGTTTTTGTCTGTCCTGGCAAAGACGAAGCGTGTTTCAGACTGTGGTTTCAAACGGGGTCAGGGGCCCAGAGGTGCCTGCTCAGGAGAAGGCGATAGACATGGTTTGCTTCTCCATTGTAACGAACAAGTTTCTTGGCCAGAGCACAGTTTTACCCCTGCCTCATTCCTTCAGGCCTCCAGGGCTACAGTTCGGGTCTCACTTTGCAAGGAGGGAAGGATGAGGACCAGACCCTTCTACTTAAATGTTTAAGCAGCAGAAATTGTCAGGCATAGAGTGGGTCTAGTCCCAGCTCTGTTGCAAACCTGCTGCATGGGATCAGCAGGTCCCCTGACATTTCTGAGTTTTTATTTCTTCCTCTGCAAAATGAGTAGGCAACAGACAACGTGCTTGCTAAAGTTCCTTACGGCACAAGGATTTATGCCAGGGTTTTATACATGTGGAAGGCAGTTTTCAAAGTTGCTTTCAACTTGAGCAGCACCCCAATGGGTGAACAGAACATGGGTCCCATGAAGTGAGAAAAAAAAAAGAATAATGCTACTATGGACATTCATATACAAGTTTTTGTGTGAACATCTGTTTTCATTTCTTTTCAGTATATATCTAATAGTGGAATCACTGTGTTAAATTATCCAAACCAGTGCTTGAATCACAACTACATCATATTTCTCTTTTTTTTTTTTTTTTTTGAGAAAGAGTTTCACTCTTGTCGCCCAGGATAAAGTGCAGTGGCATGATCTCAGCTCACTGCAACCTCTGCCTCACTGGTTCAAGCGATTTTCCTGCCTCAGCCTCATGAGTAGCTGGAATTACAGGTGCACACCGCCATGCCAAGCTAATTTGTGTATTTTTATTAGAGACGGGGTTTCACCATGTTGGCCAGGCTGGTCTCCATCTCCTGACTTCAGGTGATCCACCTGCCTCCCAAAGTGCTGGGATTACAAGCATGAGCCACTGTGCCCAGCCAACTACACCATATTTCTGGCAACAGTAGTATATTATAAAATATACTAAATATACCATACAACTCACCTATTTAAAGTCTACAAGTCAAGGGTTTTTAGTATATTCATAGAGTTGTGCAACCATCACCACAATCAATTTTAGGACATTTTATCACACCTAAAAAGAAACCCTGTATTTTTTAGCTATTACCCATGGTCTCCCATCCCCCTCTGCCCCAGGCAACCACTAATCTACTTTCTGCCTCTATAGATTTGTCTGTTCTGGACATTTCATATAAATGAAATGAAAATGGAGTCATTGGGATTGACTTCTTTCACTTAGCATGATGCTTTCATAGTCTGTCCATGCTGTAACATGTATCAGTAAGTCATTCTTCTTTACGGCTGAATAATATTCCATTTTGTGGATAGACCACATTTTGATTACCCATTCATCAGTTGATGGACATGTAGGTTGTTTCCAGCTTTTTTTTTTTTTTTTTTTTGTCATTAAGAGTAATGCCACTATGAGGCCAGGCACTGTGGCTTACTCCAGTGATCCCAGCACTTTGGGAGGCTGAGACAAGTGGATCACTTGAGGTCAGGAGTTTGAGACCAATCTGGCCAACATGGTGAAACTCCATCTCTACTAAAGATACAAAAATTAGCCAGGTGGACGCCTGTAATTCTGGCTACTCAGGAGGCTGAGGCAGGAGAATGGCTTGAACCTGGGAGGCTGAGGTTGCAGTGAGCCGAGATCATATCATTGCACTCCAGCCTGGGTGACAGAGCAAGACTCCATTTTTAAAAAATAAAAATAAAAAAGAATAATGTCACCATGAATATTGATGTACAAGTTTTTGTGTAGACATCTGTTTTCATTTCTTTTCAGTGTATACCTAATATGTTGTGCAATCATTGGGTCAACTAATTGCCATGAAGGCAGAGTCTTCGTATGAACAAGTTGCAGCTGAGGGGCCTTTGGAACATTCAAAGGGGGATGTGTTGCAGGGAATGGGATAAACAGGTCAGACCTCCAGCAGAGAGGTAAGGGATTGAAACATGCAGTTGGGAGCAGGAGGAAATGCCTTCTCAGAGCACGGCAATGGCAGTCATTTTCTGGAGATGTCGGGTGCCATGTGAGGGTATATCCTGCAAATGCACCTGTAAGGGTGAACTGTCATCCCTGTGTGGGCCACAGTTCATCTGGCTTCCTGGAGGAGCTGCATTTCTCAATCAAAACCCTGGACCTGAGCAGGAAGGCTGGAAGGGAGATAAGCAGACATCCTTTTTCTTTGGACTGGAGTCTGGGAGAAGAGAGTGCCCTGGAGAGCTGCCTGCTGTTTTGTAGTCACATGGAGTATGAGCATGCCTTCCCAGGGACCCTCACCTGGATGGAAACTCCAGAGAAATACTCACTCAGAACCTGAAGGGACAAGGGATTCTTTGAAGTATCACTTATAACAGAGGGTTTGGAGGTAATCTGGGTATCCATCCATCACTAGGAAGATGGATGACAGAAATGTAACAGACATCCTTCCTGGAGTGCACAGATAATGAACAAAATGAGATACGGAATAAATCTTTTAGTTCAATATTCATGAAAACTCCATGAACAGACAAATCCATGAACAGACAAAACAGTGCTACATACTTATAAGCATGCATAAAAACGCAAGGACAGCCATCAAACATTTCAAAGCGATTGCCTGTGGCAGTTCTCAGGGAGGGGGTGCAAGAGAGAGAGTACAAGTATAGACTGGAGATTAAAAAAAAAAGAATAAATGAATAAAGCAAAAAAGGAGCCTCATATAGACAAAGGATGAAAGTATACCATAAGTTGAGAAGTAAGACTGATTAATCATCCACTCTGATGTCCAAAGATAAAGCTGGAGAAGGGGTGGCCCTAAATGCTCTCAGCAAGTTAGTGCTTAACTTGTGGCTATGGGTGAAATCAAAAAGTAATGGTCTAAAAAGCTTCTCTTCCCAGGGATCCTCATGGAGTGGGACAGTCCTGCAAATCCTGAAGAAAAAGTTGGCTCACGTCATAGCCAAATTCTAAGATGGTGCCCAGTGATCTCTGCCTCCCAATATTCATGCCCTGTGTAGTCATCTGCCATATTGAATCAGGGCTGCCCCTTTGTGACCAATCAGATATTAAGAAAATGGAAATGTGTGACTTCTGAGGTTAGATGAAAAGCATTGCTGCTCCTGCAATGATGGCTCCCTCCAAGGAAAGTCAGTCATCATGCTATGAGGACTCTCAAGCAGTCCTGTGGAGAGTCCCATGGGCAGAGGAGATGAGGCCTCCAGCCAATAGCCAGCAAGAACTTGCTGGCCATGTGAGTGAACCACCTTGGAAACGTAGCCTCCAGCCACAGTCAAGCCTTCAGATGAAACTGCAGCCCCAAGTGGCATATGAGTGCAACTGCATGCAAAATCTCAAGTGAGAAGCACCTATCTAAGGCCTTCCTGAATTCCTGACCCATGGAAATGATTAGTATAATATGTGATTATGTTATACATTAAACTTTATGTTATAAATTATATTACACAGCAACAGACAATTCATACAAGCTCTGTTAGTTTATACCTTGTAAGCCAAGTTGTTTACCTTTCCTGATCTCATTGTGTTTTCCTCTTTGTGTTTTCCTTTGTGCTTAGAACATATGAAGAAAGCTTCTTTCCATCTCAACCATGCTTTAGGAAAACTAAGGGAAAGGAATTTGCTTCTACTTAGTAAGTCAGACATTTGCAAGAAAGCAGGTTGTTCCTGACATGCCCCAGAGGAGTGGGGAGTTAGAAAGTAAGAATTCCAAAGAAAATAAAACTCAGACAAGGGCCATGTGGCCAGCTGCCCCATTTCACCAAGAAGCTCTCCTCTCAGTACTGACCTGGGAGATTCTTGGTTTTATTTCATTAAATAAAAATACCACTACTGGGAGGTACTGTACTGCCTCCCAGGTATCTCTAGGCTTAAAATGACAGAAGAAGCCATGTGGGTGGATGAACTAACTTGAGGAAGAGAGTGTTTCCATGAGTAGAAATAGAGAGCTGAGACTGGCTGGAGCCCTGGGAACAGCAATACTCATGCAATCAACATTGGAAGAGGAGCCAGGGAAGGGACTAGGAGAGGAAGCCAAAAAGTGGGAGGAGAGCCTGGGCAGGGGAAGTCTAGGGAGCAAAGAGAAAAACGTTTTAAAATGGAGTTTTTTGTAACACAGACAAACAAGAGGAATAGAACTTACTGACGTTAAAAAAAAACAAAAAGTGAGAAGGTGACCAACCCCGCAGAGGCCCAGAAAGACGATTAGAGCCTACGTAGGTCCAATAGCTGTGGTCCTAGCCAGTGGTCCTGTTCAGCCTCTCTGGACCCAAGATACTGGGACCACTGCCATGAGCCGTCACTGGCACAAACCATCATTATAAGAAGGCAAAGTCATTCCCCAGTTCTTTTTTTCATCCTCAGACAAGGGACATCTCTGGAATTGCTGAATGTGTGGTTTTAGCAGAAAGATGGGTTCTGTCTTCAGCCCCCTTTTCCCCTTCCCAGTTGATGTTCCCTTTTGTCTCTGCCCACTTTGTCTTTGTGTGAACACTGAGATTTCATTGAACATCCCCAAAAGAGGGATTGCGCAGTGGCTCAGCTCACCGCGCTGAAATGTCCCTGAGGAAATGCACAATCATCTTCAGTGAGTACAGGACAATGAGGAGGTGTCTTATTACATAATTGAGGAGACAATGTCCTTTGTACTCAGTCTGGTTCACTTTTCACACTAAATTAATCTTAATAAGCATCTGCTTTGAGTAAAGGAAGTTTTGTGATAATTCAACCATGACCTCTGTAGAAGTCCAAATGATTTCACTTCAGTCCCTCAGCCCCGAGTATCCTATTGAAATGGTCATCTTTATTTCATGATCATCAGCTTGTTAACATGAGCTGATTAATCCCATCAACCTAACTACACAGATCGGACGCAGCCCAGGGCTATGACATCATTAGCTTTGGGACTCGAGCGTGTAGGATCACAGGCTAGGCAGGTCAGCTGGTCCCACAGGTCATTCGATCCAACCTCCTCGTTTCTGAGAATTAAAAGCAGATTCTCCCTCTGGCTTGTTTTCTGGCTCCAAGATCCAGGCAAAATTGTCCCAATAACAGCATCTCTGGGACCACACGGTACAGGGTCCCACTGAGCCAGAATTCCAAGCAGAGCACTGGTGGCCAGGCCATGGAGCACCCAGCCAGGACTCGGGACCCACCACCCCGTGGGTCTCAGTGACCACCAAGATCCCGGTCAGCCTCTCTCTACCCTCCTCTATCATTCTGAGCACCTTCCTCTTAGACCTTCCTTGGTGCATCACACATTTTTCCAGAGCAGAAGCCCCTAACAAGCTGGACCTGGGAGTCCCTGCCACATGCAACCCTTCCCTCTCTCCTGGCTTCTGCTTCCCATGGATCTTTTAGGAAATTGCTCTCCCCATAAATATGTGGGCTCTGTGGGAAACCAAGTCAAGGAATTCTACCTTCTCTTAGCCCAGGGGGTCTCAAAATGTGATTCTAGGAACAGCAGCATCAGTATCACCTTGAAATCCATAAGAAATGCAAATTCTCAGGTCCTTCCCTAAACCCACTGAATTAGAAAATCTGGGAGTGGGGCCCAGCAATCCGCATTTCAACAAGCCCTCCCAGTGGTTCTGACATAGGCCGTTGCCAGCGGTAGGTATGTAAATTAAAGGACTTGGGTGGCCACTGCAGTCAGCAGAATGGTGGCTCCCAAACATGTCCCTGTCCCAGTCCCAGGAACCTGCAAATACATGAAATTCCGTGGCAAGGGGGATTTTGCAGATGTGATTATACTAAGGATCTTGAGCTGAGGGATTGTTCTGGCTTAACTACAAAGACCAAATGTAATCACAAGTCTCTTAACAGGAAGATGTAAGGATGGAGGCAGAAGTCAGATAGGAGAGAAGCTGCTACACTGCTCACTTTGGAAATGGAGAAATGAGCCAAGAGCCAAGGCAGAGACTAGAAGCTGGAAAAGGCAAGGAATAGATTCTCCCCTCGAGCCTCCAGAAGGAACACGGGCCTGCTGACACTTTGATTTTGGTCCAAGGAAACTCATTTCAGACTTCTGACCTCCAGAACCGTAAGAGAGAAAGTATTTGTGTTGTTTGAAGTCCCTGATGTGTGGTCATTTTGTTACAGCAGCAATGGGAAACTTACACAGCCTCTTTCTCCCTCTCCTGGACTTCAGTCGTGAACAAAGAGGTGTGACACAGAATGGAAAGCTGGAGCTGACTGACACCAGCATGGGCTTTGAGTTGCTCAACTTCCCCATATCCTCCCAGGCATGCAGGTCCTGTCCTTCTGAAGCCTGGTTTGTCAGCCTTTCCCTGAATCTAAGAGCTAGGACAGTCTCCCTAGAGCTTGCCTTTTTGCTTCTGTTAGCCGGAGTTGGTGTTTGTTGCTTATAGCCAAAGGGACTTGCCTCCACCCTTCACAGTGCAGATTTGAAGGATGATAGGACTAGCGGTGGCAGCTAATACTGAATTCAGTGCTTACTATGTGCCAGGTGCCACCTTTTTGATTTAATAAAGCTCCAGGGCTTTATTTATTTAATCCCCATAGCAACGCCCTAAAGTGGATACTATCATGATCCTGTAGAAGAAGAAAAATAATTTATTCTTCAATCCTCATAAGTTCTTAGTTGGAGCAGACCCCTGTAACAAAAGACAGACTAACAAGAAGAGAAAAACAAACCGAAGTTTATTATCAAGTATATTTCACATATATATGGCAGACAACCAGGGAACGAGTAGTTCTCAAGGTGGCTTTGGATTCCTGCTTATAGCTTATATAGCATCTTCAACAACAACAGCAGCAACAAAAAAAACAAAAACAAAAACAAAAAAACCCAGCACATTTTTAGACAGTGACAAGACAAAGGGAAAAAGGACTTTGAGTCTCTAGGGGTAGCCACTTGTGGGAAGGCAATAACAGGCAGATCAAGGTGGATTAACGAAGCTGGACCTGGTGCCATCTCCAGACAATAGGGCTCTAACATTGTCTTCCATGGTTACCCTTTGTTCTCCCTGCAGAGTGGAGGTGGAATACCTCTTGTCTTTGTAAATCTATGTCCTGCTTTTAGGCAAATAGAGGGAGGGCAGAGAGCCTTCCTGCATCCACTTCTTAGTTGTCTTTGGCTCAACAGTCCTTCATGTTTTGGGGTGGCATATTCTGGTCTCCAACAGTCTCCTTTACAGACACGGACACCAAAGTACAGAGATGTTAAAGGTCTTGCCGAAGATCATGCAGTTATCCTTGCTCAAAAAACTGCAAAGATCACCACAGAGGCAGAAGAGTTGGTGGTGTCTTCCAGCTTCATCCTTCAAAGCTGAGTGCCTTCATGTACCTACTTTCCCTCCTATAAGATGGGATGGTAATACCCACATGACAGGGTGGGTGTGAGGATGAAATGCTGCAATGTGTATGAAACAGTTGGCAGGGATGGGACTCCTAACACATGCTACTCCCTCCATATGAGCAAACCAAAGCTGATGAGAAAATCACAGTTCCAGATGACAGTCACATGCCAAGCACCAGCTAGCCCATCAATGGCGAAGTCAGAAACGCCATTCCCAGCCCCAGCCCTGAAAGACAGGATGCCTGCCTGTCAACTTCAACCATCCATGAAAGATCTACTCTTTTCCACGGAAAGCTGTCCGCCTCTGTGGCTGCATTGTTTTAAACTCTATTCTGGAAACAGAATGGAAAAACTTTTTTCTCAACATCTTAAGAATATTTCACTTTCATTTTTATTCCAAATTATAACTCAGATATGAAGACACGAGCTAACTTGGCATTTCTTTCATTTGGGATTTGAGGCTGGAAAACTCACATGTTAGTTTGCAGACACTAGTTAGTTTAGCTTAGTGTTGCAGAAACCTCATCCAATTCTTTCAAATTTTCTGCATGTGTGTGCTTGTGTGCATGCACGCACACACACACACACAATCGCAGCATCACAAAATGAAGTCGGGTGGGAGGATAGGAAAGTCAGGAGGCCAAATGAATCAGCCCTCCCCAGTGTGACCCTGTCTCACGGCCTCAGGTCCATGACCTCCCCAGCCCTCCAGGCTGCTGGGAGCCCACTGCACACACATGGCTTCGATTTCTCTTCGTTGGCCTGGCACACAGATTTAAATACAAATATCCTGTAAGAGGAAATGAGTCGGTGCTGACTCCCAGACTCACAGATTTGCTCCCTCTTCTCTGATTTTAGCAATGAGGGCAGGAGGCCCACCTGGGGGTGGTGGAGAGAGCCCTGGGTTTGGAGGCAGGAGACCTGGGTTCTAGCCCTCCCTCTGCAACCAAGTCACTGTGTAATCGCAGGTGAATCATTTGCTGACTCTGGGCCCCAGTCATTACATTTAGGGAAGGGAAAATGTATATATTGCACTGAGAGGAGATTGCAGTTAGAACCCCTGGGATCCATAAGATATTTATTGAGCACCTACTATGTAGGCACAGAAGCTGTGGACTTGAGAAAACACATCCTTCCGCTGAGGGCCTCCTTCTTGGGGGTCAAGGAGGCACTAGGGGCTGTCCGTCTTCAGCCTCAGTGCTGTCACTAACCATAATCTTGGTTAGTCCTTCTGTTATGGGTTAAATTGTCTACCACAAATTTCATGTGTTGAAGCCCCAGCCTTCAGAACCTCAATAGGTGACTTTGTTTGGAGATAGGGCCTTTAAGAAGGTGATTAAGGTTAAATGAGGTTATAAGGGTGGGGCCCTAATCCAATAGGGACTGGTGTCCTTATAAGAAGAGGAAGAAAGCCGGGCATGGAGGCTCACGCCTGTAATCCCAGCACTTTGGGAGGCCAAGGCTGGCAGATCACCTGAGGTCAGGAGTTCGAGCCTGGCCAACATGACGAAATCCCGTCTCCACTAAAAATACAAAAATTAGCTGGGTATGGTGGTGGGAGCCTGTAATCCCAGCTACTTGGGAGGCTGAGGCAGAAGAATTGCTTGAACCTTGTAGGCGGAGGTTGCAGTGAGCTGAGATCATGCCATTGCACTCCAGCCTGGGCAACAAGAGTGAAACACTGTCTCAAAAAAAAAAAAAAAAAAAGAAGAAGAGGAAGAGGCTGGGCACAGTGGCTCATGCCTGTAATCCCTTCACTTTGGGAGGCCGAGGTGGGTGGATCACCTGAGGTCAGGAGTTCAAGACCAGCCTGGCCAACAGGGTGAAACCCTGTCTCTACTAATAATACAAAAATTAGCCAGGCATAGTGGCGGGTGCCTGTAATCCCAGTTACTTGGGAGGCTGAGGCAGGAGAATCGCTTGAACCCAGGAGGCAGAGGTTGCAGTGAGCCAAGATTGCACCATTGCACTCCAGCCTGGGCGACAAGAGCAAAACTCCATCGCCAAGAAAAAAAAAAAAAGAAGAAGAAGAGGAAGAGACACCAAAGAACTCCCTCTCTCCATGTGCACATGGGAAAGGCTGTGTGTTGTCACAGCAAGGCAGGTGAATACACCTTCTCTCATGCTGCCTCAGTTCCTCAGATTAGATCGCTGGATCTTAGCATTGTCTCAAGGATCCTTTGAGAATCTGATAAAAACACATGTGCAGGTAGGCCCAATCTCTGCTTGAAATTTCAGAGGCACACACTAAAGAACATCATGAGAGGGTCCTTGAACCCCCTGTGGTCTCTGTAGTGCCTACTAGTCTTAATGTTTCCCCACCCTGGTCCTACGCATGATGCATGCAACGAACGACTCTACACCAATTATTCTCTAATGTGAGCTTCCTTTCAGGGCAATGAGAACAACTGCATGTCTAGAAAAAAATCAAAGAATGCTAGGGTGTTCTTCCTCTCCTGTCCAGACAAACCATTAACCTTTTTTCATCAGGGAAGAGAACCCACACTGAATAAAAAACTTCTTACATGCCAAGTACTATGCAAAACTTAATTCAAACTTTTGCATCTGCCTGAAGATAGGTTGCTGTTATCAGACCTAACTTGTCACCAAGAACCACTGTAAAAGCTGAAAATTTTTTAAAAGGTCTGTTTGAAGGCATCAAAAAATATCCCAGGCAGGCCAGACTTGAGGGATCAAGACCCCAGAGAAAAACATTAAAGTGAGTGCTGCATCCCCTGTGGGTTTCATCCCTTGCAGTATATTTCACAATGTGGGGTCACAGAGACCTAACTGAAAGCAGTGAGCTAGAGCATGAGGCAGCATCTTACTGGGATAAGAAGAATCATCTTAGTCCATTCTGGCTGTTATAAAAAAGGCTGGCTTATAAACAACAGACATTTCTTTTTTATAGTTCTGGAGGCTAAAAGTCTGAGATCAGGGTGCCAGCATGGTCAGGTTATGGTAAGGGCCTTCTTTTGGGTTGCATAGTAACTTCTACTAGTAGCCTCACATAGTGGAAAGAAAGCTAGCTGGATCACAGTCCTTTTTTTTTTTTTTTTTTTTTTTTTTTTTTTTAATTTTACTTTAAGTTCTGGGATACAAGTGCAGAATGTGTAGTTTTGTTACATAGGTATATGTGTGCCATGGTGTTTTGTTGCATCTATCGACTCATCATCTAGGTTTTAAGCCCCACATACATTAGCTATTTGTCCTAATGCCCCCCACTCCCCAACTGGCCCTGGTGTGTGTTGTTCCCCTCCCTGTGTCCATGTGTTCTTATTGTTCAACTCCTACTTATAAGTGAGAACATGCGGTGTTTGGTTTTCTGTTCCTGTGTTAGTTTGCTGAGGATGATGGCTTCCAGCTCCATCCATGTCCCTGCAAAGGACATGATCTCATTCCTTTTTATGGCTGCATAGTATTCCATGGTGTATATGTACCACATTTTCTTTATCCAGTCTATCAATTGATGGGCATTTGGGTTGGTTCTATGTCTGCTATTGTAAATAGTGCTGCAATAAACATACATGTGCATGTGTCTTTATAGTAGAATGATTTATATTCCTTTTGGCATATATACCCAGTAATGGGATTGCTAGGTCAAATGGTATTTCTGGTTCTATATCCTGAGGAATTGCCACACTGTCTTCCACAATGGTTGAACTAATTTACATTCCCACCAACAGCCTCACCAGCATCTATTGTTTCCTGACTTTTTAATAATTGCCATTCCAACTGGCATGAGATGGTATCTCACTGTCGTTTTAGTTTGCAGTTCTCTAACTATCAGTGATGTTGAACTTCTTTTCATGTGTTTGCTGGCTCATAAATGTCTTCTTTTGAGAAGTGTCTGTTCATATCCTTTGCCCACTTTTTGATGGGGTTGTTTGTTTTTTCTTGTAAATTTGTTTAAGTTTCTTGTAAATTCTGGATATTAGACATTTGTCAGATGGGTAGATTGCAAACATTTTCTCCCATTCTGTAGGTTGCCTGTTCACTCTGATGCTAGTTTCTTTTGTTGTGCAAAAGCTCTTTAGATTAATTAGATCCCATTTATCAATTCTGGCTTTTGTTGCAATTGCTTTTGGCGTTTTCCTCACGAAGTCTTTGCCCATCCCTATGATTGCCTAGGTTTTCTTCTAGGGTTTTTATGGTTTTGGGTTTTACATTTAAATCGTTAATCCATCTTGAGTTAATTTTTGTAGAAGGTTTAAGGAAGGGGTCCAGTTTCAATTTTCTGCATATGGCTAGCCAGTTTTCCCAGTACCATGTATTAAATAGGAGGTCCTTTCTCCATTGCTTGTTTTTGTCAGACTTGTCAAAGAACAGATGGTTGTAGATGTGTGATGTTCCTTTTGAGGCCTCTGTTCTGTTCCATTGGCCTATATGTCTGTTTTGGTACCAATACCATGCTGCTTTGGATACTGTAGCTTTGTAGTATAGTTTGAAGTCAGATAGCATGAGGCCTCCAGCTTTGTTCTTTTTGCTTAAGATTGTCTTGGCTATACAGGATCTATTTTGGTTCCATATGAAATGGCCTCTTCTTATAAAAGCATCAATCTCATTTATCAGGGCTCTACCCTCATGACCTAATCACTTCCCAAAGGCCTGATTTCCAAATACTATCATATTGGGATTAAGATTTCAATATAGAAATTTTGGAGGTAACACGAACATTAGTCCACTGCATTCTGTTCCAAACCCCGCAAAGATCATATCCTTCTCACATGTAAAATATATTCATTCCATCCCCAAAGCCCTCAAAGTTTTAACTCATTCTAGCATCATCAACTCCAAACTCTTATCTAAGTATCATCTAAATCAGATAAGGTGAGACTCAGAGTACAATTCATTCTGAGGCAAAATTCACAGCTGCAAACATGTGAAACCAAACATGTTTTCAAAATACAGTGGTGAGACAGACATAGATAGACATTCCCATTCTGACACGGAGAAATAGAAAAGAAAGAAGGGTTAACAGATCCCAAGGGAGTCCCAAACCTCACAAGACAACTTTCACCAGGTCTTCAGGCTGAAGATAATCCTCTGTGGCTTGATGCTCTCCCCTCTAGGGCCACTGGACACACTGGGGCAGAGGTACAGTCTTGCAGACCCACTTGGGAGGTGGTCTTCTCCAAAAAGCTCTGCTGGACAGGACTTGCAGCTCCAGGGCTCTGCCAGGAGGTGGTATCCCCAACAGCTTTGGGTGGAGCTCATTTCTGTTGAAAGCAAGGCAATGGTCCCTCCTTTTGAAACTAAGAAGGTAACCTACTGACCTCTGCATTGCCCTTGGGTTCATTCTTCCCCTTGTCTTTAACAAGAGCACACATTCACAACTGAATAGCTCTATAGTCCTGTCCTGTAAAATCCAAAAAGTCCAACAACTTTCCTTCATTCTTTACCATCCCCTTCCTATTTAGTTCAAACTGACAGTTGTCCTGCTGGGAAACCGCTGGTTGATTAAGTCCATGGTTCACACCTATACTGACCTCCATATCAAATGGTCAGTTAGCCACACCCTTAGTGTTATTTTCCAAACACACTTTCTCCATTTTTGCAATATGAGTAGGCTGAGAATTTTCCACATCTTTAAGTTCTAGTTCCTTTTGCTCGATAATTCCATCTTCAAGCCATTTCCATCTTCTTATGTTTTGCCTTAAGTGGTCAGAAGGAAGCCAGTGACTTCTTCAACACTTGGCTTAGAAATCTCCTCTGCTAAATATCCACTTTCACTGCTCACGAGTTTTATCTTCCACAAAAATACTAGAATGCAAAGACAATTCAGCCAAGGTTTTTTGCCACTTTATAACAAGGATTGCCTTTTTTCCATTGTCTAACAATTTGTTCCTCATTCCTGTCAGACACCTCATCAGAATGGCCTTTATTAGCCATATTTCCACCAACATTCTGTACACGATTATTTATGTATTCTCTAAGAAGACAGAAGCTTTCTCAATACCTCTCATCTTTCCTTTCTGAATCATCTTTAAAAGTACTTTTGGCCAGGCACAGTGGCCAAAAGTGCTGTAATTCCAGCACTTTGAGAGGCCAAGGCAGGAGAATAGTTGAGCTCAGGAGTTGAAGACCAGCCTGGGCAACATAGCAAGACCATCTATCTACTAAAAATCAAAAAAATTAGTCAGGTGTGATGGCACACATCAGTAGCCCTAGCCACTGGGGAGGCGGAGGCAGTAGGATTACTTGAGCCCAGGAAGTCAAGGCTGCAGTGAGCCATGATTGCACCACTGCTCTCCAGCCTGAGTGACAAAGCAAGATCCTGTTTTTATGTTTTTTGTTTTTTGTTTTTAGTGACAATTTTGACCTTTCCTAGTATGCACTTCAAAAGTCTTAACAATTTTGACCTCTCCTAGTGGGCACTTCAAAACTCTTCCAGCTTCTACCCATTACCCAAAACTGCTTCCACATTTTTAGGTATTTGTTATAGGAGGCACCCCCACTTTTTGGTACCAGTTTTGGTCTTCATCAGTTTAAGCTGCTATAACAAAATATCACAGACTGGCTGGCTTATAGATAACAGAAATTCATTTCTCACAAGTCTGGAAGATGGAAAGCTGAGATCAGGTTGCCAGCATGGTGTGGTTCTGATGAGGACCCTCTTTTGTGCTGCAGACTGGAAAAATTAGAGTTTGGAGTAAAAAGTGGCCATGACATAAGGGACTAGATACCAGATGACGGGGAACCACAGAGAAGTGAGTCCTACAGTCTGTATATGATTTCTCCCCAAGAGAAATCCTGTGTAATCACAGAAAGAGGCCCAGAGAACCCCACTATAAAGCAACTTCTAAAGCTAAAAGATGAGCAGAGAACATGGCAGTCTCATGGGGTTGGGGAAATAAAAACTGGAGTTCACAGCAAGTTAAGGATTAGGGCTCCCAACAAACACCTCAAGCTTTCCACCGAAACCCTAAAAAGGGTTAGAATAAGAGGAAATGTGAAACAGGCCAGCTGTGACTAGATAAAGATGATTTGGCCATACTCTATGTGCCAATAAGAAGAAAATTAAACCCTTTCTGAAAGAATATAACACCAACCATAAGCTCTATAACTTTTCATATGCAATTTTCAGCCTGCAATAAAAAATTACCAGGCAGGACAGGCAACATGATTAAATGCTGAAAATCAAGAGAAAAATGGAGAGTAAAAACAGACAGCAGAAGAACCAGGTATTGAACTTTCCAGACATAAACTTTAAAATAGCCATGATTACAATGCCAAAAGACAGGCAGAGTGGTGGAGAAAATCCCCAGAAACTGGCATCTATTTAAAAATAGCCAATTGGAAATCCTAAAATTGAAAAATATACAATAGAAAGTAAAATTTTAATTGTTAGCTCAGTATACCTATCAGAAGAGAGAACAAGTGAACCAGAAAATAGAAATATAAAAATATTCAAACTAAAGCAGAGAGAAAAAGGATAAAAATACAGAAAATTAGACATATATATGGGACCAAGTAGAAGATATTTAACAACATGTAATTGGAGGCACAAGAATACAGGAGAGAAAAAATGGAGCAGTTGGTGGCGAATTGCACGTGTCAACTTGACTAGATTGTGGTGATTCATTGTTTGGTGCTGGGTTCTGAATGTCTGTGTCCTCCCACAAAATTCATGTGTTGAAACCGAAGCCCCAAGGTGATAGTATTAGGAAGTGAAGGCTTTGGGAGGTGATTAGATCACAAAGGTAAAGCCCAGATGTGGAGTAAAAGGGGAAGAAAGGTGGGTAGGATCTGAAAACTGTTAGCATGAAACATAAAAATATATAGTCTGGGCTGGGCGCAGTGGCTCATGCCTATAATCCCAGCACTTTGGGAGGCCAAGGCAAGTGGATAACCTGAGGTCAGGAATTCGAAACCAGCCTGGCCAACATAGTAAAACTCCGTCTGGGTAGCTGATGGGATGGTGCCCACCCAGAGTGAGGGTGGGTCTGCCTCTCCCAGCCCGCTGACTCGAATGTCAATCTCCTCTGGCAACGCCCTCACAGACACGCCCACAAACAATACTTTACCAGCTATCTAGGCATCCCTCAATCCAATCAAGTTGACACCTAATATTAACCATCACACCAATTAAAAATAAAATAAAGGTAAAATGAAGATACTTCAGGCAAGAAAAAACTTTGAAAATGCATTGCCAGTAGACCAACACTAAAAGAAGTATTAAAGGAAATGATTCAAGATAGAAACACGAAAAGGTAGAAATAAATGAGGAGTGCTGGGAATGGTAAATATATTGGTATATGGGTAAATATAAGTAAATTCTGACAACTTAAACCAAAAGTAACAATGTTCTCAGGAAATTAAAATATATGTAGAATTAAATACATGATAACGTAGCACAAAAAGCAGAAGGAGAGAAATGGACTAATGGTGTTGTACTAACAACACTTGCCATGGTAACATCCAAAACTAAACAGAATGTAACAAGCCAACAATGAGTATTCTACTCTCTAGGGCAGGGGTTCCCAACCTCTGGGCCATGGACAGGTAGCAGTCTGTGGCCTGTTAGGAACCAGGCCGCACAGCAGGAGGTGAGTGAGGGGTGAGCGAGCATTGCCGCCTGAGCTCCGCCTCCTGTCAGATCAGCAGCTGCATTAGATTCTCATAGGAGCGCCAACCCTATCGTGAGCTGCACATTCCAGGGATCTAGGTTGCAGGCTCTTTATGAGAATCTAACAATGCCTGATGACCTGAGCTGGAACAGTTTCATCCCAAAACCATTCCCCTGCCCCCGATCCATGAAAAAAATTGTCTTCCATTAAACTGGTCCCTGGTGCGGAAAAGATTGGGGACCGCTGCTCTACGGGAACAGGTACAGGAATAATACAGAATGCATAACGAATAAGTTAGCAGGGTGGGGAAAATGGAATAATTTTCAAAATTTTTTTAGCAATCCAAAAATTATCAGATATCTAAAATAGTAAAACCCAATTACATTGTGATTATATGAAACATTTACCTTAAAGATAAGGAGTCTGAAAAACTGAAATTAAAAGGACAGGAAAAGCTGATACATAACTACATTAACATATACTTAATAACAACACTACATAATTATAACACATACATATGTAGTTATATAACATATAAAGACAATACATTCTGTAAGGCAAGATTTGTTACTAGAGATATTTTATAATATCAAAAAGTCATTTAATAAGATAATAATTTAAAATTTGCATGCAGCAAAAAACATAGCCTCAAAGAAAGTGGGACAAAAGGAGAAACAGTCAAATCCATTATCCTAGTGGAGATTTTAAAATACATCTCTCAGTTATTGAAAGAAAAAGCAGAGAGAAATTCAGTAAAGATATAAAAGATTTTAACATGATTAATGAACTGGAGCCAATAAAAATAAATAGAGCTGGCCGAGCACGGTGGCTCACACCTATAATCCCAGCTCTTTGGGAGGCTGAGGCAGGTGGATCACCTGAGGTCAGGAGTTTGAGACGAGCCTGGCCAACATGGTGAAACACTGTCTCTACTAATAATATAAAAATTAGCCAGGTATGGCGGCACGTGCCTGTAATCCCAGCTACTGGGGAGGCTAAGGCAGGAGAATCACTTGAACCCAGGAGACAGAGGTTGCAGTGAGCCGAGATCATGTCGTTGCACTCTAGTCTGGGCAACAGAATGAGACCCTGTCTCAAAAAAAAAAAAAAAAAAAAAAAGGCAATGCAACCAACAGCTGCAGTTTACATATTCCCTTTTTTTTTTTTTTTTTGAGACAGGGTCTCACTCTGTTGCCCAGGCTAGAGTGCAGTGGCACAACCGTGGCTCACAGCAGCCTCAATCTCTGAGGCTCAAGCTATCCCCGCAACCTCAGGACCATAGATGTGCATCACCATGCCCAGCTATTTTTTTTTAAATTTTTTGTAGAAATGGAGTCTCACTATGTTGCTCAAACTGGTCTCAAACTCCTGGGCTCAAGTGATCCTCCTGCCTGGGCCTCTCAAAGTGCTGGGATTACAGGCGAGAGCCACCATGCCCAGCCAATCTCAATGAGTTTGAAAGGTTTATCATCATACAGTTATACTCTCTGATCATAGTGAAATTAAGCTAGAAATCAATAATAACATAACTAGGAAAACTCTAAATATTTATATTTATGTGTGTATAGCAGCATAAATCATGATAGCCAAAACCGGAAGCAAACCACATGCCATTCAACTGGAGAAGAAATAAACAAGCTGTGGCATATCCATACAATGGAATACAGGGCAGCAAGAAGAAAGAGCACATGACTACTATACACGGCTACAGGGAGGAGTCTTGCACGCACATTGTTGAATGAAGGAAGCCAGATATAAAAGACAGCTTACTCTATGGTTTCATTTATATAAAATCCAAAAATGAGCAAAACTAATATACAGCAACTGCAGTACAAATAGCGGTTCCCTTTCTTAGGGGATAATGACAGGAGGCACATAGGAGGGGGACTTCAGGGCATCTATCAGGCTTCATATCTTGATCTGAGTGGTGGTTCCAAGGGGATATTCATCATTTTGTAAAAGTTCTTAGTGCTGGGCACTTGAGTTATGCAAATTGCTGGATACAAGTTCTACTTTCAGAAGAAGTTTGCCCCTCGCCAAAACAAGAAACTTCATTCATAGGCTGGTTAAATAGCCAGATCTGGAGTCAGGCAGCCTGAGCTCAAATCCTGGCTCAACTGTTTACACTCTGTGTGTCCTTAGACTATGTAGCTTCTCTACGCCTCAGTTTCCTCATCTGCAAAATGGGGATATCACCAGTACTTAAGCCTAAGGTTGTTTTGTGGACTTATGAGTTGATCCATGCAAAGTACTTACCATAGTATCAAATATATAGTAAGATCTCAACTTACATTGCTCTTTTTAAAAAAGATCTTTGCAACCAACCTAGAGGGCCACACAACGTTGGGAGTAAAAGCAAGGACTTTATACCCTTGGACATTTTTCCCAGAAAAGTAAAAACTTTTGTTTGCACAAACACCTGTACGTGAATGTTCACAGCAGCATTTCTCATAATGGCCAGAAACTGGACACAGATATTCTTCAGTGGGTAAATGGTTAAAGAAACTGTGGTACTTCTATGCCATGGAACACCACTCAGTTAAAATTAAAAAAAAAAACAAAACACTACTGATGCATGCCATAACTCAGTGACTCTCAAGAGAATTAGACTGAGTCAAAAAGCCAATCCCAGAAGCATATACTTCCACTTACAGAACATTCTCGAAATAATGAAATTATAGAGATAGAGAACAGGTTTAGTGTTACAAGAATGAGGGATGCTGGGTGACATGGAGAAGTAGATGTGATTATTAAAGGCTGCAGAAGCCTGTGCTGACAGAGCTGTTGTGTATCTTGACTGTGGCGCTACATACATGGACCTACATACATGTTAAAATTGCAAAGAACTAAATACACTCACATGAGGACAAGTAAAACTGAGGAAATCTGAATAAGGCTGGTGGATTTTATCAGTGTCAATATCTTTGTTATGATATTGTAGTACAGTTTTGCAAGATGCTCCCTTTGGAGAAAACTGGATAAGAGTTACACAAATCTCTCTGTATTACTTCTTACAACTGTGCGTTCATCTACAATGATCTTTGATGTCAGTCAGCCAAGGTCAGGTAATGTCCTGACTCCATCATTTACTAACTAGGTGACCTTGGGCAGGCAAACATCCTAAAGGCTCAGTTTTCTCACCAATGAAGTGGAGATAGTTAAGAGTTCCCACTCCCTAGGGTGAAGTGAGAATGAAGTCACTCAGCATAGTGCCCAGACAACATAAATCCTTCACAAATGTCACCTTAAGGAAAATTGCATAGTTACAAGTGAGAAGAGTGGAAGTGACTGGGTCACCCCAAAACGAGCCAGAATCCTGGTCTCTGAAGCTGGGTTCCAGGCGGTGAGACAGGAAAGGATCAAAGTGAGAAATCTGTGGGTGGATACACTGATTTTCTCCTCCTGACGTTTTTGTGTGTGTGTGTGTGTGTGTGTGTGTGTGTGTGTGTTGGGGGAGGGAAGAATTAGGAGCGGGGTGGGGGTGCATTAGGAGACAAAGGAAGAAGGGGTCAGAAAGCAGGCACCAAAAAAAAAAAAATGCTAAGAAAATCAAAGGGCTGCATGGAAACAATCCTTTCAGGGACTATTGTGCTCTTGCCCAGCTCCTCCACCGGGACTGAATGGATTCCTCAGCCGTGTCCTCCTCTCCCACCAGGGTGCCTGTAGGGGTCAACTGGGTTCAAGGATGTGACAGCTGCTCAGGACAGGGGAAAGCACTGCACAAATGTTTGCTGATGGTGACGATGACGATGTTGATTTTTGTATCTGTGGTTGGAAGGATCCCTCTGGAATCATTTCACATTCTGTGCTCTCCTGGCTGACCCAAATCTGGGCAACTGGGTTTTTGTTGTTGTTGTTGTTTGTTTGTTTTTTGTTTTTGTCACTCTCTTTGTGCCCACTGCCAGGGCTCAAGGTCTGTCCCTTCAGAGCAAGAGGTGACCTTAGAAGTCCTGCTTGCTCCTCAGTGAATCCACAGATGGGCAAAAGTAACTGCATCCTCTGGGAGCTTGTTAGAAGTGCAGGATGTCTGCCCCCAGCAGGTCTCCTCATCAGGCTCCACATTTTAACAGGATCCTCGGATGATTTGAGAAGCTCTGATCTAGTCCAGACTTCTGGTTCCCTGAGGAGGAAACAAAGGCTCCAAGAGGGTAAGGGACCTGCTCCAAGTCACAAAGAATGCTTGTGCCAGGGCTGGAACTGGCACCCTGGCTCCTGGGCCCCCAGACAGCTGTCTTTAGTCAGAAGCCTTTGGGTAAAATAGGTTGTGGAGGACTGGATGTGAGATTCCTTTGTAAGGAGGAAAGCTGTCTTCTGCCCTGAAAGCTGTTCTAGTGGGAACACAGTGTCCCTCACTGACCTCATGCAGCTGTGGTTTGGGTACAGGTAAGAAGAAAGTCCATGCAATTTGCAGATATATAAAATCTCTCCTCTTCCAGAGAAGGCTGTGCAGAAACATCATAGCAGTTAGATTGCTTTTGCATTGACTCAGACCTCTCTGTGCCTCAGTTTCCTCATCTGGAAAAGATGTTCCCTCCTGCAATGAGCACCTGCCACATGCCAAGCCCAATGCCTGGTGGTCACACAAGTCACAATGGCATGAGACACACAGAAAGACCATGGCAGTGTCTGCTAAGGATTCAAGGAAAAGTGAGGAGAGTGCACCCAGAAAAAAAAATCACAGAGAATCACAGGCTATCACTGGAGAAAATATCTATTTGACCCCATTTGCGAAAGTAGGCCATTAGAACTTTACCTTTCCCTAATGCTCAGTTGCATGAAACCAAACTGCTTCTTCCATGAACCCATATGAGAGAATGATGGCACTGAAAGGAGCTTCAGATAGGAAATTTTCTGATCCACCTTCATTTTCCAGAAGGGGAAACTGAGGAACAGAGAGGTGCAGAAACTTCCCTGGGGACACACAACATGAGTAGTAGCACCATGTTATGGACAGAATGTTTGTGTTCCCTCCATATTCATATGTTGAAGCCTTAACTCCCAAGGTTGGTATTTGGAGGTGGGGCCTTTGGAGATAGTTTAGTTGAGATGAGGTCATGAGGGTGGGATCTTCATGACTGGATTAGTGCCTTTATAGGAAGAGACCAGAGAGCTTGTTCCCTCTCTCTCTCCACTATGTGAGAACACAGCAAGAAGGCAGCCATCCGCAAGCCAGGACAGGAGCCCTTACCAGACAAGAATCAGCTGGCCCCTACTTCTTGGACTTTCAGCCTCCAGACCTATGAGAAGTCAATGTTATCTGAGCCACCCTATGGCTATGGTATTTTGTTATAGCAGCCAGAGCTGACTGAAACACACCAGAACTACCCATCCTTTTTCTGGTACACTTAATATCTCATGTTCTTCTACCCCAACCTCTCATGAGAAACTCACAATTCAATTCAGCACTGACAAGTACCCTCCTTCTATTAGAGTTAGGCTGGTGATTGAGACATGGTTACAATCACACTGGACTCCAGGGAATCTACAGCTTAGCAGGGCCTGACCTGAGAAGGTCCTGCTCACATGAAAGCCAGGACACTAGAAAGATGGGAGGTGCCCCACCCCTAGCATGGGGAGGAGGTGGGGGACTGAAGTGGGCAGGACCATCCTAGGGGTTGGGTACCCTAAGAAAGTTGCCTGGGACCCCCATGCTGCTGGAAGGGATTTCCAACAAAAATGCTGGAGACCTGGAAAAGTAATTTTTGGCTCCACCAGGAGGAAAGCAAACTACAAAGTCAAAACTAATAAATGTCTAATTAAATGTCTACAGAAGGTAGCACCGTGTCAACATCATTAAAATGCTAAATTAATTATTCCTAAAAATTTCATTACATGTGAAAAGGATTTAATTTTCTCACTTTGCAAGAATTTCCCAGTACACCCAATCATTTCTGTGAAATCACAGCCACTGTAAATTAGTGCCTTGTAGCCAACTAAAAGCAAAATCAAAATTATTTTTAAAATATAGTTTCAGATATTATGGAATAAAAAGGCCATATGTAATGTGTTTTGAAGTTTGCTATGATGACGGCCAGGCTCCACAAAACAAAGGTAGCTAAGGGCCTGCAAGGTACTGACTTGGTACCTTAACTAGCTGGTGTCACAGTCCCTGCTGGGCATCCCTGGGCAGGTCACTTCACATCTTTGAGCTTCAGTTTTTCCCCTTCTGAAATATCCAAGGGGTCAGTAACCCTGCCTGCGAGAGCTTGTTGTGAGGATCCAAAGCCTCGACCCAGGCAGTAAAGAGGCATAAAAGCCAGACAGGGCCTCACTCGCCTGGGACCCAAAATTTAAGAGGGCGCCCAAAATCTCAATAACCAAGATAAAGAATACTTTAATGTAATATATTTTTAATCAAAGTAAATATATTTCTAAATTTAAATAAATAAATGAAGGGTTTTTAAAAACACATACACACACAAGACGACAAAAATGTCAAATATTTAAACATCTGTCTGGGACTCTGAGGCCACCCTGCCCAGCAGCATCCCTTCTAGCTCTGTGATCTGGGACTCCTTCTGCGCCTCGCTTCACAGATCTGTACAGTGGGGTGATCTGTACAATGGGATCTGCACAATTGGGTGGTTTATACAATGGGGTGATCTGTACAATGGGGTGATGTGTACAATGGGGTGATGTGTACAATGGGGCGATCTGTGCAATGGGACGAGCTGTACAATGAGGTGATCTGTACAAAGGGGTTATCTGTACAATGAGGTGATGTGTTCAATGGGGTGATCTGTGCAATGGAGTGATGTGTACAATGGGACAATCTGTGCAATGGGACGATCGGTACAATGAGGTGATCTGTACAATGGGGTGATCTGTGCAATGAGGTGATCTGTACAACGAGGTGATCTGTACAATGGGGTGGTCTGTACAATGGCTGATGTGTACAATGAAGTGACGTGTACAATGTGGTGAGCTGGACAGTGGGGTGAGCTATACAATGGGTTGATCTGTAGAATGGAGTGAGCTGGACAATGGGGCTACTCACCCCACCCACCTTGCAAAGTGATGCAGGACAGGAAATGGGTTAATAGAAGCTCGGATTTAGAAGAGTGCCTGGCACGCCTAAGGGTGAGGTGCGAGGGGGGTGCTATATTGCCCTCAGCGGGCACATCGCGCGTATCGGAGAAAACCCAGGTCACACTGTCACCCACGAGGTTACGCTGGGGCCGGGGCTTGGCGCAGGCGCGTTGTGGTCGCCGTCGGCGTGGCCTGCGCTACCGCTCCCGCCCTCAGAGAGGCTCTTGGGGGCTCCGGAGGCAGCGAACCGGGCGCCGGGCGCTGGAGGCCAGGCTCTTCTGCCCGTGGGACCCCGCCGCGCGCCCGTCTCCGCCTTTGTCCCGCTCAGCGCCGCGGGCCGCACGCTCCTCCCAGCGCCGCCAGGCGGCCCGCGCCCTTTGTCTGCCCTGCGGCGTCTGGGGCGGCGCTGACACTTGATCCCGAGGCCCAGCGAGTCCCTCATTAGGCGCGGCCGCACTTCAAAGGGGGCGCGACCGTCCCTCTCAGACGGCGACCCGGGCGGGGCCGCGCCAGCCGAGCGGTTAACCCGCTCCTTTGGGGATGGGAGGCGCCTTCCCCAAAGGGGTCCAATAATGAAACTTTTTGTCCATTGCAGGCTCAAGCCGTCTGTGTAATTATCTTAAACTTTTTCATTTCGGAAATGAAACAGCTCCTCCCTTCACCGCCACCTTGGCTATTTCTGGGACCAAAGGAATCCTTGAAGCTGACCGGGCAGGAGAGTCCACGCTGGGAGTAAAATCACTACAAACGTTTGTAGGGGGGCCCTGGCTGAATTAGTTCAATTTCAGGGAGAAAACTGGTGTGTGTGTGTGTGTGTGTGTGTGTGTGTAAAATCACTGCAAATGTCTGTCGGGGCGTGGCTGGATTAGCTCAGTTTCCGGGAGAAAACTGGTGTGTGTGTGTGTGTGTGTGTGTGTTGTGTGTGTGTGTGTGTTGGGAGGAAGGGGGAGGAAGGAGGAGGGCATTCTCTGGTGGAGGAGAAACAGCCTGAGCTTCTCCCCTTCCCATGTCTTTCACAGCAGCTCATACACTGTTTTCTCGCCTTGCAATGCCCAACTTTCTACCTAATGACCTACCCTCCCCTAAGGCCCTGCTCAACTCACCTTCACTGAGAAATCTTCTCTGGCCTTCAGCCCTTTTCTTAAAGCCCAAGGTCTCTGAAGCTGCACTTGATTGGTTGGATACTGTATTAGACCATTCCCACGCTGCTAATAAAAACATACCTGAGACTGGGTAATTTATAAAGGAAAGAGGTTTAATTGACTCACAGTTTAGCATGGCCGGGGAGGCCTCAGGAAACTTACAATCATGGCGGAAGGGAAAGCAAACGCGTTCTTCTTTACATGGGGGCAGGAAGGAGGAGTGCTGAGCAGAGAGGGGAAAAGCCCCTTATAAAACTGTCAAATGAGAACTCATTCACTATCACAAGAACAGCATGAGGGTAACAGCCCCCATGACTAAATTACCTCTCACTGGGTCCCTCCCACGACACTGGGGATTATGGGAACTACAATTCAGGATGAGATTTGGGTGGGGACACAGCCAAACTATATCAGATACTTAGCTGGCTGGATTCCCGGCTGGAGCACACACCTGCCCTGTGAGCTACACATTAGCAGGGCCAGGTATTGCGAACGCAGTGTCTGGACCAGGTTTCCCACATGCTAACCCGTGGAGAATGACTGGGCAAAGTATTTATGAAGGAAGTGCTCTCACAAGAAAGCAAGAGGGGAGTGGAGGAAGCAGGAGAGGAAAGGAGAAGAGGCCACACAAGGACATCACATCAGAAGTCCCAGTCCCAGCCTGATCCCGAGCTCCCCAGAGTAGGTTACATCTGCTTGGAGGCAAGGAACACGGGCTGTCCTACCCTCCTGCCTGTCTGTTTTTGAAATGCTGACGCTCACTGCCATTGCAGAAGTGGCTGCAGTAGCCCAGGTTAGTCCCTCCAAGAAGGCTGCAGGGTGAGTCTTAAGAGTGGAGCTCACAGAAGCATGGAGGATGGGCATGCAGAGCCAGAAAAGGGCATGCAGGATATCTGAGGGCCCTGGGCAGACCCAACGGTGTCTGCTGCAGCAGCTCACAGTGAGTGTGCCACATCATGGCCTGGAAAACACTCTAGTGCTCTTTTTATATACAGTTGGTGTCTGTCTCTCCCAGTAAACAACCAGCTCCTTGAGGACAGAGACAGCGAGAACAGTCTTTAGCAGGGAATGAGTACTGTGTTCCATGCTCTTGCCACCAGTCTTAGAAATTCCAATAAGCATTCATTCACCATCTTCCATGTGTCAGACTCTAAGCCAGCAATATGGATTAGGATGGCTTGGTTACCTAATGAAACTCCCCACTAGACTGCAAGCTCTTTGAGGGAAAGTGCTGCATCTTGTTCTCCATTTTCATCCTTAGTACTTAGCACAGAGCCTTTTACAATGGTAGGAGCTCAATAAATATTTGACGAATGAATGAACAACTTGTCTCAGGGAGTTGGAGTTCACAGCCTAGTATAAGAGGTGCACAATATATTAAATATCTTTTAAAAGCTAAATGTGAAAATTGTAGCAGAGGGAGAAAAATGATTAACTTGGGGTCAAATTTAGGGATCAAAGAAAGTTTCACAGAGTTAAAATATTTGGAATGGAGGGGTTTATCGCACATGGGAAAAGCATTCCAAGCAGAGAGACAGCCTGTGCAAAAGCAAACAGGCATGAAATAAGCTATCTGGTTCTGGTAAATGGGGGCCTTCCAGCTCCAACATCACATGGGAACTCGGGGAAAGTTAGTGATGATGTAATGATTTCAGGGAGTACTGCAGAAATGGATGATTTTCATTTCCTGCTCAGATTTCACTGTAGCCTTTGAAAATGGCAGAGCCACAAACTGTGAAAATTGATATACCCTTCCAAGGAGAGAGGGCCTAAGCTGCCACTGAACAGGTGTGATACATGTGCCTCCTTTCAGCTGGTCAGGTGGGACAGGTGGAGTAAGGAGAGCCTCTATCAAAGGGTGGCCTGGAGCAGAATATCAGGCTATGTGTATTAGTTCGTTTTCACACGCTATGAAGAACTACCTGAGACTGGGTAATTTATAAAGAAAAGAGGTTTAATTAACTCAGAGTTCCCATGACTGGGGAGGCCTCAGGAAACTTACAATCATGGTGGAAGGCATGATAGCAGGAGGGGTGGAAAGAGGGGAGTGTCACACTTTAAAACCATCAGATCTTGTGAGAACTCACTCACTATCATGAGAACAGCAAGGGAGAAATCCACCCCCATGATCCAATCATCTCCCACCAGGCCCCTCCTCCAACACATGGGGATTACAATTTGATATGAGATTTGGGTGATGACACAGAACCAAACCATATCACCATGGAACCTGAAGAAGGCATCCAAGGAGGAGGGCTGCCAGGCATGAGTGTTTGAGCTCTGGCTAAATGAAGAAAGCACCAAAAGGGGCAGCTCAGTGTAGGGTGTTAGATACAAGGAGAGAAAAGTGACCCCATAAAGATGTCAGAGGCCAGGCAGGATGAGCAGGGCATCCATGCATGGAGAAGGCCTAGCACCAGCTGTCAGGACCCCAGTGGACCAAGAATAACATCCTTCTAAGGGAGAGAATGGCAATGGAGATGGAGGATTATTTATACCCATGGGGACTCATCAGGTAGGCAAATATATTAAAAGCAAAGGAGAAAGATTTCTTGCTGTTGGAGCATCAAGTTACAAATATGGAAAGAGAGAATCTGGAAAGACCCTTGTAGAGGGGATTGCGATTGGAGGTATTGATAGGAACTCATAACATTCAATACCTAAATCGACATAGAAATATAGATGAAAGATGTGTGCATGTATGTATACTTGCAACTAGATGTGTATATAAACACATATATTCCTTAGTTTTGTCTATTGAGAGAACCTGAGGGCACTGACATTCCAAAAGCAGTGAGCCTACATTGTACCCAGGTTTTGGATTCCAAATTTCATCTCAACTAAAAGGAAGATGCACCCTAGAAGAAATGGTTGATTCTGGGACTGAGGCAGAAAGGAGCCTAGAACATCTTGTTACCCAGAAATTAAGCACCCAAACAATGATGGAAACATGCCAGAACACAGAAGCCACTGCTGGACATTTCTGGAGTAATCTAAATACAAATAAGTAATGAGAGTTAAGAATTATGGCCCACAGAATAAAACAGGAAAACAGGAGTCCACAGTGTTATTAATAACTGAATACATTGAAGGTTTCATGAGGAACAGGATATTTATATAAAAATAATTATCAACTGCAGAGGGAAGAACAGTAAAAATAGTAACTTCACAATGGAGAAGGTGGGCAGATGCCACTTTAACCAGGTGATGCAGGTGAACATCATCAGTCATGGGACAAATTGAGTTCTTGTGCATCTGATAGGATGCAACCTAGAGAACACATTGCCATTCATGTGATATTTCTGCCAAAGATGCATATCCTAATTCTAATCAGGGTGAAAGGTCAGACAAATGCAGATTGAAGGATATTCTATCAAATGATTGGCCAGTCATCTTCAAAAGAGTCAAGGTCACGAAAATCACAGAAAGACTGAGAAAACATTTCAGACTGAAGGAGACTAAAGGAGCTTGATATCTAAAGGCAATGTGTGATTCCACCCTGGCTCCTTTTGTTATAAAGAACATTATTGGGACAAAGGATGAAACCTGAATGTGGTCTGAGGTTCAAATGGTAAAAATGCATGTTGTGAACGTCGTGATTTTGATGGTCATTCTCTCTGTTTGTTGGAAATGCATAGTAAAGTGTCCAGGGGTGACAGGCATCATGCTGGCAGCTTACTTTCAGATGACTCAGGGACAAAAATTATTTGTCCCATACTTGTAACTTTTTTTGTAAATTTGAGATGGTGTTAAATATATAGGATGTATAAAGCTTAGATCATATTACTCCACTGCTCAGATTACGATTTGAGATGAGATTTGGGTGGGGACACAGAGCCAAATCATATCGCCATGGAACCTGAAGGTGTCCAAGGAGGGGGACGCCTAGAGGTTGGATACCTTTTCTGGTACGTTTTATATCTCATGTTCCTATAACCCACCCCCTACCCCATGAGAAAGTCACAATTCAACCAGCACTGACACGTTCCCTCCTTCTAGTAGAGTTAGGCAGGTGATTGAGACATGGATATGGTTACACTGTAACCTTAGTGCTTCCCTATCACCTTTGGGATGAATATAGAGTCCTGACCATGGTCCCTGAGCCCTAGATGGCCTGGCCCACCTCCTGTCTCAGCCCCTGTGCCTGGCTGTGTTTCAGCTACATTGGCCTGCTGGAGGTTTCTGGAACAGGTCCAGTGCTCTCCTGCCTCTGGGCCTTTGCACTTGCTCTTCTCTTTGCTTGGAGTGTGAACCCTCAAGATTTCTACATGGTGCTCCCTGTGCAAATGTCCCCCATCAGAGAGGTCTTGGAAAATAGCTCCTCCTCCTCCTGGTCACCTGCATCCCTCCACCTGTGTTAACTTTCTTCATCATGCTTTCACTGCTTGATATTTTAAGATGGTAATATGGTTTGGCTGTGTCCCCATCCAAATCTCATCTTGAATTCCTACATGTTGTGGGAGGGACACAGTAGGAGGTAATTGAATCATGGGGGCAGGTCTTTCCTGTGCTGGTCTTGCGATAGTGAATACGTCTCGTGAGATCTGATGGTTTTAAAAATGGGAGTTTCCCTGCACAAGCTCTCTCTTTGCCTGCTGCCATCCATGTAAGACGTGACTTGCTCCTCCTTGCCTTCCACCATGATTGTGAAGCCTCTCCAGCCATGTGAACCTGTAAGTCCATTAAACCTTTCTTCCTTTTGTAAACTGCCCAGTCTCAGGTATGTCTTTATCAGCAGCATGAAAACAGACAAATACAGATAGGTTTCCCTGTGTGTTGTTTGTTTCTTCACTAGAAAGTCCACTCTCTGTGGGCAGGAACTCTGTGTTGCTTCTCTCTACTCCCAATGCCTAGAAGAGTTCCAGCACTGTGGGGATGGGTCAGTGATTATTCCTGAGTAAGGAGTGACAGGCCCCTGGCGAGGGCCTTCCCTCATCACCTTGCAGCAAGGTGGGCCTACCTACGTTCTCATTTTGAAGATGAGGAAGTTGAGACTCAGAGAAGTGAAGTGATTCACCCAAGGACACACAGACAATACCCAGAGGAAATAGGATTTGAACTATCAATGAAAAAAAAAAAAAACACACACACACACACACACACACAGCGCAAAACACTTGTGAAAGGTGGCAAGACAGGTTTTATTCAGACTCCTGCTTTGGGGGAGATTCCAGGTCAGACAGAACTCAGCCCCAATTAAAGGGGACTGAGGCTTCTGAAGGGAGAACAGAGAGAGAACAAAAAGGGATGCTGGGGAAGTGAAGAAGGGGGAACAAAAAGGGCCTGGGGTTTATGTGGAAATGGAAATTACAGAAGGGGTCACTAGAGAATTCCTGAAAACAATTTGGTGCAAGCTGGGTTGGGACAATGCACATTTTGTGGTTTGGTAGCATTGCATTTTCTTGAGTAAAGACTTAGTGCAAGGCAGGGGTGGGGCCACCTTTAGAGACACAGCCTAGAGCAGGCGGAGCCAGCCTGAAATGTGGTCAAGTCTCAAGCATGGTGCCTAAGGGAGCGATCTGTGCCTCCTGAGAGCTCACTGTTCACAGGCCCAAGCCTTCAAACTCTAGAGCAAGGCACAGGGAGCGGGATTTTGCAAATTATTTTTCAAAGGAAGTCTCAGGGGCAAAGGAGAAGCCCATTGTCTTCTCCTTTGTATCATTTGTATCATTGTCTTCTCCATTGTATACATTTCTTTTGTGTCTTGTCCTCTCACAGTGTCCATCAGAAGGCCCCTGCTGAGTAGTTGGCAGGGTGGCTGCACATAATGGAAAGCACATAAGCTTGAAGCCAGACAGATGGGAGTTCTAACCCCAGCCCTGCCACTTATTCCCAGGTGACACTGAGTAAGTGACTTAACTTTCCTCAGCCTGAGTTTCCTAATCTCAATCACGTTACCCACCTGGCACCTTGTTGGAAGGTTTATATAAACCAAAATGTGTACATGCTAAGCACAGTATGTGGCCATAGGCAGTTCTCAGTAAGGGGGATGATAAATCTATCATGGGCTGGGTTTTGACACTGTTCACCCGCGCCTAGCAACTAGAGATTCCAAGAGATGAAAGATCAGGGAGGAAGGACCACACCTCTCTGCCAGAGGCCTGGAGGGGAAGCTCCTGGTGACAGAGGCTGGATTCCAAAGTGTCTCTTCTTTGACGTTGGTACCAGTCCCACTCGTGTTTTGCATGAGATTTGCCCCCAGACCCTGTGGACTGAGCTAAGCCCCGCAGGGGTGGCGCTTCTCCCTCCCTGCTCAGTGCCCAAACCTTCTGCTTCAAAGCCTCTATGGAGATAGCTTTCTCATTTGGCCCAGGCGGCCAATTCCAGTGGAGTATATGATATCGTCCACAGGCTGTTGGCTCAATGTGGAGAAACACAAAACCATCTTGAAATGCGACTTTACAGTTTTGATTTTGCTTGTTTATAAATGTATACTGTAAGCAAGCTGCCATCGCCTACAATCCGGTCTCTTCTCTGGCATCTAATTACCTTTAGAGCATGAATATCAACATCAAGAAGATGTTTTTTCCCCAGCCAAAGAGCAATTGGAAACATTTGATACCCTTTTCACCATTAAGGATGGATAGGAAGGGGAGGTTATAAAATATGGCCCTATTGGCCTGGCGCGGTGGCTCACACCGATAATCCCAGCACTTTGGGAGGCTGAGTGGGGTGGATCACCTGAGGTCGGGAGTTTGAGACCAGCCTGACCAACATGGAGAGACACTGTCTCTACTAAAAATACAAAATTAGATAGGTGTGGTGGTACATGCCTGTAATCCCAGCTACTCAGGAGGCTGGGGAAGGAGAATTGCTTGAACCCAGGAGGCAGAGGTTGCGGTGAGCTGAGATCACACCATTGCACTCCAGCCTGGGCAACAAGAGCAAAACTCCGTCTTAAAAAAAAAAAAAAGTACCTATTGCACTTTTCGATAGTCTTTATGCCTAGCTAGGAAATAAAGCTCCACCGTGTTATGTCCTGTCAAGTTACCATCCGTTCACTCAACAAATATTTATTGAGCGCCCTCTCTAGGGCAGGCAGCACTCTAGATACTTGGTCAGTGGACACAACAGGTGATGATCCTGTCATTGACACCTTGGTACAGGTGGTGCTTTCCGCCAGGTTCACCTTTCTCCTTGCTCTACCTGGTGAATTTCTATTGTCCTTCAAGACTCAGTTCAAACCCATCTCCCCTGGAAGGGTTTCCCTGTGTGCTTTCTCTGTGTTGTCATAACACTTTGTACATATCCCTTTTATTGCACTTTATTACCTTGTTCTCTACATTAATAGACTATTCTGGGGGGCAGTTGCAGGTTTACAGAAAAATTGAGTAGAAAGTATAGTTACCATATAACTTCCTCAACACCTCTTCTCGGACTTTCCCCTATATTAACATCTTGCATTAGTGTGGTACATTTGTTACAATTGATGACTAAATATGGATACATTATTATCAACCAAAATCTATAGATTACGTTAGGGTTCACTGTTTGTATTGTACATTCTATAGGTTTGATGAAGATATAATGACAGGTATCAACCATTACAGTATCATACAGAATAGTTTCATTGCCCTAAAAATATTGTGTTCGACCTATTTATCCCTCTCTCCCTCCCCTGAGCCCCTGGCAACCACTGATCTTTTTACTGTCTCCATAGTTGTGCCTTTTCCAGAATGTCCTATAGTTGAAATCTTGCAGTATGTAGCCTTTCCGATTGGCTTCTTTTACTAGCAATATGCATTTAAGGTTCCCCCACATCTTTTCTTTTTTTTTTTTTTTTTTTTTTTTTTTAAATTGGGATTTTCTTAGGAAAGTTTAATAAAGGGATTATTTGCAAAGATGTGGCAGGTTGTAGAGATGATGCTCTGCCCTGGAGCTAGTAATGGCAGGGCTGTTACCTGTCCTTAAGCCTGAAGGGAAGAGGGTAGGGAGTAGTTTTCCAGAACACAGAAGGAGAGTCTCCTAGAAAGCTTCTGGGGAGGAATAGTGACAGCCTAAGGCAATGCTGCAGGGCAAGCATTCAGAATAAATCCCCAGCCTCACTCTCAGCCCTCCCTCTCATCTTCTGTCTGGGCACCCTATTGGCTAAACCAAAAAAAAAAGCAAAGGACAAGGGAGCCTCTAGTGGTCCATGCAGGTCAGCCTCCTTGGGAGGGAGACCAAGGAGTAGCAGGTGGACAGTGGATCTGAAGGAAAAAATGACAATATCTAGTATAAATACATATCTCATTTAATTTGCACAAGAACACTCATTATTCACATTCTGCAGATGAGGAAATTGAGGTCTAGAGACTAAGTAACTAGTTCAAGGTCAGATAGTTAAGTTAAGGAGTCAAATTAGCATCTACCCCCACATCTTTTCTATAGCTCATTTGCTTTTAGTGCTGAATAATATTCCACTGCATGTATGTACCACAGTTTGTTTATCCATTCACCTATTGAAAGACATCCTGGTTGCTTTCATGTTTTGGCAGTTATGAACAAAGCTACTGGAAATGTCTGAGTGGAAGTTTTTGTGTGGATGTAAGTTTTCGGCTCCTTTGGATAAATACCAAGGAGCATGCTTGCTGGATCTTATGGTAAGAGTATACTTAGTTTTGCCAGAAACTTCCAAACTGTCTTCTGAAGTGGCTGTACCATTTTGCATTCCCACCAGCAACAAATAAGAGCTCCACTTACTACTTTTCATTTTATCTGTTAACTGCTCTGCTCCCACCACCATCTACCCTTCAGATTGTGAGCTACCTGAGCAGGATAGCCAGGTGTTATCATTGCATCTTCAGTGTTTGACACTGAAATGTTTATGGTATTAATAATTTGTCGAGTTTAAATTTTAAATTGCAGAATGATCTCTCAAGTAATAGCACATACCTCTGGATGCTACTTTGGTAGGGGGGAGGGCATTTAGAGGCATATGTTATGGCCAATGGAAGACCTAGCTTCTGTTCTGTGGATATGTTATTATCTACAGCATGTTAACATCGAGTTTAAATAATGTTCAGAACTAGAGTCCAACCATAGTCCTCGAATAACTTATCCTTTATATTTTCATTTTGTAACTTTTGTTATTTTGTTAATAAACTGTTAAAGAATTGACCATCATGACCATAACTACACTTATCAGCTGTCACCTAGATCTCATAAAAGACTTACACATCTCAGCCATAGCAATCTTTTTGCAATCCACTGGGGAAGACAGACAACGGAATAGGTAAGGGCAATGGAGAATCCAAAGCTGTAACAGAAGGATGCATTAAGGACCATGGGTGCCCAAAGAGGACTCCTAACCTAGTTTTGGCTTGAGAAGGTGCAATGGATTTGATTCCTGTTCAGCAAATACTTGCTTTCTCCTTCCCTCTCCTGGGAAGAATAATCTTCCTCGTCAGACCCAGCTGTGGGACTTGCTATGGCCAATGGAACATGAGTGGTCACGACGCAAACAGAAGCTTTCAATGTGCTCATGTGGTTTTGTCCTTTTTTGCTCTCCTAATCCACCATGAGGAGAGCATCCCCTAGGTACATGGTGTGCCCTAAGTTAGGGTTCTGGAATGAGAGACACAAAAGCAGACCTGAACCCACATCCTGGGCCAGAGTCCCCTCAGCTGACCTGCAGACCTGCGAGTAGGAAAAAATGTTCATTAATGTTTGGGGGTTATTTGTTACACAGCATAATCAGCAATAGCGACTAGTACAGAAATCCTCCTGGGGAAGGAGTAACAATAAGAAATGTTATCCAGATGGACAGGGAAAGGTTAAGAGAAAAGCTGGCTTAGTGCAGGGAGCTGTGAGTACAATGAATAATATTTATAACTGGCATGAGACCACTTGATAATTTGCTACAAATGAGAAGTAGATGGATGGAAGGCAGGCTAGAGCTGGTAACAATCACTGCGGTAATCACCGTTACGATCTAAACTGCTTACTCCTTCCTGGCAATGGCTCATTACTGGTGTGCCAATCATGATTATCCTGTTCCTAACTTTCCCAGCCTCTCTGCAGCTAGGGAGTAGCTAGTGACCCAGTTCTGGCCCTTGAGACCTAAACAAAAATTTTCTCATGGATTTCTGGGAAAGGCTTTTCTTTCCTGATGAAAGATGTCAGATGTGGTTAAGGCAGTCTTCCCCCTCTCTCCAGGCTTAAACAAGGATGCAATTGCCTGAGTTCTAACAGCCCTCTTGCATCTAGGAAGAAATGTCCAGAATTTCAGAGACATTGGCCCCATCATTTTTGAGCTCCTGAACTGAAACCTGCAACTACCTACTTCTAGACATCTTACTGTATGCGAAAAATAACTCCTTCTCTGTTTAAGCATAAGGAGGATTTTGTATTAGGTATCATGTTCTGCATTAGCTTGCTTTCCTAACTAAAATAATAGCTAACATTTACAAACACCACAAGCCTGGCACTGTGTTAAGCATGTTATAGCCATTATGCCATTTAACCTAAGTAATAATCCTATGGAAAAGTGGTATTATTGCCACATTAGAACTTTTCCCAGAGATCAGATCTGCTAAAGGCTCTGCTACTCCAATTCTACCTAACTCCTGGGGTGCAAACCCTAGTCCGGCTGTACCTACTCCAAAACAATAAGTAAAAGCTTTACTCCACCTGGATATAGGCTGAGCCAGAAATCACTTTGAGAAACAGAGATTTGAGCCAAGGTCCTCAATCCCTTCCAATGGCAAGGGAGAAAGTTGTGAGTTGGGGCTGAAGATCTTGAGCTTCTGGGGTCCCCACATTTCTGAGCTCCATGCTGTCAAGTGGGTTACTGGGATGAGCAGAAAGAATGTTGAGGATTCTCCAAATTATTATTATTATTATTATTATTATTATTTTTGTGAGACAGAGTCTCGCTCTGTCTCCCAGGCTGGAGTACAGTGGCACGATCTCGGCTCACTGCAAGCTTCGCCTCCGGGGTTCATGCCATTCTCCTGCCTCAGCCTCCCGAGTAGCTGGGACTACAGGCACCCACCACCACGCCCGGCTAATTTTTTGTATTTTTAGTACACCGTGTCAGCCAGGATGGTCTCAATCTCCTGACCTCATGATCCACCCGCCTCAACCTCCCAAAGTGTTGGGATTACAGGCGTGAGCCACCACGCCCGGCCCGAGGATTCTCCAAATATTTCTGGATCCCAGGGTTAGCCAGCCTCCCTCTCTAGAAGCTCTGATAGGGGAGAGGGTTGGGTGTGTATGGAAAGGCCTCTGTCAGAGTCAGCTTAATGATACTATTTAAACAAGCCTTGTCTCCACTTGCTTCTGCTATGACTGCTAGATTTCACCAATCAGTTTAAGAACCAAACACCTTGGGATAGTTAAGAAGAAGGTGAAGCAGTCATTAAAAAAAAAAGAAGAACAAAACCATGTCCTTTGTAACTACATGGATGGAGCTGGAGGTCATTATCCTAAACAAACTAACACAGAAACAGAAAACTGAATACCATATGTTCTCACTTGTAAGTGGGAGCTAAACAATGGGCACATAAAGATGGACATAAAGATGGAAACTATAGACAGTGGGGACTCCCAAAGGGGGGATCATTAGAGTGGGGGATAGAGTTGAAGAATACCTATTGGGTACAATGTTCACTATTTGGGTAATGGACACACTAGATGCCCAATCCCACCAGTACATAATTATACCTGTGTAGCAGATATGCACATGCACACCTTGAATCCAGAATAAAATACATTTTTTTTAAAAAAAGAAAAAAAAATTCAATCAGTATGTATGCATCATGAAATTTTTATTCCATTCTGATCAGTCACTAACAGAATGAACTTTTCTAAATGAGAAAGTTTGTCTTCTGAATTTTAAGCAGAGCACACTTGAATTTTGATGCTGATAATAAAATGTAGTATAGCAATATGCAATTCATCACTGTTTTGATTTTCTGACAGGTGGAAATTAGGCCAAAATAAATACTACTTTCTGCTTAAAAAAATGCAGGTGAGCACTATCAATAATTCACTCCTTAGTATGGATTCGTTTGCTTCTATTATCCCTGTAATGCTTGGGCAAAAAGTGCTCAAGAATGAAAGTTTTGTTAGGGAATGTTGAATAAATGTTGCAGAATAAATAAATGTGTGTATGAATGAGCTGTATTCATGGAAGATTGTTCAGAAACCTATAGGTGGCCTCCTCAGAGCTGTACCCAGGGGTGTGCGTACGAATACACGCACACACACACACACACACATTTTAAGAGGAGATGTGGAGCTTTCTAGGTCTTCTTGGTTAACAGGAGCAAGACTCAAAATGTTTGAGAAGTTAAAACAAGGGGACTAGTGTAACAAGATTACGTTTAACAAGGGCAGGTGTTGTACTCTGAACATTTGTTGAAAACTGCCGCACACATGGAGGCGATGAGGGAGGTGAGGCTTAACAGACTCACGTGTGAAAAAGACAGGGGTCCCCTAAGTGGACAGGCAGCTCCTGCACTGTCAGGGGTAGGACCTGGCTGCCAAGAACATTAATGAGCTCCCAAGCTGCTTTAATACAAGCACGGTTTTCAGAGGGAGAGACCCGATAGGACGTGAGTCAGACCACACCTGAAGTCTGGGACTCACTTCTGGAGAGAAACACCAGCAAAGTGGTGACCAAGCCAAAAGCCACTTGACAGAAGAAGGGACAAGGTGGAAAAGCAGGGCAGAAGAGGTGGCCGCAAAGGAGCGAGAATGCTGCGAACAGCTGGAGGGCAGGGTTTGTATCTGATTGGTCTCTGTATTCCCAGCGTCTGGGATGTCTTTGAAGCTTTGTAAAGAGTTGGAGAATGAGGCCAGGTGCGTTGGTGGCTCACGGCTGAAATCCCAGTGTTTTGGGAGGCAGAGGTGGGAGGATGGCTTGAAGCCAGGAATTTGAGACAAACTTGGTCAACATAGCAAGACGCCACCTCTGCAAAAAATTTTTAAAAATTAAAAAACTAGCTGGGAGTGGCGGCACACGCCTGTAGCCCTTAGCTCCTGGGAGGCCGAGGCAGGAGGATCACTTGAGCCCAGGAGTTCGAGGTTACAGTGAGCTATGATCACGCTACTGCATTCCAGTCTGGGTGACAGAGTGAGACCTTGTCTCTAAAAAAGTTGAAAAGAAAATGTGCTGAATGAACAAACTGGGGTGTCCCAAATATAAAGAGCTTTCCCATAAAGGAGACAGTTCCCAATCTGTGGGGGTATTTAAGTACACAACAGACAGATGTTTGCTGGGTTGCTCTAGGAGAGAGTCAGGTGTCCAGCAAAGATAGGGAGGGGAATAGATGTTAGAGACATCTAATGTTAGAGACAGGGGGCAGCCAAGTGTCCCAGGTGAAACCCCACCTCCAAGGCTAAAACAGCCTGAAGGCTGAGAAACTGGATTGCTGGTCCCTGATGAAGCCTGCCCTTTCCCAAACGATTTTCTCTAAATGAGGCCCACCTTCTTACTGGGGGAAAGGGGTAGAGCCAGGGGAAGTTCACGAAGTTTGCAGGGGAGAGGAACCTGGCCTCTGTGGTAACCTAGGATTCAATTTGTGAGGAGAGAGGTTGTTGGCAAGACCCCCTATCACTTCGCTGAGAGTTTTTCTTTCTTTTTCCTTTTCGCCCAATAAATTCTGTTTTCCTCACCCTTCTATGTGTCCGGGAGCCTAATCTTCCCTGGTCGTGTGACAAGAGCCTGGTTTTAGCTGAACTCAGGAGAAAGCTCTGCAACACTAAGTTCTATTGGGTCCCAAGGATTTTGTTCCGTAAGGCTAGATATTAAAGCCCTCCCCATGTCTACGTCTCTGACATCTGTTTCTCTTTTATTAGTGATGTCCAAAGAGAAGGGAGGAGGAAGGATGAAAGGAAAGACAGAGGAGGAAGGAAGAGAAGAAAGAAGAGTGGCCGGCACAAGGGCTTGGAGATCCCTGAAGCTGTTTTCCTTTCTCCTCACCCCCACAGGGAGGGATCCACATCGTTGTGGGGTTTTTGTTGTTGTTGTTTTTGTTTTTGTTTTTTTGCCTCCCTTCATCAAAGCATTCATTGTAGTGTATGGTAATTGTCTCTGAATGTAACAGCCTCTCTTCCCTGAGGCCTGGGTCTGCTTGTTTCATACCATCTTCTCCTTAACACACAGTGCTTGGTAAACAATACCTATTAATAAACATTTGTTGAATGAATGAATGAGTGAATGAACGAATACTGCACTCTTTCGACTTGGTTAGAGACATGTCTTGTAGGCTGGCATGTACTTCACACAGCACTCTTAGGTAGAGTTTGTATATGTTATTCCATTGAAGGGAAAAGGAAGCCAGACTGTGGGGAGAAAAAAAAAAAAAAAAGACATTCTGAAGAAGTAAAAACTACCCTTGTGGGTTTCAAAAATGTCTGGGCTATTATGCCTGAAGCTGAAACATCAGGTCATATTTACTTTTTCTTTTCTACAGACAGCTCATAGGTTTTCTAAAAAACAAAAAACAGACATCAAAACCTCTTGTTACTTTCTGCGTGCCTCCTTTCCATGTTAGTTTCTTTTTATAATGAAATCATATGAGCATCTGTCCCTGAAATTCTGGCTCTTGATAATCTTTTATTTGCTTTGCTCTTCAAAGTTTATACAGATTGTACATTGATCTTGTACCTCGTGTAGGGTTTTAACTAGCAAAAGTACTGGAAAAAAATTTTAAAGTACTTGAAAAAATTTCAATGAGGACAGGGCTATCGTAGTTTCTATTACAGTTCCTGCAGGTAGGGCGATGCCTGACACACAGCAGGTGCTCGATACTTAGACAATGAATAAAATATGTGCTGTCTACCTCGATGAGAGATATTATATCATAAGCACATTACTAACATTACTAGTTAATCCACCAACACCCTTGTGGTTGTGATTCCATTCTTAAGATAAACAAGAAATAAGATAAAGGAATTAGTCGATGGTGGTAACAAAATGAGTCAGAATTCAAACCCAGTGCTGCCTGACTCCAAAGCCAGGCTCTCTCTGTATCACAAGCTACTAAGGGGACAGTGGCATGTGGCTTCAGTGAAGCTCATCCTGGGCATCTCCGGTAACCTGCCCAACCCCTTCCCTTCCCAGCTGCTCTTGGGTCCAGATCTCTGGCAACTTGCTTCGAATGACTTTGAGAACAAAAAAGTATGTGTTAAGTGGATGGCTGGATAAAGGGTTAGGTAAATGATAAAGACATGACAGTAAAATCAATGGATGGATACTTAGTTACATACAAACACACGCTCCTTCCCCTGCCTGTATTCCTGGTGTTTTGGGAGGCAGAGGTAAGGGGATCACTTGAGCCCAGGAGTTCAAGGTTACAGTGAGCTATGATCATACCACTGCACTCCAGCCTGGGTGACAGAGTGTGAGACCCTGTCTCTAAAAAAATTTCTTTAAAAAGATTTGCTGAATGAACAAACTGGGGTGTCCCCAAATATAAAGCACTTCCCCTCTTTACAGAGAAAAAGCTGTACCTACAGTACCAGCCTGTCCATTTCAGTCCGGCAACACATCCTTAAAAAGACAGATTGGCCTCTAACTCTTCCCTGCCAATTCCACCCCTGCTGCCTGCCCCACCCAGGATGATAAAGGCCCTGAAGTCTTGAAAGCAAAGCATACTTTTGTGCTACAGTTTTTGCCCAGACCTCGTTAATTCAGGAAGATGATATACTTCAGCCAGTGGAAAGATATCGAATGCGTGCAAAGCCTCTTTAATTGTGGGTTTCCTTTTGTTGTCTGCTTCCTTAATAAATTTGGAAACTATTTTATGTAAATTATATTCTCTAAATGAGGCTGTTGCATTTTCCTGCTCTAGGAGCTGGAGCAGAGATGGGGCAGAGCAGGATGGAGGGAAAAAACCGCCTTGTGAAAAATGCTCCTTCCCTAGGAGGCGGCATCGTCCCTGCTTTTCTAGTCTCGGCCAAATTCCTCCTAGGGATGCTGCATGTCCTGCCATCCTTGAGGATGGGCAGGCAGGAGAAGAATGGTGAGGCGGAGATCCTGGCACCAGGAGTAACTTTGAGGGCAGGAAGTACAAACTAAGCCTGGAGATGCCTGGGGTGGGATCGGGTGGCTTTAATAAGTAAGATGTGTGGGCAAGAGGGAATGAAACTGAAATGGAGAAAAGATGTTGATTCAGCCAGCAAGGCAGAGCTGCAGGAGCAGCCCAGTGGGGCCAGGAGCCCAAAGGGTGAGACGGCTCCCTAAGCTCCTTCTCCAGGTCACACTTGGCCTCAAAGCCAGAGTCCCTGCCCCTGCCGCTCTACTTTTCCACCTGACTGGTCCACACACACTTGTGGCCTGATGACTTCCTGAGACTTTGGGGATGAGTTGCCTGGGTTCCATTCTTTGTTGTTGTTGTTGTTGTTGTTTTGTTTTGAGACAGTCTTGCTCTGCCACCCAGGCTGGAGTGCAATGGCGCGATCTCGGCTCACTGCAACCTCCATCTCCCGGGTTCAAGTAATTCTCCTGCCTCAACCTCCCAAGTAGCTGAGATTACAGGTGCCTGCCACCATGCCCAGCTAATTTTTGTATTATTAGTAGAGATGGGGTTTCACCATGTTGGTCAGGCTGGTCTTGAACTCCTGCCCTAAAGCAATCCACCCGCCTCAGCCTCCCAAAGTGCTGAGATTACAGGTGTGAGCCACCATGCCCAGCATTTTGGGTTCCATTTTTTTTCTTTTTTGAGACAAAGTCTTGCTCTGATGCCTAAGCTGGACTGCAGTGGCGCGATCTCGGCTCACTGCAATGTCCGCCTCCCAGGTTCAAGTGATTCTCCTGCCTCAGGCTCCTGAGTATCTGGGACTACAGGCGTGTGCCACCATGCCCGGCTAATTTTACTTTTTGTGTTTTTAGTAGAGACGGGGTTTCACTATGTTGGCCAGGCTGGTCTCGAACTCCTGACCTTGTGCTCCACGAGCCTCAGCCTCCCAAAGTGCTGGGATTACAGGCATGAGCCACCGCGCCCGGCCTTGGGTTCCATTCTTGCTCTGCAACTTACTAGCTGTATGACCTCAGGTATGTGTCTTAATCATTCTGTGCCTTGATTTTTTTTTTATATCAACAAAATGCATATGACAAGAATACGAGCCACATAGGATTGTATGATTTATTCTCCCTCAAGCACTTAATAGTGCTTGGTACTTAATGAGTGCTACATAGGATTGGCTATCATTATCATCACCTTCATCGTTATCTAGCTCTATCAATGACAGCCTGTCACCCAAGCCAGAAATTTCAGAATATTTTCCTGTGGGGAATGGATTTTCCACTATATTCCCATCCTCAATTTCCTGGAACCTTCACTCCTCAAGGCTAGGACAAATAAAAGACAAACTAAAGAGGAAGGAGGCAGACGTAACATAGAGAAAGAGCTTGCAAAGCTTAGACTTGAAGCACACCAATGAAAGGTCTGACTCTTTGACCCAGAGTCCACTCTGACAACAGTACCTAGGGGGACGCAGCAAATTTCCTGTAGCCCTGGCATGAGCAACAGAAGCAAAGACAATGACAACTCAAAGAGGACAGGACCCAGGGGATCTCCAGGGACTTCAGTGGACCAAGAAATGGAGGAAGGAAGAAGGGAGGAAGAGAAAGAAGCTCTTCAGGGAGGAGATTTCGGTGCTGACTAGAAGAGCGGCCACGGCCATGTGTAAGGAAAAGAGGGCTAAGATTTCACACTGGCTATGGGACTGGGACGATGGCTGCTTCTAGGGCAGCTGCCTCTGCCTCTCCTCCCTCTGTTGACCCTGTGTGGGTAGAAACTTGAAGTAAAAGGACTGCTTGCATATTTTTCTGGACTCTGTGGGGGATTTACTGGAAAAGAGCTATTCTGTTGGTTTATAGATACCATCACCCAGTCCCTCTACAGGAGGGGATCAAGGGCCATGCACGGCTGATTTGGAATCACCAATAGAGGCCTGTGGGTCCAACAGGAGGCAGCCAATATGTGAAAGTCCCTGGGCTACAATCAAGGGCTTTATCAATGAAATTATAATAAACGAGACATTTTGGACAAAACAATTTGGGGTGTATAGGGGCATATTTAATATGTGCCAATATACAGCCTCTTTGTTGAAGTCCCTTACAAGGGCTAGTTATTCAACTCTAAATCTATTTAAAAATAAAAACTTAACCCACCATGGGCTACTTTTGGGGTGAGGGGAACCCAAAACTATTTGCTGTGATGCTCACAGTGAGACCTTTGTGTCCTTTGAACTTACAGCTGCTGCGATTTGCCTGCCTTTTTGATGTACAATAATGAAAACTAGTGGTTGGCTTAAAACCTTCTGAAATTAACAGCTAAAGACTTAGCTTCCATGGGAGGGAAGGGGAGAACCCCCACAGTGTGGTCAATGCCCGGTTATTGATAGCTTATGCCTACAAAGCAAAGGAAGGTGCAGACAAGTAATAATGGAGACCTAAAAATATATCAACAAAAATAAATGCATTGTGAGGAAATTCCAAGCTCTATTAAATGCACTTTTGGTGAAAGAAGCCCTGCAGAGAATTTCTTAATACATTTCAAAGAGGGGAGGTGTTTGGTCGCTGGAGTAGCCTACATAAGCAATCATGGTATTTGTGGAATGTCAAACTGCAGATTGCCAGAGATAGTCATCCAGCTCCTACCACAACCATTTCTTATGCTAGATCAAGGTTTTGGACAGTGGTTTGGGGTTGACTGAGACTCATATCCTCACGTTAGAAGATCCCGTTAATGTCACAGACTCTCCCACTTGGAAAGAGCGTGTGAGTGTAGACATTCCTGCATGGAGCCAATGCTTCCACACTTCAAGATCTGCAGCCAGAGAGACACTGTCCTTATTGTAGACACCTTGGTAACTCATTCCAAAGTCCAACAACACCCACATCCAGGAAATTCTTCTTCATGTTTAGCCTAAATCCCTCATGCTTCAATGTAAGCTCGTTTCCTCTCATTCAGTCCAAAACAGAAATAGGGAACAGCTGCTCTCCACCACTGGTTCATGTGCTTGAGGACTTTCATTTCATCCAACCCCTAAATCTTCTCTTCTCCAGAATAAATATTCCAAATCCTAGAAACATTCTCTGAGATTTACCCAAACCATGTGGCCAATTACTTTCTAAGTGCTTCCTTTAATTCCAAACACTTGTCCAAGGTACCGTCTCAGTCTTCGCTCTTGAACAACACACATTCGTTGGGTGATATAGAGGACTGAAAGGAACCAAGCTTCCTTCCAAAATCTAAAGAAGACTTCTCACCACCTCCAGCTACCTTGGCATTGCCAGTCTGAAGTTTCTTCTGTCTGGTTTCATCCTCAACATCCCCATTGCCATGATGGCTGGGTTTTTTTATGACTAACTACACCAGATGCTGTGCTACACACTTTATATGGATCATCTCATTTAACACATTGACATGGTTTGGCTGTGTCCCCACCCAAATCTCATCTTGAATTGCAGCTCCCATAATTCCCACGAGTTGTGGGAGGGACTGGTGGGAGATAGTTGAATCATGGGGGCGGTTTCCCCCATACTGTTCTCATGGTAGTGAATTAGTCTCATGAGATCTGATGGTTTTATAAGTGGAAACCCCTTTCGCTTAGCTCTCATTCTCTCCTTGTCTGTCACCATGTAAGATGTGCCTTTCACCTCCTGCCATGATTGTGAGGCCTTCCCAGCCACGTGGAACTGTGAGTCCATTAAAGCTCTTTTTTTTTCCTTTATACATTACACAGCCTTGGGTATATCTTTATCAGCAGCATGAGAACAGACTAATATACATGTACAACAACCTGATGGATGCGTTTTTATCTTTTATTCATAGATGAGGAAATAACCTTGAAAGAACTCATTATTAATAAGTGACTGGGATTTGAACCCAAGCTTGTCTGACAGAGAACTGAGGCTCTTGCCACAATGCCAGGCTAAGAGGTGGTTCCTGCTCCATAGAGTCCCATCAAGACAGAGATAATGAAATGGCCAGAAATGGACCATAAGGAAAGCATCTCTCCAACTCTATTTCTGGAGTGCTGATCATTTCCTGTCCCTGCAGAGTAGCTTTTTAATTTCATGGTTTGAAGCTGCCATGAAAAAACAACAAACTCCATTATCACATTTATGTTTAATTATAATTATGTCTGTACACACTTGTCTGTCCATTACTCCTTGACTTGCTCCAAGGCGGGGACTTCAGCTTTGTTTTTATATTTTCAGCACCTAGCACGTGCCACCTACTGAGTAGACACTGGGAATATGTTTAGAATATGACTCACTGACTGGCTAGCTTAATGGATGAATGAATGAATGAAATACACACAAATCCACACATATCAGTTACTCCAATTCTCATATTCAGAACTGCTTACAGATACATAGGGATCTCCTTGAATAAATGCTACTCTCCTTACTCCTACTCTCATCACAAAACTGTTTGGGGGACATTAAACAGTTGGAAGATAAAGATTCTAATCTCATTTTCCCCTGCAACTCAACATGTGAACTTGGACAAGTCATTTGTTTTCTCATCTGAAAAATGAGGAAGTTTGGCCTGGATGATATTTAAGGCCCTTTCCAGTCCTAAATTTCCATAATTCGATAGCTGCCTATCTACCATAATCACACTTATCTAAATAATCACAAAAAACACTACTTCATGCTGGAGAAACACAGTCATAATAAACTAAGCAAAACCAAATGCCCTTCAATATCCTGTTGTGAACTATAAAATGCCCCTTAAAATCACATTTTCCCCTTGAAACAGGATGTAGGAAAAATATTTTCCTATTAAATCCTTTTAAAGTGCAAGGGAAAGCATTTATTCTGTGATTTGCTGTCCAACTCAATAAAAAGTGGAGGATTCGGCCATCTTAATCATGGAAGATACTGTCAAAAAAGCAAAGGCGGTGGAAATTCAAGTTAGAAACCAAGATGCCATGCCAACAAAACAATGCACATGTTCTCTGGAAGGGATTTCCAAGTGTGTATCAAGTAGTTTATTTCTGCCATTATGTTGGGGAAACCAGTAAATGGGTTTTTATGAGGTGCTCTATGAAACTCCTGGGGTGGACGAAGTCAGCCCTGGGAAGAAGTTGCACCAAACTTCTCAACCTGGAGGCCAGGAGAAGGAGGGGAGAGAGAGGACTTGAACTTTGGTGACTGTTGATCACATTGTTGTGAGTTGACGCCTCTAAAATGGGGTGAGCAGAGTGGGATAAGTACCTTAAAAGAGGTAGAAAGGACTAGAAGATTTCAGAAGAACATTGCTTTGTGTTTGGATATTGGTGTGTCTCCTACTAGGTTAAATCCTCAAAGGGAAAAGGTTCTGTTTTCTTAATTTCTGTAGACCCCTGGAGTATTACCAGAGCAGGCCTACAAACATTGTTTGAGAAATGGAAAAGAGTAGGTGGATCTCTCTGTCTTCCAGGAAGACACAAAAGGGGTGTCTGCCCAGCTCATAATCACCCCATCTTTTTACTGGAGCTACCTCATTGTGGTAGACTGAATAACAGCCCCCCAAAAATGTCCAAGTCCTAATTGCTGAATGTGTGAATATGTATGTCACTTGGCAAGGGGCACTGAGGTTGCAGATGGAATTTGTGATGTTGATCAGCTAGCCTTCAGATAGGGGGCTTATCTTGGACTATCTGGGTGGGCCCAATGTCATGACAGGGGTCCTTAAATGTGGAAGAGGGAGGCAGGACAGTCAGTGTCAGAGTGATGCGATGTGAGAAGATCTCCACCCATCATACCTGGCTTCAGAGAAAGAGGGTGGGGCCGTGAACCAAAGAACGTGGGCAGCATCTAGGAGCTGGGGAAGGCAAATAAATGGATTCTCCCCCAGAGTCTCCAGAATGGAACACAGCCGTGCCAGCTCCTTGATTTTAGCCCAGTGAAACCCACATTAGACTGTTGACCTCTATAACTGTAGGATAACAAATTCAAATTGGTTAAGCCAAAATGTGATCATTTGTTATAGCAGCAATAGAATATTAACATATCCCCTCCCCACAAATCCCCAGCCAGAGAGTGTATGTATCCTGACAGTCACGTTGGTCCCATATGACTCAGATGCTAAAGCCTAGCTGACTGGACCAGGGGAAGGTCTGTCTGAAACTGGGCCAGCTTGGGACTTGGGACTGATACATCAAGTTAGACCCTTTCTGTGACTGGGGGTGTATTAGTGCATTTTCATGCTGCTGATAAAGAAATACCCGAGACTAGGAAGAGAAAGAGGTTTAATTGGACTTACAGTTCCACATGGTTGGGGAGGCCTCAGAATCATGGCGGGAGGCAAAAGGCACTTCTTACATGGTGGCAGCAAGAGAAAATGAGGAAGAAGCAAAAGTGGAAACCCCTGATAAACCCATCAGATCTCGTGAGACTTATTCACTATCATGAGAATAGCATGGGAAAGACCGGCTCCATGATTCAATCACGTCCTCTTAGGTCCCTCACACAACACGTGGGAATTTTGGGAGATACAAGTTGAGATTTGAATGGGGACATAGCCAAACCACATCATTCTGTCCCTGGCCCCTCCAAATCTCATGTTCTCACATTTCAAAACCAATCATGCCTTCCCAACAGTTCCTCAAAGCCTTAACTCATTTCAGCATTAACACAAAAGTCCACAGTCCAAAGTCTCATCTAAGACAAGGCAAGTCCCTTCCACCTATGAGCCTGTAAAATCAAAAACAAGCTAGTTACTTCCTGAATACAATGGGGATACAAGTATTTGGTAAATACAGCCATTCCAAATGGGAGAAATTGGCCAAAACAAAGGGGTTACAGGGCCCATACAAATCGGAAATCCAGCGGACAGTCAAATTTTAAAGCTCTAAAATGATGTCCTTTGACTCCAGGTCTCACATCCAGGTCACACCAATGCAAGAGGTGGGTTCCCACAGTCTTAGGCAGCTCTGCCCCTGTGGCTTTGCAGCTGCTTTCTCTTCGCTGGCATTGAGTGTCTGTGGCTTTTCCAGGTGCCTGGTGCAAGCTGTTGGTGGATCAATCATTCTGGGAGCTGGAGAACAGTGGCCCTATTCTCACAGCTCCACTAGGCAGTGCCCCAATAGGGACTCTGTGTGGGGACGCCAACTCCACATTTCCCTTCTGCACTGCCATAGCAGAGGTTCTCCATGAGGGCTGCCATCCTGCAGAAAACTTTTGCCTGGGCATTCAGAAATTTCCATACATCTTCTGAAATCTAGGTGGAGGTTCCCAAACCTCAGTTCTTGACTTCTGTGCACCCGCAGGCTCAACACCACGTGGAAGCTGCCAAGGCTTGGGGCTTTGACCCTCTGAAGCCACAGCCTGAGCTATATGTTGGTCCCTTTCAGCCATGGCTGGAGAGGCTGGGGTGCAGGCTACCAAGCCCTTAAGCTGCACAAAGCATGGGGATCCTGGGTCCAGCCCACAAAACCACTTTTTCCTCTTGGGCCTCTAGGCCTGTGATGGGAGGGGCTGCCATGAAGGTCTCTGACATGGCCTGGAGACATTTTCCCCATGGTCTTGGGGATTAACATTAGGCTTCTCACTACTTATGCAAATTTCTGCAGCCAGCTTGAATTTCTCCCCAGAAAATGGGTTTTCTTTTCTATTGCATAGTCAGGCTGCAAATTTTCTAAAGTTTTATGCTCTGCTTCCCTTATAAAACTGAATGCCTTTAACAGCACCCAAGTCACATCTTGAATGCTTTGCTGCTTAGAAATTTCTTCCACCAGATACCTAAATCATCTCTCTCAAGTCCAAAGTTCCACAAATCTTCAGGGCAGTGACAAAATACCACCAGTCTCTTTGCTAAGACATAGCAAGAATCAACTTTGCTTAAATTCCCAATGAGTTTCTCATCTCCATCTGAGGCCACCTCAGCCTGGATTTTATTGTCCATATCACTATCAGCATTTTGGGCAAAGCCATTCAACAAATCTCTAGGGAGTTCCAAACTTACCCAAATTTTCCTGTCTTCTTCTGAGCCCTTCAAACTGTTCCAATCTCTGCCTGTTACCCAGTTCCAAAGTCACTTCCAAATTTTCGGGTATCTTTTCAGCAATGCCCCACTCTACTGATCCCAATTTACTGTATTAGTCTGTTTTCATGCTGTTGATAAAGACATACCCAAGACTGGGAAGAAAAAGAGGTTTAATTGGACTTACAGTTCCACATGGCTGGGGAGGCCTCAGAATCATGGCGGGAGGTGAAAAGGACTTCTTACATGGCAGCAGCAAGAGAAAATGAGGAAGAAGCAAAAGTGGAAACCCCTGATAAACCCATTAGATCTCATGAGACTTATTCACTATCATGAGAATAGCACAGGAAAGACCAGCCCCTATGATTCAATTACCTCCTCCTAGGTCCATCCCACAACATGTGGGAATTCTGGGAGATACAATTGAAGTTGAGATCTGAATGAGGACACAGCCAAACCATATCAACGGGTATCTCATATATTAATAAATGTAGGATTTGAGTGGGGCTGGTGTTCAGCCGTAGGAACAGAGAAGCAGAGAAAACTGACTTGAGGAGATGATAATGACGATGAGGAAGAGAGAGGAAGAAAGAGACAGTTCTGGCAGCGTTCTGGTTTTTAGCTTCCCTCTGAGGTAATGTATGAGTCTGCAGAACACAGTCCTCAGCCAGGTCACTGCGTCCCACTGGCTCAGGTTAAAGGGTGAAGGCAAAAGAGCAAACGTCCCCAACTGGTAGATCGCTTCAACCAACTGAAAAATGCAGACTGGCCGATGTTGCCCCAAAACCAGATGACTAAGGCTGCTTCCATTGGAGAGGTGTGAAAAAGAAATCCCTACTCACAGAAATCAGGAGCGGTTAATAGGGTTTGTCTGCATTTTTCAGACAGAGGCTCAGAGAGGTGAAGTAACTTGCCCAGAGTCACACAGCTAGTGAGTAGGGTAGCTGAATTCAAACCCAAGTCTTTCCATTTCTGAATCTCAGGTTGTAGTGGTGTTGTGTTTTTGTTTCCTATTAGTCATCCTCTGTTAACTACTTCCTGGACTTCTGGAAAGAACTCAGAGATCTGATAAATATCCCTTAGGTACCCTATAAAAATTCCATGGGTATTACAATACTCCAGGCTACCATTGTCCAGAGAGGAAAAAAGTCAATGTGTGATATAGTTGAGGCTGGTCTAGGCTTACAGTGTGCAGAGGCCTACAGGCCAAAGACAGGATGGGGGCTACCAGGGCAGTGGTGTCCCCTTCTCTCTTCTGAGGGCTTTTGTTCGCTAGTGCCCACCTCCAAGTAGCTCTGGGAGTGGACACCAGTGACAATGGATGCTCAGCTGCCCTCTGGCCTCCATCTTTGCCTGCTGGCTGGGCTTGCGATTCCCACCCAAATTGTGACTCTTGGCTTCAAGGATATTTGTGGAGCCCAAAGACCATGCTGCATGGTCAGAGTAAGGGGATGCTGACAGGGTGGTCTTAATTCAGGGTGGTCTTAGTTCTGAGAGATCACTGCCTCCAAAGCCGGACTCTTGGGCTGTGCCACACTGTGTGCACATCACACTGAGCCCCCCTGCACTTGCTGGGCTTTGTATTCCTGAAGACTAACTTGGAGCAAGAGACAATTGTAGTCTTCTTGGGGGCTAGAAGGGAGGAGTGGGAGTCATCCCCAAGGCCATTGCTGATGGCAGGAAACACCACAAACTGAGAACCAGTTAGTTTTCAACCCTTGTGTCTCACCACACACACACACACACACACACACACACACACACACACCCTTGTCTTCCCATGTGAAAATCAACAAAAGGACACGTCTTCCTTAATTTCCTAAGTCAAGCTCCTCATGGTGATTTCCTGAAATATGACAGGTAGAAGTTCAAACCACAGGTAATGCCCCATCAACTTTGCTTTTTCTAACCTGCCCTCTTGAAATTTAGTCACATGGACTCAGGATGACAAAAGAAGAATCCTTGACATCTGTTTTGTCCCTGTGCTGACTCTCATTATCCAGTGGCTCCTAATCTTGAAGTTCTGGAGGCAACTTATTGTTCACTATCCCTGGGACTGACTTGGCTATGTGGGCAACTGTCCCCTTCCTCTCTCTGCACTTACTTGAACTGCTCATAATAGAATGGGCTTTCTTTTATTCATTTTTGAGACAGAGTCTTGCGTGTCACCCAGGATGGAGTGCAGTAGCATGATCTCGGCTCAACTGCAACCTCTGCTTCCCAGGTTCAAGTGACATGGCTCAGCCTCCTGAGTAGCTGGGACTACAGGCGTGCATCACCATGCCTGCCCGCTAATTTTTGTATTTTTAGTAGAGACGGGATCTCGCGATGTTGGCCAGACTGGTCTTGAATGCCTGACCTCTGGTGATCCACCCGCCTTGGCCTCCCAAAGTGCTGGGATTACAGGCGTGAGCCACCGCGTCTGGCAGAATGGTCTTTCTAGACTGAGAAGGGCAACTCTTTGGGTGCAGACACTCCAGATGCCACAGCCACTGCCAGAACTGTCACACAAGCTCTCTCCTATCTTTTGCATTCGAATAGCTCCTAAATAGAGAAGTTGGAAACAAGAGTTGAGTATGTCTGCCTTCTCTGAGTCACACAGGGAGAGTGAAATATCTGTTGCATGGACACCCTTTCTGCTGCACATTTGATGAAAAGAGCCCACTTTGGTGTGCTTTTTGGCTAGATCCAGTTCATTCTGGCCTCTAGTTTTCCTTGTGGGACAGGGGGCCTGGTCAGTTGTGACTCTCCAAGGGGAGATCAAAGAAGAGATGGGGAAGGAAAGAAGAGCACCAGGCTAGGCAGCCGCAGGACTTATCAACCACAAGAAAGGTACAGACCCAGTGAAGCTGAAGGCGGCTTACCTGCAGAGCTGAGAACCCAAACAGGGGCTGAGGGCCACACCCAGGAAGTAGAGGATAGGTAATGGAGGAAGGATGGGCAGGGAAAAGAGTTAGGGTACACGTTAATTTCCTATGGTTGCAGTAACAAATGACCACAAGCTTTGTGATTTAACAGAAATTTGTTTCTTACAGTCCTGGAGGACAAAAGTCCAAAATCAAGATGCTGGCAGGGCCACGCTCCCTTCAGAGACTCTAGGGGAGAATACTTCCTTGCTTCCTCTGGTTTCTGGTGGCCATCAGCATTCATGGGCCTGTGGCTGTATCTCTCCAGTATCTGCCTCTGTCTTCACATGGCCTTCCATTCTGTGTGCCTCTTTTAAAGATATTTGCTATTGGATTTAGGGGTCACCAGGATAATCCAAAATCATTTCTTCATTTCAAGGTCTTTAATTTAACTCTATCTGGAAAGACTTCTTTTCCTAGTAAGGTCAGATTCATGGGTTCTAGGGATCAGGATGTGGACATATCTTTTGGGGGGCCAACATTTGGCTCATTACAGGGTGGGAGGAGACACAAAGTAGGATGAAACAAGCCAGTAGGCTAGAGCAACGGGCTCAGGATCTAGAACAAGAATCAGGTAGGAATGAGGTGGTGGCAGCCCCTCCTTTAGGTACTCTCTGTGTATGAGTCCATTTTCACACTGCTATAAAAATACTACCCGAGACTGGGTAATTTATAAAGGAAAGAGGCTTAATTGACTCACAGTTCTGCATGGCTGAGGAGGCCTCAGGAAACTTATAATCATGGCAGAAGGCAAAGGGGAAGCAGGAACCTTCTTCACACAGCAGCAGGAAAGAGAGAGTGAAGGGGGAAGAGCCCCTTATGAAACCATCAAATTTCATGAGAACTCACTCACTATCATGAGAACAGCATGGAGGAAACTGCCCCCATGATCCAATCACCTCCCACCAGGTCCCTCTCCTGACACATGGGGATACAATTCTGATCACAATTTGAGATGAGATTTGGGTGGAGTCACAGCCAAACCATATTACTTCAATGGGCGGTGGGGGGACAAAGGCCACACCTCAAAGGGCTGGACCACAACAACCTCCTGTTTGCTTCCTGCCTTTCCCTCGCTTTTTTTTGCACATCTGTTTCAAAGCTAAACTTCTGGGGGAGCTGCCGGAAGAAACCCACCTTGGGCCGAGTTCAGTGGCTCATGCCTGTAATTCCAGCACTTTGGGAGGCCGAGGTGGGTGGATCACCTGAGGTCAGGAGTTCGAGGCCAGCCTGGCCAACACGGTGAAACCCCATCTCTACTAAAAATACACACCCCCCAAAAAATTAGCTGGGCATGGTGGAGGACGTCTGTAATCCTAGCTACTTGGGAGGCTGAAGAAGGAGAATTGCTTGAACCCAGAAGGTGGAGGTTGCAGTGAGCTGAGATCACGCCATTGCACTCTAGCCTGGGCAACAAGAGCAAAACTCCATCTCAAAAATAAAAAAATAAAAAAAAAGAAAGAAAGAAAAAAAAAAGAAAAAAAAAAACAAGAGAAATCCACCCTGAATTCTTTATCTAGGTTCCCTCTTGGGAACAAAAGCTTCTTCTTTGAGCTTCCCACCCCTAGAGTCAGGGTCCTTTCCAGAGTCCCTGAGGGGGGAAAAATGGTTTTCAATGAATTTCATTGAGTTTACCTCCTAACGTGAAGGTATATGTTTTTGAAGGCCTTTCCTCTTGTGTTATAAATTCTACCCTGCCATGGTCACAGTCTTCCAAGGTTTCTGCCACTCTGTCCCTGCCAGCCTGGTCTTTTCCATTGGTTAGGTTTAGGCACAACTGTTCTTTCCTCTCCATGCTTCATTCACTGAGGAATAATACTGTTACGATGGTGAGTGGAGAATACATCTAATATTCCTGTTTTGGTAGATACCTAGATATGGGTTGTCATCAATCAGGACAGGCTAATTATGCTGCAGTTAACAAACACCCACAAATCTGTGGACAATTCTCAATCTTAGTACATGTCTGTGATGGTTAATATTGAGTGTCAACTTGACTGAAGGATGCAAAGTATTGTTCCTGGGTGTGTCTGTGAGGGTGTTGCCAAAGGAGATTAACGTTTGAGTCAGTGAACTGGGAAAGGCAGACCCACTCTCAATCTAGGTGGGTACAATCTAATCAGCTGCCAGCATGGCCAGAAGAAAAGCAGGCAGAAGAACATGGAAAGACTAGACTGGCTTAGTCTTCTGGCCTACATCTTTCTCCCGTGCTGGATGCTTCCTGCCCTGGAACATCAGACTCCAAGTTCTTCAGCTTTGGGACTTGGACTGTCTCTCCTTGCTCCTCAGCTTGCAGATGGCCTATTGTGGGACCTCACCTTGTGATCATGTGAGTCAATACTCCTTAATAAGCTCCCCTTTATATATACACCTATCCTATTAGTTCTGTCCCTCTAGAGAACTCTGACTAATACAATGTCCTTGGTTGGCTATGCTCCATGTCATCTTTACTTAAGGACTCAGGCTGATGGAACATTGGAACATTAAGGGTTGTCATAGCAGAGGGAAAAGAGCATCGTGAATCATACATTAGCTCTTAAATTTGCTGCCCAGAAATTACACGTTGGTTTTCACTGGCAGCCTACATCTAGTCTCCTTGCATAGGTGTTGCTGCTGTAGTGAGCTATATTTAGGGGTGCCAATACAGTTGATCCTTGATGACTCCTCCACCCCTCACAGTTGGAAATTTGTGTATAACTTCTGACTCCCTAACATCTTAACTAATAATAGCCTACTGTTGACCAGAATCCTTATCAATAACATAAACAGTCCGTTAACACATATTTTGCATGTCATATGTATTAGATACTGTATTCTTTCAATAAAGTAAGCTAGAGAAAAGAAAATGGTATTAAGAAAATCATAGGAAGAGAAAATATATTTACTATCCATTAAATGGAAGTGGATCATCATAAAGTAAAGGTCTTCATACTCACCATCATCACATCGAGTAGGCTGAGGAGCAGGAGGGGTGGGTCTTGCTGTCTTAGGGATGGCAGAGGCAGAAGGAAGTCCGAGTATTAGTGGCCGCATGCAGTTCAAGCCTGTGCTGTTCAAAAGTCGACTGCGTATTTTTCAGAACAGTGTCTGGCCCACTCAATGTTTGCTGAATGCATAAAGAAAACAAAATTTGTATACTACATCCAACTGGGCAGTTGTGTGCTACCTCCAACAGGCCAGGCATGGTGGCACGCGCCTATAGTCCCAGATACTCAGGAGGCTGAGCCGGGAGGATTGTTTGAGCCCTGGAGTTGCAGTAGTATACTCTCACAACATTTCTGCACATCCTTTTAACCCACATCCCCTCTCAGCTTTATGGGGCTTAATATTAGTCAACTGTCAACTGAAGTCACTTTGCTCTTTTAAATTAAAGAGTAAACACAAAATGTAAAAAGCACAACCCCATATCCCATGGTCTGTGGAAAGTTCAGCAGCCTCCTCAAGATCTTTGTGACTTATTTAGGAATTTTATGTACTTGTGGTCACTTGTGGATTTACAGCCTGATGTTTTGAGCTCACTTGGGTCTTATATCCACCACAATCTTCTCTGCTCTTGCAAATCCAGACAGAAAACTTAGATCTTTGTCCCTACCCTTCTACCCAAAATATCCAACTGCACCAAACACACGGTTTACACAAGGCACCACTCACTGAAGGCTTGGTGTAGTTCAGCCTCCCTCCCACTCAAAGATCCTTCCCAGTTACCTACTTTGTACTTTCCCGGCCCCCTCCCTGGGTTCTGGCTTCTCTTTTCTTCCCCCCAATTCAATCCCCCTCACTTTATTATGCAGGGCAATCTCTCTTTCCTTCTACTCTACCCCAGGCTTAACTTTGCATGGCCAAAAACTGATTAATGTCTGGATTAAACAAAGGGCCATTTATGCAAGATAGAATCATTGGCAGAGATTTTGTAATTTCTTTCTCTTTTCCTCAGTAGGTGGAAGAAAGCTGTATGGAAATTTATTTTCCTTAAACTGCAAGAAGTGGCTACAGTTTGGGTTTAAATAATCTTTTCCTGGCCGGGCGCGGTGGCTCACGCCTGTAATCCCAGCATTTTGGGAGGCTGAGGCAGGCGGATCACGAGGTCAGGAGATCGAGACCATCCTGGCTAACACGGTGAAACCCCATCTCTACTAAAAATACAAAAGAATTAGCCAGGCGTGGCGGTGGGCGCCTGTAGTCCCAGCTACTCGGGAGACTGAGGCAGGAGAATGGCGTGAACCCGGGAGGCGGAGCTTGCTCCAGCCTGGGCGACAGAGCAAGACTCCGCCTCAAAGAAAAAAAAAATCTTTTCCTTCCTCCTTTCTGGTAAATATATACTTTCTTGACATCTATTTCTGATAAACTTTATTTTTTTAACACAGTGGTTCTCAAACTTTTGGTCTCAACTCTTTTGCACACTTAAAAATTATTAAGGGCTCTAAACAATTTTGGTTTATATTGACATTATCGACATTTACTATATGAGAAATCAAAACAAAAACTTGATGTTTTTGAAAGTCTTTTTTTGGAGTCTGGCTTAATAGAAAACAGCTGTTCTGCATTTACTCCGTTGCAATATCACAGTCTCCAGCAAACTCAACTGTATGCAACTCATAAGAAAATCAGAGCGAAAAGGCAAATAACATCTTAGTATTGTGAAAATTTTATCTTGATGACCATTAAAACTGCTGTTTTAATACATATTCTACTTGTGCTTCCTCTTTATGAAAAAAGAAATCTTGAAGAAATCAATGAGATTTTGAATTAAAACTGAACCATAGGCCAGGCACGGTTGCACGTGCCTATAGTCCCAGCTACTCAGGAGGCTGAGTCCGGGAGGATCGTTTGAGCCCTGGCGTTCCAGCTGTAGTGAGCTAGGATGGCGCCTCTGACTAGCCACTGCAATCCAGCCTGGGCAACATAGTAGACCCCCGTCTCAAAAAACAACACAAAACAGAACATGAACCTAAAATGCAGAAGAAACTCATTGATTGAGTTGTCAATTTTAATAGCTATGGCTCAAGACGGTACAATTAAAAACTATGCATGAAGGATGAAGAGAATCCAGCGGCATTAGGGCCACTCTTTCACCTTTGTCTCCATCTAAACTTCCTATTCATCCTTCAAATCTCTGCACAGGTGACGCCTTTTCTCTAAAGCCTCTTCCTTTACCACAAATAACAGTGATTATAATAATAACATTATTAACGATTACTACCATTTATTGGCCACTTACTAGGAGCCAAGCAACATCAAAACACAGCACGCGTCAGCTCACTTAATTTTCACAGTAAACCCCGAGGAGGATGCTGGCTTCACTTTAAAAAGAGGTGACTGAAGGTTGGAGAAGAAAGGCCTCTGGCCTCTAGCTCTGTGCCTTGCACACCTGATCTGTCTCAGCATTTATTGCATCCCGAGGGTCACCGTCCACGTGCCTCTATCCTGCTCAAGGTGAGTTCTTGCAGTCAAAGGTCAAGGGTGGCTCGTCTCCACTTCCCCCGCAACCAAACCGCCCGGTCTCAGTGAGGGAGCCGCCAGAAGGGAAGGAGCCTCCTAGCTTCCCGGTCCTCACGCTCCCGGAGCCCACACGCCCCAAACAGACACAGAAGAGCTCGCTGAGCTCTCCGCGCAGCTAAACCCTCCAAGCTTTGCTGGGAGAAACCGATGCCCGAGAGCGCGTCGCGAGGTTCCTCCTCCGCCAGGTGCGCCGGCTGAGGCCGGAACCTTTTTCCTCCCGCCGCGGTAGCAGGGCGCAGGCCGGAACCTTTCTTCTCGCGTCGCCGTTGCCGGGGGGAGGCGTGTGGGGCAGGACCAGTCCTTCAGCGGCCGGGTTCGCGCCGCGGTCGCCGGCTGCTTACGTGGGCGGGCCTAGTGTGGGGCTGAGGGTGCGGGTCGCTATGGCGGTGGACATCACGCTGCTATTCCGGGCCAGCGTCAAGACCGTGAAGACGCGGAACAAGGCGCTGGGAGTGGCGGTGGGCGGCGGGGTCGATGGCAGCCGGGACGAGCTGTTCCGCCGGAGCCCCCGGCCCAAGGGCGACTTCTCCAGCCGGGCCCGCGAAGTGGTGAGCTGGTTGCTATGGAAACGGCGGGTTGAGGAGGGGGCAGTCCTGCGACAGGGACCCCGGGCCCCAAACCAGACCCCGTCCCGTAAGCATTGTGTGAAGGGGGTGGCTCTAAGGGGGACAGAAGAGTTGGCCTCAGAGACCCTACAGCTTTTTGGGGGAAGGAACAGCCTTATTTTGAGGAAGGGGGACGCATATTGGGGAACAGATTTCTCCTGCGGCGACAGGGATTGGGGGACAAGAAAGGAGATCCTCAGAAATCTCTATCTGGAAAGTGCATGGGCGGCTTTGTGAGGTCATGAGTTCGCCGTCACTACAGACTTGCACTCAGGGGAAACCTCCTGACAGTCCTTCGCTTCCTGTTGCAGCACTGACCACACCATATTTGCCTGTTCTATTTACTTGTCTGCCTCCCACCCCTAGTTGAGATTAAAAACTGTATTCAGCCGAACTCTTTCTTCCCTTTGTCTCTGCAATAAGTAGGACTCAGTTCCTCTTGAGACGGGTTTAGGGTAATCTTTCGCAAACACAGTGTTACAGTCACCTCAACTACTTTCTGTTCCCTGATCAGAGCAGGTGTCCCTTCATCTCCCTGGGAACAGGAACCTTTTCCTTAAGGGCAGGGACAGTGTTGTTTTCATCTCAGAATGCATGACTCATAGCATTGCTTAGTAAATGTTTGTTGAATGAGTGAATGAACAAATGGCTGTCTTTCCCATTAAACAGAAAACTCCATAAGGGGAGAGCTGTTTGTCTTGTTCCCTTTTGTGTTCGTGACACCAAGGAGGTATCTAGGTTTTGTGGGGCCTACAGCTTATATAGTTCTGTCTGCCCTCTTCAAGAAATAAAAATCACCAAGAAAGATTCAGAGCTTTGGAAGATTGAAGAGAGGGACCCTAAAGCTTAAGCCTCATTAATTTCACAGTAAATCCTTCTCTGCTTGGCATACACTTGGCACTGTATAGACACTCAGATATTTTTGAATGAATGTAGTCATGCATGCATTAATGACAGTTAGCAGAGGATACTTAAACATTAGAAAGGGGATTGGACCAGATGAATACACTCGCCCTATTGATGACCGTCTATGAAGCACCTACCTTCTGACCAGCCTCGTGTTAGAGTAATATGATGTAAAAGCAGTGGTGGAGTAGACGGACATAGACATAAAACAAGTGCCATAAAGCCTTGCAGGTGTTGTGTAGGGCACAAAAAGAATGTGGTCAGTTCTACCTGAGGACCAGAAAAGGCTTTATAGAGGCGATGATGCCTAAAACAAATCTTGAAAGAGGATTAGTTGGTTCCAGTGCAGAAGGACATCTCAGGCTAAGAGAATAGTATGCGCTAAGCTGTGGAGGTAGGTAACAGTCTGACATAAGTTGGTTCAATAAACATTTGAGTGAGACTGGAATGTGGGACTCTCATAAAAATTGGACGCGGAGATCTTAAAGGGCTTTGTGTATCATTGCAGAGTTTGAATTTTGCCCTGTAGATGGTCAGATGTTATCTGGTAGAGAAAGCACCAGAGAAGGAGCCAAGAGACGAGGTTGTTGTCTGAACCCTGCAACTATTAGCTATATGATTTCATTAAGCAAGTTTTAAGACCTCAGTTTATTTACCTGTAAATGGTCCTTTTTTTCTCCTCCTCCTTTTAAAAAACTACCTTGGTCCTCTATATGTAACAAATTAAAGTGGGAGCTTCCTAGGTTGAAATAAGAGGAAGAGAAACAGGACACTCTCCCTCCCAGTTTGGCCCAAGCACTTCTTGAGATTCCTTTTGTAGAACTGTGGTATGAATATCACAGTATTGGCTTTTTAAGGGTCCCTTCTAACTCTGAAACCACTGATTTATTAACACTGTGCTAATTTTGAGTCCTGCTCAGGGAAAGGGGGGATTTGGGAATGGTAGAGACAGGAGGCACAGTTGGGTTGGCAAGCCCTTTGGAGAGCCCTGTGATCACTTCCACCTCTCCCTGAGTGGTGAAAATGTGTTTGAGTTTTGAGTTAATGGGCCTCAGGGACAGTAACAGTCCCATAGGGTGCTGAGTTCCCTGTCACTGGAAGTGATTAAACAGAGTGATGACTGCTTTTCAGAGATGTTTGAGAAAAGCTTTGTGCATATGTCACAGGGTTGGACCGCATGACAATGCAACTTGCAGTTCTGCTATGTATTGATGTGAGTAGGTGTCACATCACCTTAAGTGAGTTCATGGGCTGTGTTGTTCAGGGACACTGTCCCCCTGACGTAGAGGAAACATACATTCTTTTAAGCAATTTTGATTTTATGTTGTCATTGCTTTGTGTATTATCTCCTGTTCTTGCAACCGTTCCCCACTCCCCATCTTCTCTTGTGGGAAGTTTAACTAGAAGAGCTAGTGATGGATGTCCTGTGCTTTTACTACAATTAGATGTCAAAAGTTTGGCTGTTATTTTGTTTGGCCTGGATTCCTTATAGAGAAAAGTCTGGTAAATACCAGAAGCACATATTCTAATTCAGGTTTAGCCCTGGTTGTCAGACTTAATGAAATGTAATAAGTTATAGTATGCCTTTTGGTAAGTGCCTTCCTTGAAGCATTTGCTGTTACTTCTAGGATGCGTTTTATCTGGTTCAATTTCTATTCTTCCATTCCATTCCTCAAATATATGCCTGATGCCAGATTTCCATCTCACTGAATTGTTGTAGAGGTTATATTAAGTTGAATAAAATTGCATTGAAACTGCAATTTTATTGCAGTCCCTACCTTCCAACAACAGGCTGATTGCTTCTGCATCATTCTTTTAAACATTTAACTTTTATGCTCAATTTTACTAAATTTATATATACTCAAATGCATGTCTACCCATTAAATTACAAATGGAGAGTAACGACTTTTCAGATTATTTGGGGGAGGAACTTATATTATTCGAACAACTCCAAATAATAATGAATATGTCACTCTGCAATGGGAATTTGATTAGTTAACTCATTTGAAGTGTGGGACTAGTGAGGATGATGGGATTGGAAAGAGACCTGGGCCTTGGGTTCAAATCTCGCTTCTGCTACTTAGAAATGGGTGAACTTGGGCAAGTCTGACTCTCGTTTTCCATTTCTATAAAGTGGACGTGATAATACCCTACTTAACTCACAAGCTAAGTAGGGTAGCTTCTGAGTTACCCTACTCACATAGTCTATATGTATGTATTTTAAAAAAACAGACTGATTATTATTGTTCCCCCAAACTACCTCCCCCCTCCTCATGTAGGCCATTTAGACATATTTTCTTTAGTGGCACCAAGCTGTATTTTCCAAACCACTTAGTTTTCTTGCACTTTCATTCCTTAATTTAGTTAAGTGCGTGAGGAATGAGTGAAAATCCTGAGCAGGTACTGATGAATCAGCGGTGGTGCAGAAGTACTGTCTGCATTCGTAAAAGATGGTAACATTTCTTTGCCAAGGTGAAACTCTTTCAGTGATGGCAGATGTGTGGCAGGTATGCAGCTTTTACTTTCTTTTCTTCCTTGTGATCATGGAAGCCAGTGCTAATTTCTTAGTGGATCCCTATAGCTCAGAATCCTTTGCAACATTGTACCCCAGGAGCCGTTACCTGTTATTAGGCTTGACATTCAAGTTGAAATCTACTTGACATATAGTAACAGTAGAATCTGTATGCTTAAAGCAGACCCATGTTTGTTTGTTTGTGGTTTTTTTTTTTTTCACTCAAAAGGACCTTGTGTTCATTTTGTTAATAGATAAGAAAACTAACACCCAAATAAATGAAATTACTTGCCCAAAGTCGTAGCAGTTGAGGTCATAGCACAGAGCCATAAGTAGAAGCCAGGTCCTTTGACCTGGTTTAATGCTGCTCTCCCTCTGCCCACTACATTCTCCTGTAATTTTTAAACCAGAATTTGTTTGGTTTCTGAATGGCAGTGAGTTTCTTCTTCTTGAGTTAATTCTGAATACTGCATACTGAATGGAACCTGGGGCAGAAAGACTTGGATTTGAATGTGTCTTATCTGTTATATGAACTTGGGGAAGCCACTTAATTTCAGTTACCTTATGGCTAAAATAGAGTGAGTAATAGCAACCTTATAAAGTTGTTAGGTGAAATAAGAAAAGGTATGCAGGTGCCTACATGAGTCCGAGTTCTTTTGTTTGCAAGTAATAGTAACCTAATGTAAATTAACCTGAACAAAGTGGGAATACCTTAGCTCATATAACTGGAAAATTCAGGGATAGAGCTTCTTTCTCTAGCTCTTATCCATAAAGCCCAGGAAGGAAATCTAGTTGGTTCTGCTTGATCCTCTGCTCTCTCTTACAGTAGTCATTATAGCCAGAGGAATGTTTCTTTAATTGGTCAGGTCTATGTCCACCTCAATCTGTGGTTAATAGGTGGCTTGGATGCTATGTAGCCCCCACCAGAATCATGGAAAAGGCAGTGCCCTGTCTGGGAATAGGGAGTAAGGAATGTTGGGCAAGCAAAAGCAACAAAAACATCCCTCACAGTGCCTGGGACAGTGCCTGATGTGCCTTCACCTTGCCTGCCTGGCTGTCTTCAACTCTGTGGGGAATGAGAAACTAGAAAATGCAGGAGTTTATAATGACAGGTTCTGGGGTGAGGATAGGCCTAGAGATGCCTCATAGTGGCAGCTCTTCTATTCTCTTACTGACTTATAAAGGTTACAGGAGCCAGGGGGGGCTACCACACAGGTAAGCAAGAAACCCGTAAGCACCGAACTGCTGTGCAGAGGCAGCAGGGGCTACTGAAGAGCACCGCACAGGAAAGCAGGAACCCATGTTCTAGCCGCAGGTCTGCCAGTAAGTGGGCTGCTCATGTGATTTCTCTGGGCCTCAGTTTCCACATTAGTAAAACTGAAAGCTTCGATTAGATAACTGCAGAGATTTCTTGTAGAATAAGGACACTTTGATTCTAAATAAGGTAATAATGATCCTGAATTGCTGGGAACTCTATTTTCAGATTAGGCATGCAGATGAGATTTTGTTCTTGATAATACATTCTTTTGTGGAAGCTAAACTTCGTTTTTTATTTACTTATTTTTAGGAATTGATTATCTTGAATCTTTGGCTGAAATTCAGAGTTCTTGGAGTGGCCCAAAGCCAGATGATCTGGCCCTGCTCCCTCTCTGGCCTCACCTCCTCTCCCCCTCCTTTTGCTCACTCTACTCCAGCTATTCTGGCCTCTTTCATTTTCTCACATGCATCAGGCACATTTCCCGCTTAGAACCTTTGCATCCCTCTACCTGGAACACTTTTCTCCTAGATTCCATATGGCTTGATCTCTCAGTTCCTCAGGTCTCTGGTTAAATGTTGCCTCCGTGAGGCCTTCCTTGAATGCCCTGCGTAAAGTGGCCTCCTTTTTCTGTCCCTTCCCCTAGCAGATCATATATCCATTTATTTGTTGTTTGTCTACTCGAATATATGTTTTCTGAAAATGAAGAACTTTGTGTTGTTAGCACTGAATCTGTAGCTTCTAGAACAGTGTGGGGATGCAGGTGCTTAATAAATACTTCTTGAATTAATGAATAACTGTTAATCTACTGTCTCTCTCAGTTTTGGGGCTAGGTGATCTCTGTCCAAGGCTCATTGCAGTTCTAAAGCTCTGTGATACTCACATGATTCTTGAATATTACATGATGCACATTTATACTTAGTCCGGTATTAAGAGTAAACATTCAGTAAATAGTAGCTTTTATTACTAAGATTCCGTTCCTCCCTCAACACATTTACATTCTAGTGGAAAAGCAGACACAGGTAGCACAACAACTCAGGTATGAGTAACAACTGTAACTTTTTTAGCATTGATTCCCCAGGTCCTCCTTGATTTCCTTTTCAGAGGCAGTGTTGACTTTCTGTGCCAGTGTTGGGACCCAAAGGTTGAGCTGGGACCACCTGGATTATAAATTTTACCTAAGGGTTGAGTATAATCATAGTTAGGGGATTTCAGTTGAGGGAGCATGATTCAAAGAAGCAGTATCATGCAACAGGTACAGTGAGTCCATGAGAGGCAGGAAGGACAGGAGATAGGGCCAAACCATACAGAAGTAGGATTGGGAAACAATGGAGGTTTAGAATGCAAGCTGTGAACAGAGCATGAGTGTGCTGAATCATATAGATTTCTTTTTAAATATGGCAGGAACCTTTTAGCTAATGAAATAAGGAGCAGCTTTGGTAAAAGCTGGAGTGAGAGGTTTGGGGAGAGAGGTTCATTCGCCAGCCTACTACCCTTCTGTTACCTTCCCCCTCTCCTTGAGGAACCCCTAGGAACCAACCAGAGGGCCCAGAGACACACAGTTTAAAAACCACTGCTTTAATGCTCTCCAGGGCCTGTTTTAGCTTCATGATGCTGTGTTTTTATGGATTGCAATAACTGAGTGTGTACTATAAGGAGAGCTCAGCACTGCAGAGTTTTCATGAGATTGTGAGTCCTTTGTGTGGATTACACTTCTGAATTTTGCCCAAGACTTAGGAGGACTGTAAGTTTTGAAATGTATTTATTCAATAATTGATTTATACCATCATCCAATAAACACTGAACATCTGGTGTGTCAGGCATTGTGGGGCCATAAAAAAACTATGAGGCATATTAACCTGTTCTTTGAAAAGATAGATAAAGGATACCTAAATCTCTTTAGGGGAGAATCAGTGGAAACCTCAAAGTGATCATCAAACTTGGCTTTTAAGGAGAAAAACCATTCCACCAGACGTAGGTAGAAGGGATGGGTGTGAGCAAAGGCAGTGGCACACAACAGTAGGGCAGTTTGGGGCCAGAGGCAAGACTGGTGTGACTAGAGCCCTTTTCTGGAGGAGGCCCGGGTGAGGGTCAGAGTGTCAGGGGGTGAGGTTGTACTGAAGTAGGTTAGAGCAGGGGTCCACAAACTGGCCCACAGGCCAAATCCGGCCCACTGCCTAGTTGTGTAAATAAAGTTTTATTGGAATATGTCATTTTCATTTGTTTAAATATAGGCCAAGAATGCTTTCATGCTGTAGCAGCAGAGCGATAGCCTGCAGAGGCCTGCAAAACTTAAAATATTTACTGTATGACCCTTTAGAGAAAAAGTTTGCCAACTCTTAGATGAGAGCGTTGTTAGCAGTGCTGAGGAGTTTGTACTTTATGCTCTGGGCTATGCGGCAGAGGCACGAAAGGATCATGTTTGTATTTTAAACTAATCCGCAGTGTTGATGATGGGTTTGGAATGTAACAAGACTGACATGGAGAGCTAAGCAGGATGCTGTTGCAGTAATTCAGGTGAAACTGAGGAGCCGGTGACAGTAGGGTTGGATGGGAGAAAAATAGATGAAGTAGGTATTTAGTATTTAGTAGGTAGGCTCAACAAACTTAGTAAAACTTAGTAACTAATTAGTGGAAATAGAAAGAGGAGGAGGTAGAATAATTTCCAGCTTTCTGGTTGAAAAGTTAAATGGTAGAAGATTACAATAACAGAGTTTTCAGGGTTAGAGTTGAGTGCCAGTTATTCATGCCTTCTTCTTAATTCTAAATAGTAGAGAATAGATCCAAGGAGCCCATGGACACTGGAGTTTTATTAAGACAGCATGTGGTGGATAACTCCCCAGCAGCAGTGCTTACTGATAAACCTGGATTGAGGAACTCAATGGGGTCCTTCAGCTTTGCCACATTTAGACCTTGGAGACAGTTGAGTACAAAATAGATACCCAGTGCCTATGTACCTATGCCCAGCCAGTTGCATGGAGATTGAGACCTGTCTCAGCAATACGGCCATCACTAGGCTGGGACTTATGGTGGCGAGAAGTACAAGGAGGTAGAAACTTAGGATGGCCCGTGTGGATGCCAGGTTCTCTCCTGTTATTCTCAGTTCTGCTTTCTTTATTCTTGAATGAAACTCATCTTGGGGTTAATGATTATATCACATGTTGTAGAAGCATGATTCTCAGGGATAGTTGATTCATTTTCTCCTGCATTCCATGAAGAATCTGGAGTGTGTCAAAGAGTTCCCTCTTTCCTCACTTTTGAGTTGGCAGTTGACCAATTATTATGTGTCTCACCTACTAGGGTAGGGCTGCAGAAACACGTCTTCTCAGTGTGACGTTTTTAGTGAATTCTTCCCATCAGGGGCTGGCTTCATTTTGGAGGCCCAAGAACCAGATTTTTCTACATATTGAGGCTAGAGCCATCTGTTAGGGCAGATATCAGCCAAGCTCACGTCAACTTGTGTGTAAGTCAGAATACCAGTTAATTTGTTGTAAGCACTGTAACTAATGTGCAGAAGAATACAGATTTTGGAAACTCAGTCATTTTTGAGCTTCTGCTATAGGTCAGGAACTCGGTTAAGGACTTTATGTGCCCGATCTCATTTAATTTTTCTCTTTTTCAGGGGATAGAAATATATTATTGAGTGATTTTATAATATTGATTGTATTATGAATAATGTGGTTGTTGAATTCATGTAAACTTGATGTTTGACGTCTCTTACTACATGGAAATCCACATGGACTCCCTCTGGTGGGTAAAGTATCAGTGAAGTCTACACATGTTAATTATGGCTTATGGTATGAAAACCATTTTATGTTTAAAGCGTATTACATTTAATATTGACTTAAAAAGAGGCAACTTCAAAACTCCTCTAAAAGAAAGTGAATAAACCAGAGGAATGAAAGTATGATATATTGAATGAACCCAATAACTCAGATATGGAAAGCTTGCAGCACAGTTGAAATTTTAAACCCGGCAATACTTTTTTCTTTGTTACAGACTTTCAGATCCTCAAAGACTATGAATACTAAAGTTTGCCAGCTTCTACTTATCACCATCTAACATATGTCTGTTTGTCAAAATGTTCTTACCATGGAATTTGTAAGCTGTATTTAACCAAGAGAGAGACACTTCCATTTCACAATATTGTAACATTTCTATCTAATTTGTAGTCAAATGATAAGAAAACTCTGGTGAAATGAACACTTGCCTTTTCTTGGACATTTTCTCCAGCAGTGAATTCTATAGTCTTAGCAGAAGTAACAGGCTACAGCATATCTTAACTCAGAGGAATTGAGAAAGGAATTAAAAAGTGTACGTTTCGAATTGTAAATACTTTTGGCCTTTGCCAATAGCTTACTATGTGATCTTGGAGAACTCACCTAACCTCTCTGGGTGTCACTCTTCTGATTTTTTTAATGAGAGGTTTTGACTAGATAATCCATAAGGACCTTTTCAATGAGATGGTTGCATGACTCAGTACTCTTTATCTGAAAGTCCCAGGATGTATTTTTAAATACTTTTTGCAGTGATAACTGCCCATTACCTTGTGATATTTTCCCTGAGTCTCTGAAAGAGTGAGGTTTTTTTTTTGTTTTGGTTTGTTGTTGTTGTTGTTGTTTTCAAAGTTAGCATTTTTGGTGTGTTTTCACAAATGTATTTGATTTAAAAGTGGTGATATAATTTTATAATGGAATTTTATTAGCAGGGCACATTTTTGAAGTTGACTATTTTAAAATCTGATTATAAAATTAGTAAGTGCTCATTAAACAGAATAAAGAAGAAAATAGTTCACATTTAGTACCAGTGTCAGGAAATAGCCATAGTTAAAATTCTGGTGTTTAACTTTCCAAACATTTTTTCTGTTAAATAAAATCAAGATTCTTCTACAATACGGTTATGTAATCCCTCTCCATATGCCCTCCCCTCTTCCTTGGGGGAGTAGAGAGGGGTTACATAACAGTATTGTAGAAAACAATGTATTTTGGAAATTTTTAAATATCAGTATGTATTGCTCTTACCACCAGTTTATTTGGCTGCATAGCTATTAAAAATAGTAATAAATAATTGATTTATCTGAACCCCTGTTGAAAGCTATTTAGGCTGCTTCTAGTTTATTAGTATTTTAAGCAAACAGTATATTTTTACCAAATTTGTTTCAAATTTATCATAGCCTCTTAAAAAGACAAAAAATGTAGTTTGTTTTTTGTTTAATCTTTTCTCAAATGTAAAAAATTGAATGTTCTAGTATTGATAAAAGGAAAATTATTGCTATATTATTTGAAAGTATTAAATGTTTTAGGACTTATTACCAGTTCTGGATGAGTATAGAAAAAGGCATGTAATTAGAGGCAGTCTACTTAGGAAAGCTTTGACCTGGGAGCAGATCCTTGAAGAGCAAGTCAAGTGGATGGATGGTGAACATGAGCCTGGTGTGCTCAGTGACAGTAAGGAAACCAGCGTAACAAGGCCAGTGGGGGCTTCTTACTCAGCAGTGTGAAACGGGGAGGTGCTGTGGCCTGATTACAGAGGCCTCGAGAGCCATTGTATAACATTAGTGGGCAAACATCAATGGCGATCCTATATTTAATTAATAACCATTTAGAATATAACGAAACATTTATAGTAGCAACAAAAAGAGTTTCTAGTAATAACCTTAAAAAGAAATGTAAATGACCTAGTTGAAGCAAACTGCAAAATTTTGTAGACAGATACAGAAGATTTGGATAAATAGAAACACGTATTGTGTACCTGGAAGTGAAGAAAAAGTGTTGTCAACACAGCAATTATTACTTTAATGCTCACTTTGGCAGCATATATACCAAAACATTTTACACCAAAAAATAATATATGCATATATGAATTTTTTAGTGAAACCCATTAGTCCAGGGTGTGTGTGTGTGTGTGTGTGTGTAAATTTTATCCATGCCAAAGGATGTGTTGTAAATCAGTAAGAAAAGGAAGATTTATTCAGTGATTGGCGGTAATTGGTTAGCACTTTGGGAAAAAAATAAATTTTTAGTTCCTTGTTTCATACATACATTAAAATAAATTTCTAGATGGACTAAAGATTTAACTGTAAAAACAAAACTGAAGAAAATGAAGATGAATGTTGACATACTTTGTAGAAGTGGGAAGTCTTTCTGAGTTTTAAAAGTTTGACCGGGTATGGTGGCTCATGCCTGTAATCCCAGTACTTTGGGAGGCTGAGGTGGGTGGATCGCTTGAGCTTAGGAATTCAAGACCAGCCTGGGCAACATGGCAAAATCTCATCGCTATAAAAAAATACAAAAATTAGCCTGCCGCTTTGGCACACACCTGTAATCTCAGCTACCCGGGAGGCTGAGGTGGGAGGATTGCTTGAACCCGGGAAGCAGAGGTTGCAGTGATCCAAGATTGTGCTATTGCACTCCAGCTAGGAAAAACAAAACAAAACAAAGTTTGCAGCAGCAGTGTTTCTTTTCTTTTCTTTTTTTCACAAAGCCTTAGAAATGTTCACAGAACAGCAGCAGCCTTAATAATACAATAATAATGATTTTGATGATGATGGTGATGGCAGCTGTCACAAGTACCTTACATAGAGACACTACAGCATTATTCCCAAGTATAGAGAAATTGTTAGGTAAATGTGACATACTGAAGAGTATGTCATGACATGAGAATTATATATTATTATATATAATTAATATATGCTTATATTATTATGTTAGCTTAAAAAAATAACTACCCAAACCAATTACAATTAAAACTATGTATGCAAACCCAAAAAACTCTAGGCATGGAAATGACTGGAAGGGAACTCACCAAAATGTTAACCATGGCTTTTTCTGAGTGATGGGACTTGGGTGATTTATTTTTCTGCTTCTATCATCCAGAATTTCTTTAATGAGCACATTTACTTTTGAAATGAAAAGCAAAACAGAACAAGTAAAACTCCTGGCAGATGAGTTTTTATTTGCTGTGGTAGGAAATGGAGAATTAATAGCTTTTGATTAGAAAAATGTTATGAGCAAGCAATATCTAATTCTATATTAAATGTGCAGTGGAGGGGTGGGGGCTATTTAAAGGAAGTCTGTGGTAAAATCTTTTGTAAAGGGAGTAATTTTCCTGTAACTCAGCTGGATTTCCAATCCAGACTTTCTTAATCTATATGAGAAAATCATCCACAAATGTTGCATTGATGTCTTAGTTTCTGGTTGTTATTCTAAAGCATAATAAATGATAATAATGGCTACCACTTGTTGAGCACCTACTGTACCTGGCCCTGTGGTAAAAGCTTTATAATTTATTTGACTATCCTTTCAAGTTAGGCTCCTTTATTCATGAAGAAACCGAGGTTCAGAAGGGTAAGCTATCTCCCAAGATGACGTCCCTGGTGCTGTGAGATGAGTAGTCCTGGCACGTGTGTGCTGTGCTTCTCCGGTTGCCTGCTGCCTCCCCAGCTCTTGGGCATGCACAGGTGTCCTGTGGCAAGTGTGTCCCAGGCTGGGAACTGTGCTCCACTTGGCATTCCACAGACCACGCCTCTGGGGATTTGCTCTTTAGTATGTTATCACATCATCTGCTGTCTTTAGGAGCATATTTTGGTGCATACATTATATATTTGAAAGTGCTTGACTAACTTTTGGGGAAATATGGCTGCTTCCAAACCAACCTTTTTCTTTTAATCAACAATTACCTTGTGACCGTGCATTTCTTTTCTTTCTTTTTTTTGAGACGGAGTCTCGCCCAGGCTGGAGTGCAGTGGCGCGATCTTGATTCACTGCAAGCTCCGCCTCCCTGGTTCACTCCATTCTCGTGCCTCAGCCTCCTGAGCAGCTGGGACTACAGGCACCAGCCACCATTCCCGGCTAATTTGTGTATTTTTAGTAGAGACAGGGTTTCACCGTGTTAGCCAGGATAGTCTCGATCTCCTGACCTCGTGATCCGCCCGTCTCAGCCTCCGAAAGTGCTGGGATTACAGGTGTGAGCCACCATACCTGGCCAACCATGCGTTTCTTAAAGATAAGTGTTGTGGTTTGCTTTTGGGGAAAAGAGAAAAGGATTTGTGGTTTTAGTTAGTAAAATCATTGAGAGGGAAGGAGACCCAATTTATGGATTATAGACATTTGAAAAAAAATTGTAATTCCCTTTTCTGTTGTTGGGATACCAGTTTTTGATTTTATTTGTTCATTAAATGGTCAGTTCCGTGGAGATCTCTGGAGCTGAGATGGCTTTTTAGAATTGCCCAATTGAGGCAAAGGGCCAGGGCTTTTTAACCACTGCATTGGCCAGCCATTGTCTGTGGGCTTCTCCCAGGGAAGGGCCCTAGTGTTGGGTGAGGCACCTTCCTGCTGCTTGAGACACACTCGGCTGTGAGCCAGCAGCAGGCAGTTCTCCTAGTACCTGGGGGCCTCAATCCGAAAGATGCAGTTTAGCCACACAACCTGTATTAGTTCATTTTTTGCATTGCCATAAAGGAATACCTGGAGCTGGGTAATTTATAACGAAAAGAGGTTAATTTTGGCTTATGATTCTGCAGACTGTACGAGAAGCATGGCATCGGCATCTGCTTTTGTGAAGCCTCAGGAAGCTCACAATCATGGCAGGAGGTGAAGGGGGAGCAAGAGTGTCACATGGTGAGAGAGAACAAGAAGAGAGAAGGGGGAGGTCCCAGACTCTTTTAAACAAGCAGATCTTGTGTGAACTGAGCAAGAATTCACTTATCACCAAGGGGACAGCGCTAAGCCATTCATGAGGGATCAACCCTCATGATCCAACACCTCCCAGCAGGCCCCCCCTCCAATATTGGGGATCACATCAAGAGGCTGATCTTTATGGGCTGCATAGTGGGGTTTCCTTGCCCCCTGGCTTCTGATAGGGGTCAACTAATGGGAGGCTCCAGCAGGAGATGGGAAGGCTGGAAAAGAGGAGTTGGCTTGGGAACTGGGTAGAAGCTTTGCATCCACAGCCCATGACTCAGGTTAGGTGTCTGCCCACCAGCTCTAGAATTTTTCCGCTGTGTAAGTCTAGCATCCTGGGGGTTAGGATGATTTAGCCAGTAGGCTAGTACCAGCCAGCAATGGACAAGGCAGCATTGCAGCCTCACTCAGGGTGACCCTGAAAGACAGTGGCTAAGGGATGTCTTCCCCATGCCCAGAACTTGGGCCAAATCATCACTGCCTTTTAATTTAAGGTAGTTTTTAATATATATATATATGTGTGTGTGTGTGTGTATATATATATAAAGACATATATATATAAAATTATATATATATAAAAACATATATATATATAAAATTATATATATATAATTTTTTTCTCTATCTTTCTTCCTTAGGCTCAGCATTACAGTGGGAAAAGTCAAGTATTTTAGGCTCACACAGATTTTTCTCTCAGTGACGTGGCAGTTCATACTTTCCCTCCAAATATGACCTGGTAAATGACTCTGTGGCATGTTGACTGCAAATCTGAACTGAAATGGAATCTGTAACCCATTATCAGATCCTGAATCAAGCTGCCTTGTCCTTCTCCAGTTTTTGTTTCAGTGGAAATGTGTGTTTTTATTCTGTCAATGGACAGTTTACATACCTAATATTAAAAGGGAATTATATAATGAACACTTGATGTAAAAGAGACTAGTTAAATACTTCAACTCCAAAAGTTTCCATTAAAGTAATAAGGAAATTACATTTAATTTTAACTGGTAGAAAGTTTTAAAAAATGTTATTGCTATTAAGCATTTATTACCCACACTCAACCCTTTTTTTGTGAGTGAATTCCCAAAGCACAATTCATCTTTATACAGGTAGAAAGGAAATATTCTTGCAAAATATGTAGTTTGATGTCATCTTAACTGTGGAGAGAAGCATATTTTTCCAAAGAATAGAATGTGATGGTTGATTGGAAACTTTTGGAGTTACAGGCTAGCTCTACCTCTTGAAATAAGAAAATATATATAAATAGGTCCCCAGATGAAGGCGTCGTGGGGTACTTTACAGCCCCAATTGGCTCCAGACACAGAGGCAGTGATTTGTAAGCAAGCAATGACAAGAGGAAGTTAAATCAAAATTAAATTAAGAGAAGGAAGAAAAAGAAGAGCTATCAAGGAGAGGTGATGAATTTCCTGAAAGCTTCTAAATACCTATCTGTGGGTAAATGATTGAAAATCTGTGAATATATCTCACTTATGTCAAAAGATGAAATCTGGAAACATTTCAGTCCTAAAAAAATACCTTACTTGTTATCTTTGAAGCCTTTTTTTATTTTTTCAATTTTTTTTTTGGAGATAGAGTCTCACTATGTTGCCCAGGCTGACCTCAAACTCTTGGGCTCAAGCGTCCTCCTGCCTCAGCCTTCTGAGTAGCTGGGATTATGCATGTACACCACCATGCCTGGCTTCAGAAGTCTTTTCAAATATTCATTACTTGGTACAGTTCAACCAGTACAAGCATATTTGCTTCTATACTTTCCCGTTGACTCAACTGCGATAAAATCAGCATCTTCCATGGTGCACATGAAGTCGTATATTGGGAGGATTGGTTTTCCTGTTTACATTTTGACGTTTTGTTGTTGTTCCAGCTTGTGTAAATAAAAATTTAGGAATTCGAACTCACCAGAGAGCTCCTCCACCCTGACTGCCATTTTTGCAGTTACATCTGTCATTCTCCCTTTTCCTGTCCTCTATCCAGTTAATTACCAAGCCCAAGAAGATAGACACTGTGTTCCACTCCCCTCACAGCACAGAGCACAGTTCAGTACATAGTATTTGGAAATCAATTAAGTGAATAAGCACCTGCACTTTCTCTCCGTCTCATCCATTCTGCTGCTACCATAGGAGTTCAGACTCCTACCATCTTGTGCCTGAGCTGACACAGTAACGGTGAGCCCTCAGTCCCTCTCCAAGCTAAGCCACTGCACGGAAGATGTTGCTTTCATCATTACTTTGGCTCAGAAGCGCTCAGTACCGCTCATTCTCCACGCAAAGATTCTCAGATATTTGGTCTTTATAAAGCTAGCCTACCCACCTCCAGTGTTAAACCCCACACTTCCCCCATCATCCCACCAGTTTTCACCATGCTGCTCTGTTAGCAGTCCCCTCAGCTTCTTGCCTCCTTCCTTGGCTCCTGCTATTTCTCTTGCCTGGACTGCTTGCTCTCCTTCACTTTCTCAAATTCCATTGATCTTGAAAGGCACATTCTAGCCTATACTAGTCTCCTCTTGAATTGAAAGCATTTGCTGCCTGTATTCTTACTATGGAAATATGTATGGCTTGTGACATCCCTTGCCTTATTATTTTGTGTTTTTATCTAGTAATAACATTGTCACTTAACCTTTCAGCTGCGATTGTGTTATCTCTCAAATGATATTGTTTATTTGTGGGCTTATATTGGGCACAGGGGATGGAAAAGGAGAGAGCAGGACTCTATTTTCATGCTTCTTTGTATTTAGCACAGTGGCTCTTGTACCCAGTAATACAGCCTTTAGACAGAACAGACACCATATCTTCTTGGTCTTTGTATTCCTAGTGCCTTGCAGAGCATCTGGCCCATAGTAGGGATTCATACATGGCATTTGAATAAATGAACAGAAGGCACACCTCAAATATTTGTTTAGTAGTTTTACCCCCAAACTAAATGAATCAACACAGGTAATTTTCCATCTTTTAAAAGCCATAAAAATCCAGTTTTCCATTTAGTTTTTTTCATCATTAACAGTTCTCCCTCAAGCACTTCTCCTTTGCCTGCCTTGAGCTTCATACTGAAATTTAAATCAATTTCCTCTCATTCTTTTCCCTGTGAAATTGGAGAACAGCTGTTTAGTCACCTCCTTATAAATAACCCTTCAACAAGTTAAATTGCCTCTAGGATTTGCTTTCTCCAGATTAAATTATCCCAAAGTCTTTTCTTTTTTCTCATAAAGGCCTTTTCAAAAAGAAACATTGGTTACTTTTAAAATTTCTTTTTCTAGCTCTTTATAAAACTTTATTCTTTTCATAAATGTACCACAGGATACCCCTATGTGGGCCTGACTGATGCTGTCTGGAATGGAAAGCTTTCCTTCCACATCTGGAATCTCATTCTTCTATTTTGTGTTGTACCTTGTTAGCTTCTTTTCTTTTCTTTTCTTTTCTTCGTATCCTATCAAATTTAATTTGCGGTCCACTCTCACCCTCTCCCTGTTTGTCTCCTTTTTCTGTACATTTCTTCAAATGTGTGGCTTGATTTTCTTCCCATAAACACTAACTTGCTTTATCAGAAGTCTTACTAAGGTTATAAGTTACAGAGAATCCAACACAAATTAGCTTAAGTGATCAAAGGAATTTATTGATTTATATCACTGAAAAGTCTAGTGGTATGACTTAACCTCTGGCATGGCTGGACTCGGTGAACCAAACAGTGTCACCACAGGCCTGGTTTTTCTTACTCCCTCTGTTCTGCCTTGCACACACAGTGTTGGCGCCTTTAAGGCGCCTCTAACGCCCTTGCTTTGTGGCAGCCACTGAGCTGCAGCACTTGCAGGCCTCACTTTCTCATAATGCCCCCTCTGGAGGAAGAGAGAGGCTCTTTGCTTGACTGGGTTTCACTTTCTCTTACTGGCTCAAATTGAGTGATATTCTTATCCTCAATCCACTCCTGTTGCCACTAAAAGGATATACTGCCTAGCTTGGTCCATTTAGGACCCAGCTCTGCATCTGATGCAGTATGTTACTTCCACCCAATACATTTGGCTGAGAATCAGGGACGAATTGTTTCCAAAGGAAATTTGGGGAGCTGTTCCCAGAAGGAGGGGAGCAATGCATGGGGGTGGCCAACAAGAGATGTACATTGCATTCAAAATTGTGCCCATTCACTCTGCTTTAGGCATTATAAATACCACTTTGAACTGAAGGTATCTCTGAGAATGAATTATTTATTCACTTACTCATAGTCACTTACTGTTAAGCACCAACTATATGCCAGGCATACAACTAGGTTAGGTATTAGGTGTACAAACGTGAGTGAGACAATGTCTGACTTTGAGAAACACATAATCTAGGGAAAAAAATAGACTTAGAGGCACATAACTAAAGCATGTTCTAATAAGTGCTGCTATCAAAGTGTCTGTGGACACAGGTGGAAGTGAAGAACTCAGTGGGAGGGGTTAAAGGGAGAGGGCATAACAGGAGAGGTGAGTTTTGAGTTAAGCCTTGAAGGGTAAAAAGAGATTCCCCTAGAATGGGAGAGGAATGGCATTATCTCGAAGGCCATGGTGCACTAGAAAAAGTTTTCAGTAGGGGACTAATGTGGTTAGGTATGTATTTGAGAAAGATCATTCTGCTGGCAGTTGGTGGATTCGGCAGAGGTGAGAAGGACTGGCAGCAAGGAGGAGGACCAGTTGAGCTGTTGCAGTAATCAAGTCTAGTCAAGATACAGCAAGGACCTGAACTCAGCTCGTTACTATAGAGCTAGGGAGTAGACTCGATATATTTGAGAAGAGCTGGGACTTGTTCAATGTAGGAGATGTGAATCAGTGGTTATAGATGACTTTGAGGTTTTCATTGTGATAGGTAGGTAGTTAAGATGAGTTCAGGTTTGTAGTTACTTGAGGTGCCTGCTGAACACCCAAGGGACACGTTTCCCAGGCAGTTGTAAATATAGAAATGTACTGGAGGAAAGATTTCTAAGCCAGGAATTTAGACTGGAAAAGACATCAGAATGTAAATGGAGATTGAAGCCTTGAGGAAAGAGTGGGATCACCCAAGGGGAATTTCAAGTCAGAAGAAAAGAGGGCCTCAGAGTAGTCCCTGGGAAAAGACTACATTTGAGAAGCCAGCAGAGAATAAGAAGTCTGAGGAGGCAGCTATGGAGAACGTAGGCCTGTGGATCCCTCCAAGTAATAAGCTTGTTTTTACTTGGATTAGAGGTAATGTCACCTGGAATGATTTGTGCCATGATGGTTAAGAGCATGGACTCTGGGCTCTACCACCTCCTGCAACTGATCTGTGGATAAAATATTTAACCTCATTTCCTCATCTATGTAATGGGAATAAAGTAGTACCTAATTTTGGAGAATTAATTTGAGTAAAGCACCTTGAAAGTGCTTAGCACATAAGAAGTGCTATAGAATGTTTGATAAACACATACGCCAGTAAACACATGTGTTTGTACATTTCTGTCTCTCTGCACTCACATAGCTGCTGGCCAGTTAATCTGAAATCCAAAATTAGTTTATTTGTACTTAAATAATTTGATTTTCTGGAAACTCTGCTAGTTCCAATGCAACAATGCAAGTATCTTGACTTCTTGAAGGTTTTCCAGATTATTTGCTGGATTATTTTTTTCTACTGATGATTAATTTTACCTCTGACTTTGTTATACTTTTCTTTGTTTCTTCCACACTTCACATATTTTTTATTGTTCCTAATACTTTATAGCATACAGCTTTTATTTATTTTTAAAATTTACTTTCTCAGAATTATTCCTAAAGTTCTGGAGTGCTCTGTGAGTTGCTCCTCCACATTTCGGTCAGTTTCTAGTGTGTTACTTTTAATCAGGCTAGTTTTCTCATGCATCTAAAGGAATTGGCAATATTCTCAACTCCTCCCCATTATGGTCAGGGATATGAACTTACTGTCTTCTTCTTTCATTTTCCCAAGTAAATGTCTTGAACCACTGATTAGATCTGTGTGCCCACAATAACATAAGCAGGCACGAAGCTTAAATCTGATTTAAAGGAGAGGGCTGTATAGTCTATTACTCCATTACGTTTTTTTAAGTGTCTAGATTAAAATAGATCAGTATTCAGGGTGTGAGTATATTGCTAAGTCTCTTAACACTCATTGAACCAGACGTCGTGTGTGTTCATTTTTAAATGATGGGGTGGATTACTTTTATATTTATTATGAACACAAACACTGATGCTAACAACTGACATGTGAAAGGAAAGCAGGCAATAGTGATGAAAACCATTTAATGATTAGTGAGGAAACAAATATTGTTTAATGAAAATAAAAACCATGTCTAAAGGGCCTAATGCTGACTTTTGGAAATATAACCATGTTGCGGTCTTTTGTGTACCCTCTGTCCTGTACAGTAGATATTGTTTAAAATTGCTTGGGAACTGGAGCTTGCAATTGTGAGCCTGGAATGTCCTGCAGATAATTAAGTTGTGGTCAGGCTTTGGAAAAATAAAAAGTTCTCGAACTATGATTTTATAAACATGCTACAATAACATTTCTTTATATTTAACAGTTTCTTATAGAAAGTTGATACTCTCATGAGGCATTGATTAAAGGTAAAACATCAAGAAAGAAAAAATATTAAATTAAAACTTCACTTAGGATGTTGACAGTTGGCTTGTAATATTAAACAGATGTGTATGTTCCTGGGGATATTCTTCTTTCTGAACTGAATTGCTAAGTTGTATTTTTTTTTTAATGACAACTACAAATATTTGATCAGTTAATAATTTTAAATACCCTTTCTACAATCATCTGTATTCTAACTTCATCTGTAGTTTGAGCCCTCTCAATGATATAATGATTGGTGAAACCTTTGCTGCCTCTTCTTAAGTCTTTCATTTTCTTTCTTTCTTCTTTATCCTCCCCCGCTCTAAAAGCTTAACTGGGCTCTTCTGATTTCATGATGCATACTTGGAGATTGATTCCTTGAAATAATTTTAGGATCATTGGGTGGAATTCTACCCTTGCAGATTTATGTCTGTAGTTTACTTCCCTATAAGCTTCACTTTGGCATTTGAGTGCATAAGCTGACCTACATTGTGGTATTGTGTTTGTGTGGTCAATTGTAAAGGCTTCATAATACGTCTGTATAGCCAGCCATGCAGATCGGCCTGTACCCCATGCTGTGGGGCCAAAGAAATGTCAGTGAGGGGACCTAAAGGAAACCAGGCCTTGGAGTCAAAAGAGATTCAGTAACTTTTTCTTTTTGCCTATGAGGATTTTGCCAGACTTTTGCATTTTATTGGACAAATAACAGAGTCTAGTGAGAGCTGTAGAGTGGGTTGGAGGGGTGGGTTAGATGGGTGAGTAGTCTTTGGTAAATGAAGTCAGGTGGGATTTTGTAGGATGTGGTGAAAATGTTTTTCATCTTCAAAGATTGTTCAAGTCTTTTTGGAAGACTAGATAAATTGTACAATGTTGTTTTTGGGATGATGAATTTTTTTAGATACTAAAGATCATTTTGATTGTAAGTCTTAAACATGTGGACATCTTATGTTTTCTGAAAGATATATTTCACTAGGCAGGAGTCTTTGATTAACCTGGAGGAAGTTTTGTTGCTTTGAGTACATTTATTTATCTTGGAACTATGTATTGTTTGCACAGTCTTCTTTTTGGAATCAGTGTTTTTTTTTCTCTGCAGATTCCATTTGGGAAGCTTTGGTTTGGGGCCTTAAGTATATGGAAGGCATTTTCAGTAAACACAAACAAAGGCCAGCTAGACTGTCTGAACAAGTACAACGATGTATTTTATAATACAAAACTTTAACTTCAAGAATAATGAATTCATTTTTAATAGCACATTATTTAAAAGTGGCTATTTGTTCTTTACATCTAATAGTATAGCTTTTTAGGTATCTTATTCCTTTAAGTCTGATATAGAAGCAAAAATATTTAAAGTGCATTTTTATGTGAAAGGATTTGATGAGTTCACATTTCATGTCTTCAACTTTTGTTCTCTAGCTCACTGTTTTAGAATTGCACTTATTATATTTTGTGTGTGTGGAAGGAAGGAGACCAAATTTCTGTGTACAGTGTCTTAACAGATTTAATCGAATCACTGCCATATTCTCCTGGAATTTGAGATACTCCTTAACAGCACCCTATTGGGAAAGAGTTGGGATCTTTGAGCTATATGCAAAAATACTATTTAATTTCAGCATAATTCGTTATGAGCAACCATTTTAATGTAAGAGTCTGAAAAGCAATAAAATGTATCTGTTAAGGTTTGTACTAGTTAGCTTGTTTCTGGGCTTCATGTTTATTTCACTTCAATTCTCTTCCAATGTTTTACTGTGAAGGAATGTTGCAAATATTTTAAATCATTTGTTGTAACTGGAATTTGTAATTATGAACAGGTTTAAGTAGAAAATGCTGTTTTGTTTTACTGTTATTACTGCATCATAAGATAAATGATATTCTTTTATAGATATTTTGGCTTGGCTCACCAATCCTAATTTCAGTATCATGCCTGACTTAGCAATAAACTGCTGCGATCAGCTACAGGGAATTGTATTAGGCAGGCTTTATTTTTCTGTATCAGTGTGGTATTGCAGTTTCATCCACCTTTAAGTTAGAAAAGCATGGTTTTAGTATTTCAATTTTCTTGTTCAATAATTCTACCATGGGGAAACAGAAAGTAGAAAGTTTTCCAGAGTAGATGATGATTTAACAACTACACCATTTGAACTAGTCGTCCTTTTAAAATCTCATTTGAGCATTCCCTTTTTTGCCTATATAGTGTTCAGTTCTTCTCAGCTGTTTTACAGCTAATGATTTGGTTCTATTAGGGAGAAGGTAATACATGCTTATTTTCGCAGCATGTTAATTCTATTAACTGTTCAGTAACTGACTCGGGAATGGAAGGCACCTATTGGTCCCTAGTGGTCTGAAATGGGAAATGCATTCCCTGAAAATTTCATTAGGACTTTCCATAAAGCTTAACATTTGACTAGAAACAAAAATGTTAGTAGCTTTAGATAGATTGATTAGGTTATTTAAAGTGTTCCTTGAGCTACAGATGAAGTTAATAATTTTCTTAATCTCTTATTAAAAATAGATGAACTACATATAAAAACTTCAGTCCTAGATTAGCACCTGTATTTCAAGTCATTTAGGGAATGGTGGAAAACTCTGTAAATGCTTGTGTGTTAAGCATATTGAGTAAACTGTCAAGATTTTTCTCTTTGTCATCTTTTTGTCAGCTTTATCATGCTTAATTTTCAAGAAAATAATGTGTTTGTTACTGTGGTCACACCGTGATTTTGCATTGGCTTATGTATGATATTTTATTGTCTCTGTCCTAGAAAATTATAGCAGTTTTTATGAGGAGTGGTTTGTGGGTTCACACAACCCACTTGGAGTGCCATTTACTACAATTCTCTTCTAAAAGAACCATAAAACATCATGTAAATTGTTTAAAAAGGGAAAGACCTTTTTCGAGAAAGGCTAAGAAGAAATCTTTCCAGGCTTTCTTTTGTTTCTTATAGTCAGTTTTATGATTTTAAGCTCCCAATTTATTTAGAGCGTTAATGTCATAAAATAAAGTGCACGTGTGTATAAGTAAACCGTTGTGAGCTAGAGCTAGGCTAGAACTGGGTGTTGTTGATGCAGATAATATCAAATTCATTATTTTATAATCTTTTAAGATATGTTTTCTGTGACTTTGGAAATGAAATTAAAGAAATTAAGGAAGAAAGGAAAAGAGAGAGGAAGGAATTAATTTATAGCTTGTATATCTTTTTTTTAAAAACCCTTATGTTTTCTTAAGTAGTGATGTGTTTATAATCTACATTAAGGCACAATTTTTGGTAACCAGTCCTGTGAAACTCACATTTAAATTCACAAATAGATTTACTTAGAGAAACTTTCCTCCCTTAGGAGTTTTACCATTTAGATTGGCTTGTTGCACTCAGTTTGTATACACCCTTTCGAAGAAAGAATTAAACAGCACAATAACAAGGCCAAAGTTCTGTCATAGTTTTCTATACAAATGCCTTATTCTGATATTATCTTGGCTTTGTGCATGAGCTCTCAGGAGAGTAAGGACGAACATTGTTAATAATTTTCTACAACATTTACATGGTTCTCTGTGCTTTTAGTCACTTAATACAGGTATATCTTACGTTTAACAAACCGTTATAAGAAAATCCACATATATCTGAAATATAAATTGGGGCAGTTGTTCATTTTGCATAAAGATTTAACACATTTATAATAGATTTAAGTTTTAAAGCCACTTCCTTAGCACATGCGAGATCATTATATTTGCAACATTTTATAAGAACACATATAGGCCGGGTGTGGTGGCTCAAGCCTGTAATCCCAGTACTTTGGGAGGCCAAGGCAGGCGGATCACAAGGTCAGGAGTTTGAGACCAGCCTGGCCAACATGGTGAAACCTCGTCTCTACTAAAAATACAAAAATTAGCCAGGCGTGGTGGCAGGCGCCTGTAATCCCAGCTCCTCAGGAGGCTGAGGCAGGAGAATCGCTTGAACCCAGGAGGTGGAGGTTGCAGTGAGCCAAGACCACACCTACACTCCAGCCTGGGCAACAGAGCGAGACTCCATCTCAAAAAAAAAAAATAAAGAAAAAAAAAACACTTATAAAGGGAATGATGATTGCTATATTCATGTAGGTAGTGATATGAACATTTGTCTCTGTAAAATATTATCTTCTTTTGAAATTAGTGGTTTTTAAAAACACAAGATTATCTGTGTGGTTTAGAAACTCCTTGGTTTTATGACAGGAAGAGGTTATAAATAAATCACGTTTATGCATTTTGTAAAGAGTGTTAGTAAAATTGCTAGATTTTCTTGAACATGGTTGTAAATCTTTTTGTTTTAATTATAAAGCTTTCTACATACATGTGTGACTTTATGAAGAATGTCAACTTAGGTTTTAATTATGTGACTGTAAATTCCCCTTTTCCTTCTGTGTGAAAACACAACACCAACAAGAAACCAACTTCCTAAAATATACAAACTTTTTGGGATTATTCTTTATTCTACACTGTCTTACTATTTTTATTTTTCTGATGTTGGGGTGTTTCTATTTAGTATCACAGTAGCTAACTGAAGTAAATTTTGGGAATAGAAAATGAAGCTATAATTGGAAAGGAGATTTTGAAAAAACAGAAGCACCTAATGTCATGATGTGGGTGGGAATCAGGGGAAGAATGTACTGACGAGCCCCAATACCGCTGGTTCAGAACAGCCCTGGGAATTCTATAGCTGTTTTCCAAAGGATTGTTTGATACAGTCGGGAGCTCCCGTGACCAAATCTAAAGCCTGAGAACCAACTTTCTGTGATAAAGCATACTAAGCAAAGAAGACTCTGTGGCATTGTAACCGATGCTACTGAGTATGCCACAAATGTTCATACAAATTTTGTGTATAGCGCTATTGCATAAATCGTTTTAATATGGGATGTTTGGAAATAAGATAGGTACTACACTGAAGGGACCAAATACTGAATTCTCCAAGTTAGATACTGTTTTTCACTATGAATTTATAATATGTTGTTATATAACAACATCATTGTTACTGCAAGTGATACAAAATGTTATGTTTGGAGTTTTTCTCTTTTTTTTTAGATTGGAAAATAGTTTTAATGTTAGCACAGACAAAATATTTCCTATTTATTTATAGTTATTAAATAAAAATGCATAGCACGTTAGTCAAGAATGTATTGTTTTATAAATTATTCAGTTGCAAGTATCTAAGATTACTTTACTTACAACTTAAATGCAGAATGTTGATGTTTCCTTGTTTCTGTTTTTCACTTGAGTCAGTTAGAAAATATTTTTCATGGACTTTGTATATAAGCTAAAGATTTTTTTCTTATATGAAAATCATCAATATGGCCAATTCCTGTCGGAAAAGAGGCATAATTTTTCAATTTTTTCCTCCAAAACTGCAACTTCAGAAAATATGTACGAGATGTAGCAATTAACCTACATGCACATTTATAATACTAGAAAATAGGCAGCTAGTTATATTCAAAGACTGGATCTGATAGGCCCAAATTGCTTAAAACATCACAGTTATTGAAGATATACCCCAGGGAATTTGAGAAACCATTTAACAGATGAAAGTACATTTTGAAAAGTCTGACCTTACAGGCAATCATAAAATGAATCAAAACAGTGCTTTTTTCCCCCTGAAATGTACAGAGCCCATCTGTGTCTAATCCAGTAATTATAGACTGTGTTCAATTACCTTTTCAAACTTGGAGCAGACTGGAGACTAGGCAATGAACAAACATAGGGTTTTGTCTAGACCTCAATTGACCACAGTCTAAAAGTTGAATTTATATCTAATTTTATTTTTTGTTTGGTTTGATAGTTCTTAAAGGATTCATTTTTGCTACTTGGTGTTTTACCTTCTTAGATTTGAGGTACTGCCTTTTCTCATCACAAAAGCTTTTGTATCAGCTATAGCTTATGCTGTAATCAGATGCTGTTTTCGGAATACTTACTCTTGCCTGCAAATCAATAATTTGCACTGCAGAAAAGACTGCATGGGGTTGGGGAGGGGATTTTACCAGTGAGTAGTATTTTTTTAAGTAGCCTTTAAAATGTTGCTGCTGACTATAACTCTTTTTTATGTGCTAGGAAAAAATAATTTATTTTCCTCTTAAATTTAGAAAACTATAGGTAATTTCCAGTTGGGTTGTACACTTAATGTCTCCAAAAATACATGTAGACTGCTAAAGCACGTGTGTCTCTCTTTTGTCAGATGTCTTATCGTTTTTTTCTAGGTACACATTTTTATTGCATTTACTAATCAGACTGGTATCCAGTATAAAATACAGTGTATAGTATTCAAAGTCCATTTCAAATCGTGTCTCTTAATAAAGTCAGTTTATGATCTGATGAATCTTTAAGTGAGAATTAATTACCATGAACCACCACAGCCAGTTCAAAGTATTTAAATTTTATCCAGGAACCTTGGCTATTCAAGTTTTTCTTAAAACACAAAGCAAACAAAAGATGACCACAATTTTTAGAACTGCTTATGTGGTAGTCAAAGTTCTTTTTTTCCATTATTTAGTATTTACAGTTATTCACATTACAATTATCACTGGAAACAAATGTTTTGAGGTATTTATTAGAAGTAATCATTGCATATTAGACCATGAATTTTTCTAGAAATTTTACAACCATTCCTAGTATATTATATTATTATTTTTTAAAGTTTTATTCATTTAGGTCTCACTATCCTTTGGAACTTTTAAGGACTTTGTCATTGGGGAGAGAAGCAGTTTTATTTGGTTGCATGAATGTACTTTCTGAGAATTATATGGAGAAAGTGAAACTTAAAGAGGATTACAAGTACCTTATGTTGAATGTTTTCATGAGACATTTACTTGTGAAACTTGGATAATATGATTTCCTTCCCTCCTTCCTGTCCCCATAGTTTATGGAACTATTGTTATAATTAGCCTCCATTGTATGCTTCTTAGGATCTTCATAGAGAAGGCAAAAGATTAGTCTTCCTAACTAGGAACTTGAGAGACCCTTTGGATCCTCTCTCATATACCCCCTTATCTGATCCAAAGAAAGAATTCTCTAGTCTTTTTTTTTTTCCCACAGACCAGAGGCCCCTCCTAGTTCCTGCTTTCATTACCTAATGTATGGGTACCTCCTTTGGTGGTTTGGATTTTATATTCTCTGATTAACCTGTTTATGCCACTTTCACTGGATTGTAAGCTCCTTCGGATCAAAGACTAGATGGATGTTATCCTATCCTATTGTATTACTGCTTAAAACACAGTGCCTGGCTTGTGACAGGCACTTGCTCCTTGTTGACCAAATGAGGACAGAGTGGATCATCCATTCGGAATCTTAGTATTGAAAGGTAGGAGTGAAGAATTTTTAAAAGTTAGTAGAAATCACATCTAAATAACATATAACTCTCTTTTTTGCCATAACGAAATAACTGAAAGATAGAACTTTTTAAAATTTCTCACTTTAAATGTTTTTAATGAGACCAGTGAGAGAATGAATTTTATTCATGAAGTCTCCATTTTCCATTGAAGCTGCACTATCTGTTGCTGTGCTTAACAAGTTGATAGCTTTACTTATGGCAATTTTTATGGAACTGCTTTCTCCATCTGCAGTGAGAAGACTGAGAAGCATTTTTCTGATTCATATATCTACGTGTATCCTTTTCTTCATGATTCTTGGAGAAGCCTTGCAGAAATAGTCAGTAAACAGTATTGAATACTTACTACTTTCAAGGTGCCGCTTGATACAGTGAAGCCATGATATACAAGTCCTGGCCATGTGGATTTTGAAGTATGTGGTTGATGTCATGTCTCCTTTAGGCTGGATTCTCTCCTGCAATGGAAGCTGCCCTCTCGAGTTCTTTCTCCAGTATTGACTCTTAACGTAATTACATGTCCTTACCCCCGCTAAGGACGTCAGTGTCTTTATCACACCCCTGCCCTCAGGTTAAAAGGGGAAGAAATCACATCATTTATAAAAGCAGTGATGGAACATCAGTCTTTTTAAGAAAAAAATAGAAGTTTATGATTGTCTCATCACAGTCAACTGGCAATTCATTACTGCAGTAGCAAGGAGATATCCCAGACCTCTGGCTTTGCTGTCAAGATTGAGTGCTGGGGTAGTTTTTACTCAGCATTAAAGATTTCATTGGCCATGCTGTTTTGTCGGGTATCTGTTTAAGATGTAGCAGTGTGATTTTTACTAACCTGATTTTAGAGATTTTCAGTGTGTCACATTTAAATAATCTACTTTTGAAAACAGTAGTGTCTATTTGAGTATGTTGCTCACCGGGGAATGTGGCCTCTAAAAGCAACCATAAGATCCAAGAACAGAGCAGTGAGGGCCATGACCATTAGATGACTTCCACGAAGCAGTCTGTGACTCTGTTGGTTGAAATCCCCCACACTTTCCTTTCCTTCTTCAAACCTGTTTCTCTATCCTTTGGTTATGATTGGCTCCTGGCTGGATAAAGTGGTGCTGCTTCTGGGATAAAGCTGTAATCAGGCGCTTGAGTCTACTTCTACTGGAAGATCCCAGATGAATGGGAAACCCCATGAGCTCTGGCTTGCCTAAGGCAAAGCTGAGATTTGAGATCCAGGCCAGACGAGGGTCCCCCCCTCTATCAGAATCTCCACTCTCAAAGTACAGGTACTTCTTTACTTAACATAGAACCGAATTTCTGAGGTTTCCTAAAGAGACAACCAGGGAAGGATTTCCTGTGTCTGTCTCCTCTCATTCTCTGGGAAGTCTTAAAATTTTTCAGCTTAGACTGCTTCCTTCTTTAAATTCTAAATTGAATACCCTTATGTCCGTTTGATATGTATATTATTATTATATTCCTGGATTTTATTCTTGAACCCAGTTGGAGTTTCAAGGCAAACATTTGGTTTTCTGTCAGCCCACAAACTGAGCAATGGTTGGTCAATTATGGTCTTCTGTTGACTGAGGCAGAGTCGCATGTTAAAAGTATATTTTATTAATAGCCCACAAAGCATACCAACTGCCAGCTTTTTGCCATGTCTAACTTTGAGCAATATTTAGTAACAATATTCCCAGTTTTCATCTGTGGGTTACTTAAATGTGTCATCCAGGAAGTCACTGTAAGATACGTTGGTGAAAAAGCCTTCAAGCTTAGATATTGTGTATTCTGCTTACCTGCTTACCAACTCATGCTTCCCAGAGTACCTAACTCACAAACGTGCCTCAAATGCAGAAAAGCAAATCTAGTTCAGTATTATACAGGACTGGTAATGTCCTGGCTGTTTGCTCTATGGTGTGCTTGTTAATCAGCAGTAGATGATTGTGGCACATACCTATTCTTGGTCCTGAAACCACCCTTCTGTCAACAATAGTGCCTGCCTTCTTCCTGGGAACTCATCCCCACTCTGGCTTCAATCAAGTGGTTTCAGTACAAGCTGCTGTGTTTCCATAGTATCTTCTACTCTCTAGGTCATGGACCAGGGGTAGCAACCAGACTCAAATCAGGCCAATCAGAATCCTTTCCTAAGATTTTTTTTTTTAATTGGAATTAGGAAAAAGAATTATTCTTAGTCCAGAGGCCTGGATTTCAGCAAACAAAGCTCGGGAGCTGTTGGTGGCCAGTTTTCATTGCTGAGCTGCAATGAGAAAATTAAGGCTAAAATGCAGACAAAACAAGTAGGAGTTAAGAGAGTTCTAGAGGAGTTTTAAATATCTGGTTTAGTTGTTGCAGAGGCTAGCTGTATCCTTGCCGTTCCCATCTTTTGATCATTTAAACCAGTGGCTCGTGCAATTTTGCTTCTAGGGGATATTTGCCAATATCTGGAGACATTTTTGGTTATTACAGCTAGGGGGCTACTACTGGCATCTAGCAGAAAGAGGCCAGGAATGCTGCTAAACATTCTACAATGTACAGCTCTCCCACAAACACCCCCACCTCCGCCCCCAGACAAAGTATTATCCAGCCCAAAATGTCAATAGGGCTTAGGTTGATAAAACCTGAACTTTAACCCATCCTTCATACATTACCTTAGTATTTTTCAAATCTCCTCTCCTTCTGTTTTGGAAAGCTAGCTAGAATTAGTTTATGCTTAAGAGGACCTTAACCTAGGGGCATACACACACACACACACACACACACACACACACACACACACACACACACTAATCATGAGTGTTGTTTGGTGATTGTATGTATTTTCAGTCCCATATTTAAGATTTTTCAGTTTATAGCTGCCCTAGTATACAAATACGCCATCACCCAGGTTTAGAAGGACTATTGATTCCCCTACCACATAGATTCAAATAGCTACTTCTAGACTGCCTTGGGTACCTAAACAATACATATTCCAAACTATTGAAGCAAAGGCTATTCAGAAATTGCTACTAGGATTGCATCAAAATTATGCTGTCCTCCCTAAGATTTGTTTTACGATTAATATTCAACTCATGTATTAGAGATGAAATCACTATTTTTAGGAATGATTATGATAAAAATCAAGTGTTCAGTTTCATAGAACAAAACATAGCTGTCATATGAAGTCCTTGATAAAGCATTGCTGGCACAAGGAACTGTGAGAGTCCACATTAGCGTAGGCTGGACAAGCTGCATTCCTCTTTGAAACTGTCAGAATGCATTGTACCTTTGATTCATCTTCCAACCTACATTCAAGCCATGGCATGGATTTCTTTTTTTAAATGTTTTAAATTTTACTTTAAGTTCTAGGATACATGTGCAGAATGTGCAGGTTTGTTACATAGGTATACATGTGCCATGGTGGTTTGCTGTACCTGTCAACCCGTCATATAGGTTTTAAGCCCTGCATGCATTAGGCGTTTGTCCTAATGCTCTCCCTCCCCCTTGTCTTCCACCCCACAACAGGCTCCAGTGTGTGTTGTTCCCCTCCCTGTGTCCATGTGTTCTCCTTGTTCAATTCCCACTTATGAGTGAGAACAAGTGGTGTTTGGTTTTCTGTTCCTGTGTTAGTTTGCTGAGAATGATGGCTTCCAGCTTCATCCATGTCCCTGCAAAGGACGTGATCTCATTCTTTTTTATGGTTGCATAGTATTCCACGGTGTATATGTGCCACATTTGCTTTATCCAGTCTATCATTGATGGGCCTTTGGGTTCGTTCCATGTCTTTGCCATTGTAAATAGTGCTGCAAAAAACATACATGTGCATGTGTCTTTATAGTAGAATGATTTATAATCCTTTGGGTATACACCTAGTAATGGGATTGCTGGGTCAAATGGTATTTCTGGTTCTAGATCCTTGAGGAATCTCCACACTGTATTCCACAATGGTTGAACTAATTTACACTCCCACCAACAGTGTAAAAACGTTCCTATTTCTCCACAGCCTCTCCAGCATCTCTGTTTCCTGACTTTTTAATAATTGCATGTCATGGATTTCTTGATGGACAGATTGATGAAAAGAATGTTAATGAATAACTTGACAAGGAGGATCTGAGACATGTAGCAGGTACCTGCAGTTAATCACCTAGATTAAGACCCAGATTTAAGATTACTTATATTTTACACACAATCTTTTTTTCTTAACTTTCTTTGACTAATTTTTTTAAAAAACTATGACTGGGGATGATCTGTGTTTCTCTTCCTCTGCCTTCCTCCATTGCTTTGGTTAAACTAAAATTAAACTAGCAGAGTATTTTGTGAAGCTGAGTTTCTCTTTGTGTCTCTCTCCTTTGCACACAGTTGACACATAGTAGGCACCCATTATAAAATGCTCATAAAACGATGCGTGGTGATTTCCTGCAGCCCCCTAGTTCTAAATATTCTCTGTAGTCCAGAAACTCCCAGATTTATATTTCCAGGTCAGACCTCTTTGAAACCCTACACTTAGAAACATCTATAGTTGTCTACCTACCTGACATTATTTCTGTTACCTGAGTATCTAATAGACAGTCAGTCTCCTTGCTGTTCTTCACGCATGCTTGATACACACCTGTCTTAGGGCCTTTGTACTTATTGTTTCCTCTCCTTGGAATGATTTTCCCTAAGTATTTGCCTGGAGATACCTGCCTGCATAACTTTTACTTCTCCTTCAAACATTTTCTTATATGTCATCTTTTCAGTAAGTTCATCCTGACCACCCTGTTGAAAATTAGAATTCACCTTTTTCCCTACACTCTTCCTAGATTTCCCTTACTTTGCATTACTTTTGCTTTTTGTCCCGTAACACTTTCACCACTTACCATACTTTGTTAACACACTTATTATTGATTTTAATATATTGATTATACTTATTATTATTTGTCTAAAATATGGCTGGATTGTAACCAAAACCCATGATCATTTAAATTAGGGTCTTTCGACTCCAAGTTAAATTTTTGTTACAAGACAGCCTTTTTGTCACAAGAATGGGTGAAAATTTTCGTAATCTATCCACCTGGCAAGGGTCTAATATCCAGAGTCCACAAGGAACTTAAACAAATTTACAAGAAAAAAAAAACCCTTTAAAAAGTGGGCAAAGGACATGAACAGACACTTCTCAAAAGAAGATATACATGCAGCCAGCAAACATATGAAAAAAAGCTCAGCATCACTGATCATTAGAGAAATGCAAATCAAAACCACAATGAGATACCATCTCATGCCAGTTAGAATGGCGATTACTAAAAAGCCAAAAAACAACAGATGTTGGTGAGGTTGCAGACAAAAAGGAATGCTTTTACAGTGTTGGTGGGAGTGTAAATTAGTTCAACCATTGTGGAAGACAGTGGCAATTCTTCAAATAACTAGAGGCAGAAATACCATTTGACCTAGCAATCCCATTAGTGGGTATCTATCCAAAGAAATATAAATCATTCTGTTGTAAAGATACATGCATGCATACATTCACTGCAGCACTATTCACAATAGCAAAGACATGGAATCAACCTAAATGCCCATCAATGATAGACTGGCTAGAGAAAATGCAGTACATATACACCATGAAATACTATGCAGCCATAAAAAGGAACACGATCATGTCCTTTGCAGGGACATGGATGGAGTTGGAAGCCATTATCCTCAGCAAACTGACACAAGAACAGAAAACCTTATAACACTGCCTGTTCTCACTTATAAGTGGGAGCTGAATGATGAGAACACATGGACACATGGTGGGGGAGCAACACTCACTGGGGACTGTCGAAGTGGGGACTAGGGAGAGGGAGAGCATCAGGAAGAGTAGTTAATGGATGCTGGGCTTAACACCTAGGTGATGGGATGATCTGTGCAGCAAACCACCACGGCACATGTTTACCTATGTAACAAACCTGCACATCCTGCGCATGTACCCCAGAACTTAAAATAAAAGTTGAAGAAAAAAAATTGTTTGTTGTTACACAGCAGCTCCTTCTTGTTAACTTCAAAATAATCCTGACATTTTAGAATCTGGCACTCCTGGTCTCCAAGTAACAAACTTCTCATGTATATTTTATATATAATCTTTGTGCAACACACAAAAAAAAACAAGATTTTCACCAGATTTTTGGGATCCTCTCAAGTGAAATATAGGATATATGCCATAAATGGGAGGCAAGAAGGGACAGTTCAAAGAGATAGGTTGTTGTATTCTAGAGAAGCAAAAACGGGGGATATGTGGTGAGGTCCACATATGACATACTTAAGACACCATGAACAGACAAAAAACAAAAACAAAGTAACAGTGGTTTCAGATATGAGCCCTAAGTTGAAGTCCTAAAAGCAGGTGCTTTTCACACGGGCACTTCAGTGTCCTGTGCACTAGGGGGAGTGTCAGCCATGATCCATTTTATTTAATAGTGATTAATAATTCTCCTGAGCAGTGATGGAAGGCCAGCTAGTGTTGAAGTTAAAAACATCCTATAATTGGACTCAGAATACCTTTTACTTTTGTGTTAGGATAGCCAAGGTCATTTGTTCTGAGGTCGCCTCTGTGGCATGGTGACCGATCAGTGGTAAGCAGGCAGTAAATACGGAATGCTTCCTTTCTAGGCTAGAACATAAGGGACTAGGAAACTCGTATATTTTTCTAGCTAGCTGCCGCTTTTTAACTTTTTTTTTTTTTTTTTTTTTTACTGTGAATATATTTTATTTAGTCATTTTTGTTTACAATTGAAACTCTGGGAATTCAAAATTAACATCCTTGCCCGTGAGCTTCTTAGAGACACCAGAAAAAGTTTCAGTCTGTGTTCCACGTTGTTCTGCTGGGCTTTGTCCAAACGAACCTTTATGAGCCGGCTGCCATCCAGTTCACGTGAATTCTCTTGCCCACAATTTCGCTTGGGAAGATCAAGTCCTCAAGGCTTGCGTCGTGCACAGCTGTCAGAGTGCACTCCTGGGACGCTTTTGCTTATTTTTTGTGCGGCTTTTTCGAATTGGCTTAGGCAGAATTCTCCTCTGAGCGATAAAGATAATATGCTTTCCACTGAACTTTTTCTCCAGTTCGCATACTAGCCGGACTTGGATTTTCTGGAAAGATTTCAGTGGAGGAACGGGAACAAAGATTGTGATAGCTTTCTGACCACCACCAACTTCAATTTCCTTGGCTGCCATAATATTCAGCTCTGTGAGCTGAGCCTTGAGGTCCGAGTTCTTTTCCAGCTCCAGAAGAGCCTGGGAGATGCCGGACTCTTTATAGTACACTGTAAAGTATGGGTTGTTTACCCTCATAATTGCATGGCTGACTGAGAGCTGCTGCTGAGCATCAAGAGGGAGTGTCATGCCGTCTTGTACTGTGTTGCTAGCATTCTTTGGAACTCACCTGGCTTCTTGCCATTGGGCTTCACGATCTTGGCGCTCCAACTGAACATGGCCTTCTCCTTGCTGAGCACTGGCTTAGGAAGAGCTGCTTTTTAAAAATTTAAGTGTTATTTGTAGATTAGCATACAGTAAGCTTGACCTTTTTGCTAATACAGTTCTCTGAATTTTAGCATTTTATGTACAATAGTCCCATCCCCCATGTTATCCACAGTTTAATTTTCCAGTTTCAGTTACTCATGGTCAACTGTGGTTCGAATTTTATCCTCTCACTTCATCACAAAAAGAAAGGTGAGTACAGTACAATAAGATACTTGGAGAGAAAGAGACCACATTCACATAACTTGTGAGAATTCTTCTATTTTATTATTATTGCATTTATTCTCTAACTCTACCTAATTTGTAAATTAAACTTTATCATAGGTATGTATGTATAGAAAAAACATAGTATCTATAGAGTTCAATGCTATCCTTGGTTTCAGGCATCCACGGGGGGTCTTGTACTCTCTCCCTGTGTGTGTATGTGTGTTTTGTATAGCCATTTCCCTATTAGGATGCAGAACAGTTCCATCTCCCTTCAGAAACTCCCATGCTGTCCGTTTGTGGTCACAC